>NC_000013.11:104377979-105002979 GCF_000001405.40 Homo sapiens | reverse complement strand
AGGAAAATGGCAAATGAAACATTATATGATTTTTTAATTTGTCATGAATGCTTAATAAAGAATATGGAGAAATATGATAGTAATTTTCATAATGTTTTGCTGATGATGCAACACCAAAAATGAAAAGGTCTGTGAAGCTGTACCTGTTTCACAGCTGCATGAAAATTCTTTCCAGTATTACAATATGTCAAGTACATTATGATCCTTAAGAAAAGCAATAAAATCTGTGAAATGACACTGAAATCACTATTTAGCCTCTTTCCCCTTTCCTGCTTGCTGTTGGTCAGCATATAAGACCATGAAAATGTGTTGAGTCCTCCTAGGTGGAAACTTTCTGTCTAAAACAGTGGTCTTTCATTGTCTTTGTTGTTTTAATAATTGTAGCTGCATCCTTGCAGTGATTCCCCGAGTCTTTTTATGTACTGATAATAATGGTCAGTTATTAGTCTTGGCCTTGAAACTGTGACCACACAGAAAGTGAATAATTTTGTACAAAGTATGAATGGGTACCAATTTCTACATGTGTTTCCTTTGCAGTAATTGATTTTCTGTATAAGTTGTGAGGTGTGACTTTGTCCCACAATATAGCATTTTGTTGCAGAATATTTGGAGGTAGGCAATAAGTGTTTAATGATGACGCATTACCGATGAAGGTGACGATGATGATGATGATGACTGATGATACTCAGGTCACACCAAATAGCAAATTCTGTATACTTAGAAAATAGTTTTCTATGAAAAGTATTTTGGGATGTACTTCTTGACATGTAATACACAGGACGAAACTCAACACAACACTGAAATAGATGTATCTATAAATGCACATATTTTCTTTTAAATATGTACATACATATAAATGTAGGCATCTATAACTAGGGCAGACCATGTATGTGTTGCTTTTTTCCCCTTTTATTATACTAATGACCATAATTCATTTAGGAGAAAACATACACACAAGAAAGCAACCTCTGTGCTTGTTTGACCCTGAATTCTTTCCTTAAATTGGTCTTCCCCTTGGTTCTAATTGCTATAAATAAATGCTGTTTGCCTGCACTGATAAATGGAGAGAAAACCTGAAGTCAAACCTACTCATGCTCTGCTGGCCACTCCCTCGTTTCTCATTCCTTCTTATCCTTCCCATCCTTGATATACTACTTTCATTTCCCCAGTTAATTCTGGTCTAGGCTGGGTTATTTTCCAGTGTCAATGTTGGCTCATCTCCAAGATAGCAACACCAGACTAATCGCTCTTGCTTATATGAGACATCAGAGGTTTCTATAGTCGTGACTCCAGCCAAGCCAGCATCTACCCTTCCTTTACTAGAGATCTGCTACACCCATTATATGGAGAAGAGCAGTGGGCCAGAGAGGCTTGAGACACCCAGCATTTACTTATAAGTAGAGTTTCCTAACAGTCTATGTGTACTGTTACCTTGTCATCGGCCAGAGACTAGGCTACTGCTACCGAGCTCTCTTTAGGCAGTGGGGTCATTTCATGAACATGCATGCCTCTAAAATGCTTTAAAATATCATGATGGCCAATCAGCAGAGAAATGATATTTGCTATAACCGTTACGTTGTCAATATATAGAATCAGTATACGTGTATTACTGCTTCCTTTAATGGATTTATTCACATTCAATTTGTTATTTTTTTTTTAAATTTAGTACCTAATACCTGACAGCAGCATTGAAAAGACAAAGTAAGTATCAACTTTATAATTGTCATCCAGAAGGTTACAATTTGGTTGGCGATAAAGATTAAAAAGTACACGGAGATTAAGAAATAATGCCAGTGTCAAATGAGACACACCTGACTGTGGGAGGCATGGAGGGTGTTGCTTGCACAAGAAAATGATCAAAGTTTTGGAGGGATCAGCAGGTGAATCTTACATCATCTTTCAATTCTGAATATTATTCTAAATGTTCCATTTAGTTAGAGAACTTATATTAGGCATTTCGGAATATAACAGCGGGTCATAGATGGTTTGTATCCTCTCTTTCTTAAATAATTTTGATCTCTGTCCTTTTGCATTATAGGCTTACCTTCCTACCGAGCTGAATTTTATTTAAAGGAGAAAATGAATAATTTTTCCTCCTATGAATTGCATATATTTTAGAAGTAGTTGCTTGACAAATGTAGATCTTTATGAAATAGAAACGTATCAATCTTTTTAATTATTTGGCCTGATGAAAGGCAAAGTGACCTCCATTGTGGACTTAAATTTTGTAATAATTCTCACGACCGTCAAAACCAATACTCAAAAAATTTCACCCAATGCATAAGTTGTTAACAGGGTTTATACCCCCATTAATACTATATAACTATTAATTCATAAATTGCAAAATATTATCTTTAGGCTGAGTCTAAATTCATATAATTCCTATATATTCATATAATAATTAGGTACATAACACATACTAATTTTATTCATATATTTTAACTAATATACTGCAATTTTGAAACACAGTAATAACAGTTACTAAATAATACTATTTAGTAATGATAATTATTCTTTAACAAATTAGGTTACTTTAGTAGTTAAGTACTTACTGTGGGCTAAGTACCTTGCCATGTGCTGTGGACACACCAGCCAGCAAAAGTGATGCAGTGACCTCATTTCAGAGTTTCTAGTCTAAAAGGAATTACCTAACTTCAGTTGTCTGGTTCAGTGTTCACTAAAAATCATGACATTGAAAATGATAAGTAATGATGTACACATATTAAAATTTCAAGATTTAGCAAATAGAAATATTTACGTGGGATATATATAGAAAGTATATATACTTTTATATATTATATATATGTATTCAATGCAGATTACTATGTCTTTCATCATTGGCCAAATAATTCAGAATAATTAATATGAAGTATATGCTTATATACATATATAAATACATATATCATCATATATAATTTTATATATGTATATACACATCATATATACATCATATATACTTTTAATATACATGAAATTATATGAAAATATATATTTATATATAAACACACACACACATACACTTACTTCTCTGAATTTCAAATTTACCTGTGTTATATTCAATCTGGCAACTGTAATATATACCACTTGTAGTGAGTTGAATTATGGCCCCCCTCAAATTTGTATGTTGAAATTGTAACTCACAGCATCTAGAACACAACTTTATTGGGAATTCGAATATTTGCAGAGGTAGTTAGTTAGGATGAAGGGGTGCTGGAATAGGGTGGGCCCCTAATTCAACATAATTGGTGTCCTTAGAAAAGGTGGAAAATTGGACACAGACATGCTCAAAGAGAAAATGTGATGTTGAAAGCAGAAATCTACAAGGGAAGTAACGCTAAGATTGTGGACAGCCACCAGAAGCTAGAGGAGAGGCACAGATTCTGCATCACTATGCTCAGAAGGAACCAACCCTGCCAACGCTTTGATTTCAGACCTCTGCCTCCAAAACTGAACTGTGAGACAATTCATTTTCATTGTTTAAGCCACTTTGATACAGCAACCCTAGCAAACCTATAGATATCTCCTTAGGGGGATAAATTAAAATGATTCTTACATTAAACAAAATACCTAAAAGGAATATTACCAAATTCTTACATGGTGTTCCTGTTCATTGATATGATTTTTACATTGGCCCATGAAGCTAGACAGGCAGTAGGTATGATTATTAATACTTACTGATGACAAAATAAAGCTTTCTCAGTGGATCTATAGTTTTCTTAAAGTTGCAATGTTTGTGACAGGGCCAAGATTCATCTTACTCTAACTCCATTTTTAGTAAACTTGTTGATCTACTCTGCTGCTTCTCGTAGAAACTCATTGATATGTTTTGGCCATGTCCCCACCCAAATCTCATACCGAACTTAGTTCCCATAATCCCCACATGTCATGGGAGAGACCCGGTGGGAGGTAATCGAATCAAGGGGGTGGGTTTTCCCATGTTGTTCCCGTGATAGTGAATATGTCTCATGAGATCTGATGGTTTTGTAAGAGCAATTCCTCTGCACATGCTCTCTTGCCTGCCCCCATGTAAGACGTGCCTTTTCTCCTCCTTTGCCTTCCACCATGATTGTGAGGTCTCCCCAGCCACGGGGAATGTGAGTCTATTCAACCTCTTTTTCTGTATAAATTACCCAATCTTGAGTATGTCTTTATTAGCAGTGTGAGAATGAATTAATACACTCATCTTCAGGTTTATGGTTTTCTTAATGAGAGACAGTTGGAACCATTACCTTTTGGGATCATTCCTTCTCTGCCTCTCTTTGCTTCTTTCTTCCCTCCTTTCCTTTTGCAGTTGTTTCATACATCAAGAGCCTGTGTTTACATCTGTTGACGTTTTTACCCTAAATCTGGGTTTTTATCTATAATTTCGGGATTTTCATTCCTGCTATTTGAGCTTTTCCTATTAGCTCCTTTTTAAACTTGGGTCTTTGCAGTGTTCTCTAAGTAGGTCCTTTGTATCTATTTAAAGATCATTGTTCTCAGCGCAGCCTCTGTCTGCTTCTGTGAACTGGCAGAACTCTCCCCACCCCACCTGCCCTCAAGGATCCCTACACCTGAGCCTACCAAGCTGCCTCTCTGCTTACTCTCAGCACTTTTGATAATGGCTGTGCTTATTAAATTTTCTGCACATTCAACTCAATTCTGGGAATTTATGACTATCATGTTTGCTGCTTTATCATCCTTATTTTGCATGCTTCTTTTTTTTTTAAAACTAGCTTTTATTTCCTGTGAACCTGATTCCTACCTGCTTAGGTGGGATGTTAACGGCCGTATGTTCCGTGGCTCTCTCTTGGGTTCTCTTTGCATTTGCTCTGCCACTTGGCATATGCAGAGAGCTATGACTATTTGAGCAAATCAGCATTTAGGATTCTATTGTGCTTATTTCCACTGCATAGGTTTATTATTATTATTACTATTATTTGGCTACTGATTTTTTTTACCTCTTTTTTTTTTATACTTTAAGTTCTAGGGTACATGTGCACAACGTGCAGGTTTGTTACATACGTATACATGTGCCATGTTGGTGTGCTGCACCTGTTAACTCGTCCTTTACATTAGGTATATCTCCTAATGCTATCCTCCCCCCTCCCCACACCCCATGACAGGCCCCAGTGTGTGATGATCCCCACCCTGTGTCCCAGTGCTCTCATTGTTCAATTTCCACCTGTGAGTGAGAACATGCGGTGTTTGGTTTTCTGTCCTTGCGGTAGTTTGCTCAGAATGATGGTTTCCAGCTTCATCCATGTCCCTACAAAGGACATGAACTCATCCTTTTTTATGACTGCATAGTATTCCATGGTGTATATGTGCCACATTTTCTTTGGGTTGGTTCCAAGTCTTTGCTATTGTGAATAGTGCCGCAACATCGTCAATTTGTCCATTACTTCAGGTACCACCCTCTGCAATGGCATGCCCTACATAAGACTCAAATTTCACATGTTTACCTGATGTGTTCATTATTTTCAACTGAATACTAATTGTTGGAACAAAAATCAGTAGCCGCAATGCACACATATGTTTATTGTGGTTACTGATTTTTGTTCCAACAATTGTTATTCAGTTGAAAATAATGAACACATCAGGTAAACATGTGAAATTTGAGTCTTATGTAGGGCGTGCCATTGCAGAGGGTGGTACTTGAAGTAATGGACAAATTGAGGATGATTTCACAAATGTCATGGAAGAACAGGAACTGCCAATTCTTACGTGTATTAAGGTAAATATATGTATTGAGAATTTCATACAGCCGACCCAACCCCTTAAAACCACTGGGATAATCTGAATTCTACCTGATATCATATTTTAAAAAGAGGATTTCCACTGCTAGGGAATTGGAATGTTTTGGTGGCAGTGTTGTCACCAAATATAGTACCTGGATGCTTGCAGGACTGGCCATGTTTGCCAGTCTAACTGTTCAACCAGGTTGGCCTCTTGCTCTGTTATGACCGGTGTGTGCCTTGATATCTGAGTGTCTTATATTTACTCTAAGTAGAAGCCAAGCTTGTGCTTATCCTCAAGTTCTACTACAATCTAGTTCTCCCTTCCAGGCCCCTGAGAATGACCTTCTTTTCCATCTTCTCTGCCTGTACGCTGCTTCTCATACTTACAACGGCTAATTAGGGTCCTGATTCAATATATTTTCTAAATATATTTTTGCAAAATTGACATGAGTTTTTAATTAGTAATGAGAACTGAAATAAGCTCACTGAAAAAAAGAAAAGAAGAAAAGCTCTTGTGCTGCCTTTAACTGTAACATCTCTTTCTTGCAGACTGAATGAATAGACTTCAGCAGGAAATGTGCCCTTACCTTTATAAAGAGAGGGATCATATGTACAATTGTATATGAATTTTGGATTATCCAAATGCCTGCTTTTAATATGGGCAAAGTGGTTTGCCTGAAATTCCATCAGGGATATAAGAGATCATTTATTCAGCAAGAAAAAGAAAGCTGTGGATCATATTAGCCAGTTTATGACATTGTGCAGGCACATAATACAAACAAACACACGCACAAATGGATAATGCAGCACTTTTCTAGACTTTGTGAAAACAATCCTCCTCCTAGGGTACCCTGATGAGGCGAAATGCCGTAACCTCAGGAAAAAAAAAAAAGTCAAAAGAAATTACAGTCGTAAGGTTGGCTGGACTCATTGTACCTGGATAAATGTATTTTAGCTTTCACCATGCTTTTCTGAATTTTATTACTCTTTGCATTCTGACTACTAACTGAAAACAGGATTCCTTCAGATTCCTGGGCAACTTGCCACTACTTTGGGCCAAGGGGCCAATAAAAATCATTAGCAATACATAAATTTTATCCAATGGGCTTTCCTGAACATGTGCAAGTATTCATAAGGTTAGAGCACTGACATCCACATGTTTTGTCTCATCATGTGCTCCTCATTTGCTTGCAATCAGTTAAACTCAAATCTGTTATGTGATTATATTGTAATTTATATCAAATGAGGATCAATATGCTGTTCGAGTATACTAATAAGTATGGTGATTAGATAGACACATTTGCTAATAAAAGACAACAGTTGAGACTTAATATAGTTCCAGGTTTTTCAAAATTCTGCATTACAATATTCATATTCTGTACCTTATATATTCATCTGTAGTTACACCAGTATGAATATATTCATAAGAGGAACATGTAGAATGCAGTAAGCATGTTCAAGATTGTCATAATGAGATACCTCTGCCACCTATGAAACTGAAAATCTCTATCTTACTTTTTTGCATTTAAAATTCAAAATTGTTATTTGACTAAGTCGAGTAAATTTTCATTTCCCCCAGTTTATAGGGTATAAAGTTTTCTTGTATCTTCCTTTAAAGTGGAAAATATTTTCTGTTAAATAATATATTTTTACCTAATGTTCGGTTAAAACACAAGCACATATACACAAACACACTTGAAATATTATGTGAGGTGCATTTATTCTGATGTTTAATTAAAAAGTGCCAATATCATGGCAGCTGCCACACGACATGCCATCATGGCAATTTCAGTGACTCCGGCACCTCCTTCCTCATGACTCCCAGTGACTATCTTGGGTACACTGAGCAGAAGCCATGAAAATAAGAAATGGGGTTTCAAGAATGGAGAAGACACACTGGTTGAAGAGAGAGTATTAATATTAAAGGGGAAAAAAAAAACAAAGAAATTAATTTTGGGGTTTCTGTTTGAACTAAGTTGTCATCTACCAGATTATTCTGATATCCAATGATGTGTTCCTTTCTGATGAGTAACTAGTATGTCCTTAATCCTAGAAATCACAGCCCAGTTAAAATCCCCAATTCCCAGTTTGAAAAAAAAAAAAAAATGAAAGGATACCTCCTCTGTAATTTAAACCAGAAGGTAACCTACTTAAGATACTTAAGACTGCAGTAATCTAGTGGGAAATATATTTTGGCTATAAACATCTACTTAGAAACATTTTACAACAAACTAACACCTCTTTGTATGCTAATTAATCAAATACAAATTACAGCCTAAGGATTCCTTTCTCTCTTTCTTTTTAAATTCTATTGGTTATCATGGGCTTGCTTTCTAAAAGGATAGTTCAGAGAATTCAAAACATGAGGAATATATTCTATAAGCTGGCAGAATTTTATTAAAATTGTTCTCAACAGATGGGTATCTATTTTTAAAACACCAGGGAGAGAAGTTCGACACCATGTCTGGGAAGTCCATTCTAGTGTTCAATCTAATCTTGTGATCCTCCAATTATCTTCCTTGTCTCTGCACATATTTCTATTTACCAGAGGATGCAGTTGAAGACAATTGAAGATAAATTAGACAATGGAGCAAGAGTGTGGCAAATAAATTCATTTTTTTGAAAAAAAATTGGATAGGAGATTCATGTTAGTAGTTTTGAAGTCAGCTTCTTATGCTTCCCCCTCAGTGCATTAAAAAATCTTTAAAATAATGTGTTTCTGATATTGGCTTCTTTACATCTCAACATTTCTGTGATAAAATTAATTCATTTTTATTTAAATTTAGGTAGACATTTTTATCCATTAATAGGCAATGATTTTTTAAAATGGTGTGTTTTCAGCCACTTATAATATTTATTTCCAAATAGTAAAGAGTAAATGATATCAATCATAGTGATGATATTACCATAATGATGGTCATTCATTGTCTTGTTGTTTTCTTCCCAATTTAAAAAAATCATACATAATTAACATGAATATAGACACTCATATGCCTGTATTTGGGAACCTAAAGAGTATTAACATACAAATTACCTGGACAATAAATATGTCTTTAAACGTTGCACTTAAATGTTTTCTGTATGAGATGATACTGTTTCTCCAGCATAACTGTAAAACGTTGTTACATGTAGTGGAGTCTTCGGGCTTTGCCCAGATGCCCAATTCAGAGCTGATGGATCCAACAATTATCTACTTGGAATATGGGGTTCTGGGGACTCACAGCTGAATACTTCCCTGGTAATTGCCCTTGGCTGCAGAGAACTGCTGAGAGGCAGATTAAGCTTTCTTCAGATCAGGCACACCCTGTGCCTGGCCGATATGAATGTAAACACCCAGTACACCTATCTGCATTGCTGGTAACTGCATCCCAGTGCCACAGCTCACTGAAGAATCAGGTGGAGCTACAGCTGTAATCACACAGTGTGGCAGCCGCTCCCTTCAGGATTCCTGCTTTCCTTTTTCTCTCACAGGGGTAGTTCCTAAAACTATTACCCAATAAAACGTATGCACACTATGCTCCATCTTGGGCTCTCTTTAGGAAATTCAGCCTTGAACACCACAACAATTGCAATGGGGATATGTTATGTAAAAAGTGATTCAAGAATATTTTTGCACACAATCTGTCCATCCGTGTTCCAATGTAGCTTAATTGTCACCTATACTGTAACTCTTTAACAGTTAGTTCCTCAGATACTGGAACATCAACAGGTTAATTTGGAAGCTCTTATGTGCAAGGTACTTGAGATGCTGGGAATACACCCTGAGATTTATACTTATTTATTAATCAAACACATACCGAGGACACAGTCTGCAGTCCAGGCACTTGTAGCCTGAGAGGACAGAACAAGCGCATATACAAACATCTCTTTACTGGCTAAAATATTATATTTCTATTATTTTTACCTCCTTTCTGTTTTTTCTCTATTTTTTATTCATGATATTATTACACATCACTATGTCTTTGTTATAAGCTACCTCCTCAACATTTTTTTTCTTTCTTTTGTTTTAGAGATGGGGTCTTGCTCTGTCACCCAGATTGGAGTGCAAAGGTGAGATCATAGCTCACTGCAGCTCTGAACTTCTGGCTCAAACGATCCTCCCATCTCAGCCTCCAGTAGCTGGGACAGCAGGCTTGCGCTATCATGCCTGGCTGATCAACATTTTTTAAAAGTTCATTAAAAAGTGATTAAAATAATGTTAATAGACTTGAAGGAGTTCAGGATCATGGGCTTTAGAGAAGGAAAACATTTTTAAATGGACAGAGGCAGAAAGTACATTTCAGAAAAAGAGAACAGTACTGACGAAGCATCACAAAGCAGGATATATTCACGGCATGTTTGAAGCATGCATGGACCAATTTGGCTAGAATTTAAATTAGAGAGTTTTAGGCGATACATTTGGAATGCTCAATGATGCCAACTTGGCTATGAATGCCAAGATAAGTGGATGTTAAGTATTCTCACAACAAAAGTGATAACTGCATGAGCTAATGCATTTGTGAATTAGCTAGATTAAACTATCCTGCAATGTATATAGACTTGAAAACATCATGTAGTACACAATAAATATATGATTTTCAAAAAGATCAGATCAGAAATTTAAGTTTGTTACAGCAGAAGAGTAGATTCATTGTTTGCATTTAGTTATTAGTTTGGGTTTTGTTTTTATTTTAGAGAGATACATAAAAAGAAAAAAAAATTCCAAAATTTAAATCTGTGATGTGCCTCTTCAAGGTTAATAAGATAAACCAATGTAGGGAACAGCTGAGAGGCAGGGGTAATGTTTTAGAAAATAGGAGTAGACTGTTGAAGAAAATAGACAGCAATGGTTCAAAGCCGCAGTTGTTTCCAAAGAAGAAAGCAAATTCAATTTAGTTATCTGGGTTTGAGGGACAAGAGAGAAGAGTTAATAAAATTCAATTCCAGAGATTTCATCTGCGTGATTGGAAAGACAATGATGATTATGAATGAAATAGCCAAATGTGGAGTACAGACTGGTTTGGGGGAAGAGAGAAAATTTGCCTCTGGCTATATTCAGTTTCAAGTGATTGCTATGCAGTCAGGGTAAAAATAGTAGTAGGTAGGTGGGAATTCAGAGGTAGAAATCTGGAGTTCTTATTGAGAAGACATTTATGTAAAGAAGAAGAATATTCTATGGATAACTTTCAACACAAAGAGAACCATACATTAAGAATTTTAGAGTTATTAGAACCTCAGAGAGCATCTGTCCCATGTTTCTCATGAGTAATAGACCTGGCATTGCTTCCCTCTGCCATATTGGTTAACAGCAACTATGATGCTGTACCTGCCTTTCTCCTTTGCTTTTCCCACTCCCTCATTATAGAGTCCATTTTAAGTATTTTGATCACTTACTAGGTAACTATATTATCTAGGTTTGAAATAATGTTTATGTGGCCTATAATAATGTAAAGAGATGCTAAATTTCACTCACAACAACAGAAATGAAAATTTAAAATTCCAAGATGTATTACTTCTCTCACACAGATTGACAGAATTCTAAGAAATTGATAATGTGCTCTGCTGATGAGGGAGTGAGGAGACAGGCACTCTGACATGGATAGTTGTAATAAAAAATGTAGAATTCTTGTGGAAAAGAATTTCAGAATATCCAGCAAAATTGCATATGGATTTAATATTTGACTCAGAATCCCACCTTAAAAAATTGCATTCTACAGATACTATGGTAAAAATGCAACACTACTAATTATGGCATTATAACGTCAAAGAATTAGGGAACTGGAGCCAAACATCTATTATTAGGGTGCTATCTAAATAAGGAAAGTACAAGCAGTGATATATGACGATGGACACCTTGATAGAGGTTCACCTGAAAGAGATGTGGTTGGATGAAAAGCAAAATGCAGAACAATATTTACAGTATGCAGAATTTTGTTTAAGACAGGAGTAAATATTAGTAGATATATATATATATATATATATATATATATATATATTTGGCTAGAGTTTCAAAAAGAAACATTGAAAGGATAAATTAAAATTAAAAAAGTGACCGCATATATGACAACATAGAGAAGAGGGTTGAGTTAATCGGGATAAAAGCCAGACTGCTCTGAAGAACCTTGTTTTATTATTTTGACAATGGGATCATGTAACTGTTTTACAATACAAACAAATACCATCAAGTTACTTCAAGTATAAAATCCAGCACGTCAAGTTACATAATGTTAACAACATTCAGTTGGACATATCACTGAGAACTGATTTTCCCCCCATATTATGTATATTGTAACTCTGTGAATTGTTAAAGCCTAGAATCAACATCAACTCAGATGAAATGTGCACTTGGGATTCCCCACCAAAAAGAACCAGTATACTTTAAACGAAGAGTGATTCCAGTCTGGGGCTGAAAAATACACACGATGCTCCTAGGAAGTGTTGTGCTAGAAAGCAACAGAGACCACAGAAAGTCTCACCAGGTCATGTCAAAAGGACATGGCAGCCATCATGAAGGGAACCCAATTAGCCAAAATGCGAGCATCTAACATGAACCACCAAAGCAACTATAATTGTATCATGGATTGAAAGACATTGGATCTATGAAAACCAGTGAGTTACCATGGGGAGTCAAATTTCACCACAATTCATCAGGTTACACAGATGCACGTGAGCGCGGGCCAAGCACATTCAGGGTTAAGAAGGCTCGTGATCCACAGCTTGTATTTTCCTAGTCTTCTTCTTTTTGATATTGTATTAATAACAGTTTCTGTGTCACCATGATGCTTGTTTTATCATGCCCTTTCTCCCATAGGTCATTATAAACAGTCTGATTTGTTCAGGTCATCCTCAAATGCTTTGCAATGAGACCATTACAATCAACCAGAACTTCCCTGTCTTCACTAACTTTTCCACGTGAAAATAAAAAGCTTCAGACACATTAAATTTAACAAGGTCTAATTGAGCAAATAACTATCTGCCAGTCCAGCAGCCCTCAAAACCAGAGGTTCAGAGAGCTCTGCTCCCGTGGGCAGGCAGGATTTATAGACAGAAATTGGAAGTGAGGTGCAGAAACAGCGTGACTGGTTACAGCCGGGCATTTGCCTCACATGTGCGTGGTCTGATAAATTGGCAGAATGTGATTGGCTGAAGCTCCGCTGCTGTGATTGGCTGAGACTCCATGAGTTGTTACAAAAGGCACGCTCCTAAATTAGGCTTTCAGTTTGTTTATGTGCTAAATTAGGTAGCAGTATTTTATGTAGGATATAAGGTATAGCCGCAGCCTCTGGCCAATTTTAGTTTTGCTTAACACTCTTAAATATTTTGAGCGATGCTGCAGTGTTAATTCACATCATTGTCTTTTATGCTATAGATTCTTATGCTCTATTACTTACATCTCTTAAGCCCACCACCATCATCCTTTTGTGCCCTGCCTTGCAATATGTATCTAAACAGGGAATCTATTCTTACAAATCTGTCCCTGTATTATTATGCAGGCTATGTCACTGTAGTCTTCTCTCATTTGCCCTCTTCCCATCTTTTTGTTTCTTTGGTAGTCCTATTTCAGTTTCCTTCTCTTTGCTTGAAAAAAGCCTATGTATGTCACTAAATGCAAAAACAGAATATTTGCTTGTCTGTTTCTGTTTTTATATCTGTATCTAATATCATATTTTACCTGGTTATGTAATTAGTGACATCTTAAAATTAAAGCAAGCTTTCTCTTCCATTGATTATATTTAAATATTTAAATTTCTTCCTGTTGTAACATACGTTTTTAAATCCTCCATATGACTTCCAAATTTTCAGGATTGTGTGAAATTAGTTTTAGCTATTGCAATATCATGATGAAAAAATGTACTCTTTTTTCTATTTCAAAATTCTTATTTCTGTATATACAATATCAATTCTTGTGTATACTTCAACTTACTATACTTCTATTTCAGACGATTAGCATGTATAACTCAACATACATTCTTCTATAGTACATTCTAACAGGCTGATGTCAGACAATTTGACATTACTTTGGGCTTAGAATCAGACTTGCTTTTTTTTTTTTTTTTTTCTAAGACAGGTTATTTTTTCTAGCTCAAGTCACAAAATTCTCCATGTAGATTCCTTTCCTTTTAAAAACCTATAATATGTCATAACTACAACTCCTGGGCAGATTATATTCACTTATTTTCACTGGGAAGAGTCCTAAATCTTGAGACTAAAGAAATTTCTCAAATTTGTACTTGAATCCTATGTTTCAATCTGAAATACGCTTCTGAGCTGCTTGGCTACGTCTGCCCATGGACTCCAAAACAGTGTCTTTGACCTTCTCTATATTTGGTATTCCATATTGCCAGAATGGAAGGGCAAACCCCCAGAAGGCTAGAGGACAGGGAGACCTTAGCCATCCTGAAGTCCCATCTGCTCTCCTAACACGAAAGGAAACTGTGGCCCAGAACACCTAAAGCAGAACAAAACGCACCTGTTTTCTCAAACTGTCATTCTATTTCTCCTCCTTCTCCTCCTTGACCCTGGTCCCCATGCCCAGCCTCCTCCTTCCACTCTTCTGCCTTTATTATGTTTCATTTTTTAACAGCAGTTTGTCTTAACATTTGGGTGACTTCTGCTGCTTTAACTCATTTGCTTTCTCATGAATACCTAGGCTGATTATAAGAGAATTGAATGTAACACACATTTACTGATGATTCCTCCAGGACATTGCATTACCTTTTCCATCTATTTATGTGGTTGGTTCAACATTTCAAGTTCTCTTTCAAACTTCTTTCTTTTAACCTTTGTCTTCTTCAGTTACACTTATTTTATTTTACCTTTTAAGCTGTATTTCTTTTTGATTTATCTTCTGCTATATTCTGCCTGTTGGGAAATGAGGTTCTTTTAACCATGGTCCTGCTATTCTCATTTCTTTGGTTTTTTCTCCATTCATTCACTTTGATCCTGCCCCCATCTCTTCCTCATCTGAGGTCTGTAGACAAAAGCGTCTCCTCGGACATTTTTTTGTCTCCTTTTCTCGGCAAGACCCATCTCCTCCCTGCTGAACTTCTGCCATACTTCGTATCATTCCCTTGCGATTTCTGTTCTTCTTGTCTCTGTTACTCTAATTTCAACCTGAAATCAGTCTTTGCTTTTTTGTCTGCATTTCTTTCTGACAGTCCCTCCCTTGCCCTATTCCTACCCACTGTAGAAACATAGTGTGTTAACTTAGGAGAATGTTACTATAACTGTTCTTTTCTTCTAACTTTCATATAGGGTCCTTGAAGTGGGTCCAGCTATTGAGCATTGCATAGATACGGTGTTCTTTCGCAAATAAAGATTGCGTGCATTTTATGGGAAAATGTGCCCTGTCACTTTCCTCCATAGGAAACTCACATTTCCTGACTGCACATTTCTCCCAGATGAGTTCTAGTGCCTTACACAAAGCGTGGCTTTAATTGTCTTCTTTTATAACAACAATCTTTCTTTGTTTCTATTGGAAAACACCTGGTGAATGGCTAATCCCACCCTATCCTTGCCACATTTCTGTTTCGCACTTATGTTTCCCAGAACAAATCCCAAACCTATCTGCTGTATTTGCTGGAAATACTGACACAGTGCAATGTCATCTTAGTTCATATGCACTCACCATTTTATCCCACTAATTGGAAGCAAGACCATATACTTCTACAATATACTTCTATTACTTATTTCCAGGCAACTTTAAGTTAACACAATAATAATTATAAATTAATTCTAACAATAAAATATACTACTAACAATAAAACTGGCAATATATAAAATATATAACTAACAATAAAATATAATAGTAACAATGTAAATATAACAAAAATAGTATTTATGTTATTGCCTCTACTTAATTGTTCTGTTATGGATGATTTCCTGAACTACGCCATGACCCTCATTAATTTCCCATGGAACAATATTTTTACTTACTCATATAAATTCTCTTAGTTCATGCTTCCCTGCTATTGCTTTTGAACTTTTTATTTCACCACTAATTTTTGCACAACTGTGGCCAGTTGTAACTCTCATTGCTATCTTTTTTTAAAGGCATTCAAATTACTGTTACATCATTTTCTACACTACATTTTTCTATTTGTCCTTGTTTCTGGTTTACTTCTAAATGATGCCACCTTATCATAAGAAGCCCAGTGTGTTACTAAATGTTATAGATCAAATCAGATTTATATTAAATATAAGAAAAGCGGGCCGGGCGTGGTGGCTCATGCCTGTAATCCCAGTACTTTGGGAGGCTAAGGCGGGCGGATCACGAGGTTAGGAGATCGAGACCATCCTGGCTAACACGGTGAAACCCCATCTCTACTAAAAAAATAATGATAATAATAATTAGCCGGGCATGGTGGTGGGCGCCTGTAGTCCCAGCTACTCAGGAGGCTGAGGCAGGAGAATGGCGTGAACCAAGAAGGCAGAGCTTGCAGTGAGCTGAGATCTTACTACTGCACTCCAGCCTGGCCGACAGAGTGAGACTCCGTCTCAAAAAAAAAAAAAAAAAAATAAAGAAAAGCTAACCGAAGTATTGGGAGATTTGTCCAAGTATATAGAACTTGTATGGGACAAATCTGGATCTAGAATTCAAACTTACAGTTTTCTTTACCAACATGTATTATACATCTGTCTACCTATCTAAATAATGAATATACTGTTATGAAAATAATCCAGAGTCATAATGAAAATATGGCTTTAAAATTAACTTTTGAATAAAGTTATTGCAGTCAGACATATATATGAATATGTATTTTGAAGAAAGTTTGTTCTTGAACTACCAGAAAACTTGTCAAAGACAAGCATCCACACTGCTATTACAATTTAATACCTGAATTAACACAAAATACAGTTATTTGTCATTTCTTTTACTATCCTTACAAAATTATTACTTGAGTTTGATTTGTCCATTATTTTTTTTTTTACATTTCCCAGATAATCTACAGTTGGGTTAAAAAAAAGATAGCTTTTATTTTTTTAAAAAAATCTAACATAAAAAAGAAAATGTCTGTAAATCATTTGCATTATTAATGTACTCCCCAATTTCTACCTGCTTACCATTGCAGAAATTCATTTTATAAAAAATGATATTAGTAACTCATTAAGTGGTTAAATGAAGCTGAACTCACTCAATTAACTGAAAATGGTCACACTGGTTGGTTGTAAATATATAAGAATAAAGCATAGGATCTATACAGCGATAAATTCATAAAAACTAAATGGCTTAAAGCATTGTCAAATATTTTTCTAGTCATATATATGAATTGAAATTCTGCAGAAATGCAGTCTTTTCCACTACTACACATTAATTTTAAGTAGACTGGTTGCAACTCAATTTTATGACTTCATACATGAGAATTAGGATAGTTTGAGAATATTTTATTTCTAAAAAACTTAGAACATTTATTATTATTAAAGGATATAGTAAATCACCTTATTATCTAAAATGCTGCTTTCTATAGTGGGTAGAAGAAGTTCTGCAATAGAAATTAGAAAATGATAAATGTAGTATATTATTTGTAGTATATAGTTTATTCTGTAAATATGGGTATGTCAATTAGTTTCTTTATTTCTAAACTCAAAAGTGAGGGTTTCATATTAGAAATGACCAAATACATTTGAAAGTACTTCAGAAGTAAAAATTATTTTGTATATATAACACTGTGTGTTATTTTGAAGCAGATAAGTTAATGCTTCAATATTACCACAGAACATGAAAATGAATTATTTTCTAAGTAGAGGAAAACAAATTATTACTGGCCTGGAAATCTCTGGGTAATAGCAATAAGTCTCTAAGGAGCATTAACTTCTAAATTGTCATTTTTGTGATTTGGAAATGAAACCATTTCAATTGCTGAAGTGCTAAGCACTATGGATTTGAAAAATTGTCTATGAACCAGAAGTATTACCTAAATTTTTAGCACTGTCTTTGGACTCGATTGGGTTAATTTTTACACTCAAAGGCAAAGGACATAATATGCAAATGGAATAGAGTTTCAGCCATACTAGACATTTGATCACTTTGTTACTGTTTCAGAGTGTAAGTTTCCTGATTCTCTGTATTATAAATTCTCTAAAGTGTGTCTTCAAGTTTCTTCATGCATCATGAGAGAATCTACTATTTGTACAAAAAGAAAGCTCTTAACTGATTTCTCTTAAAATATTCAATTAGGGGAGAAATGTTAATTACACTATAGCTACAAGTTGTTTTCCATATAGTTGTAGAGATAAGTCAAATGTTATTTCTCAATAAATTTTCACCTGTTGTAGAGGTTAAACTATAAAACGTCATCCAATTAATATTTACATAGATTTGTGTCTTCAAGAGTAATGCAATTCATTTTGCATTGATTGTTTTTGATAAGATAGGAAGTAGATTCATAAAGTAGTTTTCAAGAAGCACAATTATATATTGTCTTGTATGCTGATATCTCTATTAAAATTGTCACTATTACACTTGGGGAAGGCTTAGCTACTTTGTAAAGATGTTCCATAAACTCAGCAGCATATGTGCACTGACCAAGCATTTCCTGTACTGCACCCTCTGTTTCCTCTCTGCTTTTCTGCATCCCCAGGCTACTCTTCCAAATACAGGAAGTGGAATGTACTGCCAAAGCATGCTATATGATTATTATATGTTTCATATTTTACTTCCTCTAACTCCTCCTTTCAGTTTTCTCAATACGTATGAGAGATAGTTGAAGAGATAATGGAACTTCAGAGAAAGCTAACACAATAGTAACTACATGTGATTTTCCTCTTGTTTCCCCTGCTAAAATACACGTTTATGTTTCTTTGAAGCTTTCACATTGTTTAAGCCTTCTGCCCAACTTCATTTTCTCCCTGTGGCTAACCTCAATCTGTTTTCCTCTCTCTCCTGGCTGCCAGCCAGCTACTGAAACTGCAACAGGGCTATTTATAACTTATGGACTGCAAAAGTGAGTTTTTCATATGGCATAGGTACTTTTTTTCTTGTCATTAAGGCCATTATCTTAAAGGACTCCACGGCTATATTTGTAAACTAGATTTCTCATGAACAAAAAGTGAGTTTACATATTGTCAGACATTGGAACACAGTAAATCCTTAGGTAGTCTCAAAGTTGTTTGAGTTTTATCAAATTTCTCTATGTGGAATATTATATATTAAGTATATTCACTATAGACAGTGATGCTCGTTCAATGTTTGGATTAGAATAGATAGAAATATTTCCAACATGAATGACGTTTTTGATCTGAATAAAATCAACATCATAAAAAAATTCTCATTATTCTAGACAACTGAGTTCCAAGAATATGTACAAGCTTTGTGTCCCAAAGGGGAACACAAGACCTGAATCACATATCTTAAGAAAATAGAATCCCTTTAAGTCTCTTTAAAGAAGTCTTGAAAATGAGAGGCTGTGTGATTTAAAGGCACCTGCTTTGGGCTCCCATGGCAACCTGTATCTACATTGTATATGCAACATTTCTAACTGGAATCTAAGCATTAGTTCTCCTCCTTACTTGACTGGGTGCTTTTTAAATTTGTCTTGGCAAGGACCTGTTATGGTAAATAAAGCTTCACTGAAACACAGTCACACTTGTGTGTGTGCGTGTGTGTGTGTGTATTGTGTATGTCTGCTTCCCTGTTACAAAGACAGAATTAAGAGTTGTCAAGAGACATATAGCCCACAATGCCTAAAATATTTACTGCCTGGCCCTTCGGAAAAAAAGAAGTTTGCTAACTTCTTTTTCAGGATATTTATATGCTAAGAGGGTGAATGAATGTATGATCTGATATGTTCAGCAGAGATTCATTTTTTTTAGTCATTCATTTACATGTTTATTACTTCATACAGAATTATCTAGTGTCAGATAACCCTTGGTTCAAATTAGAACTCCACTATCATACTAGTCTTTGGAAAAATTACCTAAACACATTAAACCTTGGTTTGTTCGCCAGTAAAATGAATGTACAAGTTGTACCTGATTCATCCATCCACTCCATCAGTGAGATTTCATGAATGAATCAGTAGGCCTACACAACATTCTTAAGTTGAGGGAAATACTGCTTCAGTTACTTCTCATCTTATTAATCCTCTGTTTCTCCCAATTGTTCTTCTCATGCTTCTTTCTTCTTTTCTTAAAATACGTAAATGCCTATAAGCATGTCCCAAACCTACAATGTTCCCAGATGAAACTGTTTATTCAACAAGTATACATTGCAGGGACGGATGCTTGAGTGAATGAATGCCTTTAGTCTACTGCCCCATCACGTTGTGATGCTACATGGCTTTGGCTTAAATTGAAACCTGAGAAGCATAGAACAACCTGAATATGGTTGGACCTGAAATAGGATAGTGCCTGGACTACGATCAGTCTTCAAAAAGTTGTTTATGGAAAATGTGTCCTATGAAAAAATGATCCTTTAATGACTTTAAATGTTTTTCTTGTAGCATTATAGACTCATATTAACTTGTAACATGACTGAACAGAATCTAGTTTGAGGCACTAAATAGGATGAGACATCTGTTTGCAAAGAGTCCCTATGAAAGCAACACAAATTCTACTAAAATTGAAGCAAGAATAAACATCAAATATATGATGAAGATTGGGTAGAAGAATAGTGAAATCATTAATGCTTTATGAAAACTTTATGGGGACCATGCCACCAAAGAAATCAGCAATCTACAAATGGATAACTCATTATAGGAAGGGTCAAAATTAAACTGACGTCCTGAAGTCTACAGTGACAGACCATTCACATCAATTTGCCAGAAAAAAAATCATCTTGTTTGTCCCCTAACTGAATAGGACGAATGATTAATAGCAGAAACAAAGCCAATACCATAGATGTCTTACTTGCTTCAGCTTACACAATTATGACTAAAAAAATAAAATTGAGTAAATTTTCTGCTTCATGGGTCCCAAAATAATTGTGCTCAGATCAGCTGCAGACAAAAGCAGAGCTCTCAATGGAAATTTTAAATAAGTGAGATCAAGATTCTGAAGCATTTCTTCAAATAATTGTAACAGGAGATGAAATACGGCTTTACCAGTATAATCCCGAAGACAAAGCACAATCAAAGCAATGGCTACCAAGAGGTGGAAATGGGCCAGTCAAACCAAAATCAGACTCTTCAAGAGCAAAATTTATGGCAACAGTTTTTTGGTATGCTCAAAGCATTTGGCTTGTTGACTTCCCAAAGGACTGAAAAATGATAACATTTTCTGATTATGAGAGCATTTTGAGAAAGTTGGCCAAAGCTTTAGCAGAAAAATGCTCAGGAAAACTTCAACAGAGAGTCCCCACCTGCTCATTCATCTTATCAAACAAGCGCAATCTTGCAAGAGTTTCCATGAGCAATCATTAGACATCCATCTTACAGTCTTGATTTGACTTCTTGTGACTTTTTTATGTTTCTTAATCTTGAAAAATCTTTAAGGGACAACTATTTGTCTCCAGTTAATAATGTAGAAAAGACTGCATTGACATGGTTAAATTCTCAGGGACCTCGGTTCTTTAGGAATGGACTAAATGACCGGTATCCGCACTTTCAAGAAGGTGTCTTGAACTTGATGGATCTAATATGAAGAAATAAAGCTTATCTTTTCATTTTACCTTTTAATTCATTTTTTTCATGAACTTTTTGAAGCCTCCTCATATAATAGGTGATCAGTAAATCAATCTTTAATGAATGCAGTGAAACATTAGGTAAAAATTACTACATTATTTCAGAATAGCATTGTCAAACAGAGAGACCGTGTGGGTTGTGAAGTCCTTCCTGTATGTTCAGGTTGTTTGTAAAAACAAACAGACCATAGCCAAAGCCTACCATGTTAGGCTGAGTATACAGCAAATAATACTGAATAGGTGACTTACACAGGTCACAGAATTGTCATCAAAGATGGTTTTACTCAAATATACAGAACACGTTTAACTTGACAAATTAAGATAGTTCTAAATTTAGAAGATGCCATTACTTTTAATGGCAAAAACTGCACAAATTTTTGCACCAACATAATAATTCACATGCAAAAACCTATAACCAACTACAAGACATTTTAGTTTAATTGATAAAATGTATAATTGCTGGAAGAGTTTAAATTAATATTTGGGCCCTTAAGTCTGGTAATTTCCACTTAATTACTTAATTGAAAGGCCTTTGCTTGAAGAAATGCTTTAGACTTCAAGAAGAACAAAGTTTATAGGACTGTAGATGATATTGAGGCAGTGTCTAGTGTTAAGGAGGGGAAAGCATCTGTACTTACGTGTATGTAGGGATGAATTCATCATATCCATTCCTGTTATGCTCACTGGATTTATATACTTTATTTTTATTATTATTCAATTTTATTGAAGATGAACTAGAACTGAATAAATTTACTAAAATTGACATAGTGGGGCTGAGAAACCTAAGATCACAGTGAAGCATAGTGTTAGGAAGAAGTATTTGCCTTGTGGTTTTTGTAAACTCTGATACACATCTGTCACAGCGAGAACTGAATGTTAACACAATTTGTCATATCTAGTATTCACAGCAATGAGAGAAACAGGAGACAAATTGGTCACGAGACACCTGTGGACTCCCAGAAATAACTAGAAATGTTTAGGGAGGAAAAGAAATCCAATTATGCAAGTTCAGGGTTTACAAGGTAAAGAAAACCTGTGTTAATGTTCACATAATAAAATGTAACATAATCTGGTAAGAACTGGAGATATTTAGGTTGCATGCAAAAAGGAAAAAACATAATGAGGGTCATCCTAGTGTAAATAGTAACATAAGAATTTAGATTGTTTGCATGTATACATTCAGTCCAGTTTCAAAGAGAATAAGAAGAGGAACTCATTAAAATCAATATAAAATAATAAGAAATAATATCATTCTATTTATATTGCTTTAATGAAGTACTAAAATATCATCATCATAATTCAGAACATCCTTATTTATTTCAAATGATCACTATAATAAACATTATGATTAATTCATTAACATAAATACATAAAAAATTAAGAGAAAATATCTAAGTCTGAGCCCAATCCAGTAGCTAGTCAATTAATTGCTGTTATTTTAAATTCATAAAATTTCTAAGAAATCTCAGAGTGTAGAAGCTAAAATTAAAGATTACTTTTTAAATACAAAAATTGTTCTTAGATCAAACCAATTTTTTTCAAATACTTTCTTGTAATACCTCATGCAAGTGATTTTTTTTTGAAGATATGATTTACGTATTTACATCCAGAATGATTGGTTGTGTGATGACTGAAACCTGAGACAAAAATACAAGTTATTTGAAAAATATAAAAAAACAAGAAAAATTAGAATTACAAAAATGACTTCTGAAATAGGTTATTTAGTCCCATTTATAGTTTATACATTCACCGTTGATCTATGGAAATCCAAGATCTGGTTTTTATATTCTGTCCAAACATGGCTTAGTCACAGAAATTTTACAATTCTTTCCATACTGGATGACTTCCTGACATCGTTGTTCTTACAAACTGTTATACTAAAGATTTAAAGTTCTTACACCCATTCAGTCTGGGGGCAAAAGCATATTATTAATCCTATCACAATTTTTTAAGTTGCTTACACATTTTCTAAAATGTATTTTAAAAAGGTTGTTACAGTGTCCTATGATCTAGTCATTATTCCCTAATACAATCCTGACACATGGTCAGTTCAGCTTCCTCTGCCCTGTATTTCCCTTGTTTGAAGTATTTTACTTTCCTGTCTTCCTTACCAGAATCATATAGATCTTTTCACAGACAGTCCAAGTCTCATTTCTGTAACAACCTGATCCTCTTCGTCTCTCCCTTGAGCAGCTGCAAATTTCATGGTAGGTGTTGTGCCAGCATTTCACAGCGTGCTTTTCATTGTGCTCTGTTCCTTGTTATTTTTGTCAGCCCAACTAAATTATGCTCCTTCAGGACAAAAATCATGTCAGTAAGCATTTGATAAATATTTGCTTATTTACAGATTCCTTAAGTATGTGTTTTGCCATAGGAATCCCTTCGTGCCAATGATGCTCCATTGTAGAAAATAGAGAGCCTCCACCTGAAAATTGAAGACAATTCCTGACTGGTGGTACTCTGGCTATAATTACCAGTTTTATTGTTTTATCATTGCTTAATATTCATAAAACACAAAGGTATATTCATTACATGTTTTGGAGATTATTCATTGCATCAAATTGAGTGTTTACTTAATCTTAACTTTATGAGACCCAAGATGAGTATTTGCATGTTTCTTGATGTGATGGTCAGTTTTATGAAAAGAGGACAACACCATGAAAAAAATTACACAAGTCAGAAAATGCAACACTTCCTGGTGGCAGGGGGAAGAGGCGTCAGGGTATTTATTACAGGTGAAGAAAATCCCACTCACGGTTTTTTTAATCCTTCATTTGATCACATTATGAATTGCTTATAGAACTGACAGATTCACTCTTGAAATCTCCATGGAAAATAACAGAGCTTGAACATTTTTTCCAAGTAAACTAAATGATTTTTTTTAAAAGTCTCACTTTCTATACAAAACACAGCATAGAATCAGGGAGTATAAATTACTTTCTGGTTTTAATTTAGTTACATTGGGAAGTCACATCAATTCTTTTCAGTAACTGCTGTGCTGAGCTGTTTGTTTCCATGCATTTTAGGAAATTATGGTAAGTTGAAAGAGTGAATGATTCTAGATGTATTTAATGTGTAAACAAATTTTATCTCAAGATGATGTGAATATATTTCTTATAAGACCGTTTGAAATAATTTTCAATGGCAATAGAAACAAACTCAATCGCATTCAGAAGATGAAGTCTTCTGTTTTAATTCCTGTTAAATATATCTCAAGATAATAGATTTCCATACTGAATATAAATTACATTAAATAATGACATTTCCTCGTTTCTAAGATATCAACTTTTCTGTAACATACGTATTGTCTTTAGGGCTTACTCTCTTAAATATAATTTATATGAACAATGATTGTTAATAATAATAGTAATAAATAATACTTTAAAAATTCAAAGTTTTCTTCTCTTCTATCAATTTTTAAAAATTACGATGCAATTCTCTGCTGACAGGCGTCTGACGTGCACCTGTGCCATCCCTCATCCTGCATCCCACTGATAATTGTTGGCACTCATTGCCCAGTTTATAAATTTTAACAATTATCCTGAAGATGTTTCTCTCCTTATTTAGGGAGAAGAAGGTGTATTAGTCTTTAAGTCTGCTATCTGGAAAGCACAGTAGAAGATTATTTTGTGTAGAGGAAAATGAAGAAAGAAAGGGGGACTGGGAAGAGAGGGAAAAAGGGAAAATTAGATGAGAAAATAAGCAAGAAAATAGAAGAGCCTGTAGACAGGAAGGATACAACTGATGTAACAAATGAAAGGGGAGTAAAACTGAGAAACTTTCACAAAATATTTTAGAGCATTCCGAAACTAATGTTTGCATCTAAAACCAAAATTTCTGGCCATAGTTTTGTCAATGGAAAGATGTGCCTTTTCATGTTTTATACCTCACAAGTTCCAGTGTAAATTATTTCAGAGTAGCCCTTACCCTGAACACGTAAAACAAAATAAACCAAAACAAGCAATAATCCTATGATGTTATTGAATTGATTCCTGAATTACACCTTTTAAAATACTTTCAAACACACTCCACTCAATCTCATACTCATCAACCTAGAAACACACTAAAGAAAAATTGAAAATATCTCAAATTCTGGGCTGAAGTAGCTACATACGGAATATTTGGTAGTGGAGGTTTCGTGCCTTACAAGTGAAATTCCTTTTTGGGTATGGTTTTCCATGCTTCCAACACATAGTCCTGTCTCAATTGTTTGTTTGATTTTCCTCCAGTGAACTCTATTGATCTGTGTTCTTCAGATGGATCTCTAAGCTAACATCTTTGACATTTTGCAAATATATCCTTCTCATCTACCCAACCCCTTGCCTGTAGACATAAAATCTTTTATCTGTTTGTCAGTCTGCCTATTGCTGCTCTACCTGGTGAGTCACATAAATAAGGCTCCAATTTTATAAAAAGAAGTCAGGGGAAGAGGTGGTGAGAAAAAGATCTTGATGAATTTGAGGAACAAACATTAAGCATTGACACCCACAGCCTGCTGTCTAGTGCTTCCTTTTCTGATCAGTGACACACCGTTCCCAAAGGCTAAAAGACACCAAGCCTGATTTTGTAGACATAAACTGTGATGCTCTGGCAAAACTATCACTGCTTAAATCATATATAACGATCTTTCAACAGAAGTTAAAATGTCATCTTTACTTAATGATGTCAAATAAGATCATCATTTAGAGTCTATCGCAGTTTCATCTTTGCTGATTTAAATTCTGACGTATTGGAAGCCAATTGTGGAAGAATGATGTACGCAATTTGATTTACCTTGACTGCCTGAGCAACTCATTTTGCTCAGCTTATAAATGACAGCGTGAATATAATAGTTCATTTTGATAACGAGAAAATTTAAAGTTTGGCTCTACAATCTGGAAGAACAAAATGAATGTTGGCATGGGCCTAAAAATAAGAACATCTGTTTGCAGTAGGAAATAGTAATGATTTATTGTTCCAATATCACTGTTTGATGTGTTGTTTCATTTTATGGTAATTTACAGCATTTAATGTACTATATAAATTGACATAAAGTGAGGTAATGCTCCCCCAAAATGCAATAAAAGGAACAAAAATGTAGAATATAAATGTTTGGTTTCCTGTGTGAAAGTTTTGGTTTTGAAATGGGATTCATGCAGGAAGAGCAGACTGACTCCAAACCAAAATTGCTCTCTAGACAGCTTTGAAGTTCTGCTGGTGTCAGCATCCCAAGCAGGCTAGCAGTGGAAGGCACTGTGTGCACGCAGCCGCAGACCTCCAGTGCCTTCACCCCACTGATGAATTTAATTGAGACTTTTTTGTTTTTTGAGACGGAGTCTCACTCTGCCGCCCAGGCTGGAGTGCAGTGGCGCGATCTCGGCTCACTGCAACCTCCGCCTCCTGGGTTCAAGCGATTCTTCTGCCTCAGCCTCCTGAGCAGTTGGGACTACAGGTGCCTGCCACCACGCCCGGCTAATTTTTGTATTTTCAGTAGAGATGGGGTTTCCCCATATTGGCCAGGCTGGTCTCGAACTCCTGACCTCATGATCTGCCTGCCTCAGCCTCCTAAAGTGCTGGGAATACAGGCTCCCTGGGAAGTGGCTCGCCTGGCCAGTTGAGACTTTTTAAAGTAGATCTTTCCTGCAAAGTTCTAAAGCCCACCCAAAGGGCCCCAGTCATACATATTTATCTGATTTCTTTGGCCAATAATACAACTCTTGTATTTTTTAACATCAACTACTTGATTTTATATAAAATTATCCTTGATCCTAAAAAGAGACCTGCCTTTTTAAAGTATTTCAGAACACTTAAAAAGCTCTAAATCAATATCATTTTATTTAAAATATGTCAATACTAGAAAACTGTGCTATACTTTCTTGAAGCTACATGAATACCCCTCAAGCAAAGAATCCTCAATCAAACATATCCCATGTAACTTTGCTGGTGTTCCATCTCCTACACTTGCCAAGCAACCCTCTTGGTGGGGACAGTGGGCTCAAGATTGGGTAAGGACAGCAGCAAGTACTTTCACAGGCAGGAGATTCAAAGAATCTCGGGACACAAATGGCCAATGCTTTCTACTGAAGAGTTGATGGTTAGTTTTTCTAATGCACAATCGAGCTATTTGCCTGGACAAGAAGTTGTAAGAATGGTAAAGTCATACCAAATATAGAATAAGTTCTGTGGGGAGTAGATAATTTTAGAGTTCCGTGTCCTCACTGTATATAGAAGTAGATGGTTTCATTTTCAGACACTTGTTATATATGACTGGAATTTGTCAGCATTAACTTTAAGCCAATATTTTAGGAAGGAAAGGAGTCCAGTGATGGAGTGGTGTGTGCCTCCTTACTACGCATTCATGGGAAATAGGGACTTTAATTAAAATAACACCTGTGGATATTGTCTACAGTTTCCTGAACTTTACATCCTTACAAAAGTCCTGCCCCTGTTCCATCCCTTGCCATTGATCCTCATTTCACAGATGAGGAAACTAAGACAAAAAGCAGTTCACTAACTTGTCTAAATACTAACAGCCCCTAAATGAAATTGTCAGAATCTGAAATCCTATCTGCCAAATCCGAAAGTCATACTCTCATTGCTCTGCTTTTTAACCTAATCATTCAGTTTCCACAGAGCTCCTCTATGTGACATGGTTTTCTCGATTTAGATAACCTCAGAATTTAATTTCTCATTCTACACAAGGTAGGTCCTCAACTAATGTTGGCAATATTAAGGAAAAGAAGTAGGCTGGGCACAGTGGCTCACACCTGTAATCCCAGCACTTTGGGAGGCCAAAGCAGGTGGATCACGAGTTCAGGAGTTCAAGGTCTGCCTGGTCAAGATGGTGAAACCCCATCTCTACTAAAAATACAAAAATTAACCTGGCGTGGTGGCGGGCGCCTGCAATCCCAGCTACTTGGGAGGCTGAGGCAGAGATTGCTTGAACCCCAGAGGCAGAGGTTGCAGTAAGCTGAGATCACACCAGCCTGGGTGACAGGGTGAGACTGTCTTAAAAAAAAAAAAAAAAAAAAAGAAGTTATCAATATTATTAGATCTCCTAAATTTGCATAAACAAATTAATTTTCTCAAAACAGGGGTTGGCATTGTGTCTGATAAAACAGAAAGGCAGGCTTTTATTCCACTTTTGACCCATAGCTCACTTTCTGTTTGCTATGGTCGTATATAATTGTATATGACAAAACTCCATTTAAAAATGTTGATGTCTGTATTTACTTCAACCCATTAGTATATTAATTTTAGTCGATATTTATTACCAAAAATAATTGTCTTATACAGTAGAGAAGTGTTCACAATACCAACTAAGCTGATTATGCCACTGCCAAAGTCTACTCTTTTTGAGAAGGCCACTCTCTTGCCACTTCAACACAGTGAGAGCTTCTTTGTACATGAAGTAATGATCTATATGTGGGTCTGCTCCGCTCCATTGGTATAACCATCTATACTAACCCAATATGATGCAATTTAGTGTTGCTTCATGCTCATCTGGCCATGTAAGTCCTCACACATTGTTCATTTTTAGGACTCTTTGGCTGTTTTTGGCTATCTCTATTTTTATATAAATGTTTCAATCAACTTGTCAATTTCCATAAAAATACTCTTGGTTTTTGAATAACATTACCTTAAACTATGCATAAATTTGAAAGAAAATAATATCTTTAGAATATTAATCTTCCACAAACATGTTAGATCTCTCTCTTTAGTGGTCTTTAAAATTTTATCTGAAATACCTCTTATGAATTTCTGTAAAAAGGCTTACTTTAACAGATATTTCTGAATATATATTTATTCCTGGGTATTTAAAAATTATTAATAGTACTATACATGCTATAATGTTAAAAAATTGTGTTCCAACTTGTTAATATCTATAAATATAATTGATTCTGTTATGTTAATATTGGGTACAGCCACCCTGCTAAATATACTTACTGGTTTAACTAAAATGTATAGATTTTTGTGAATTTTAATTCACAATCATTTAATACAATATTTTAAAAATATTTAAAAATTTAAAAAATTTAAAAATTTTTAAAAAATTGCTTACTTACCATGTCTTATGTATTTCATTTATTTTTTGTGTCCTATGTCTCAGTCTTGTATTTCTCAGTCTACTATTCCTGTCCTATGTCTCAGTCTAGTATAATATAGTCGTGTACAATATTGCATATAATTGGTACATCAAGGAGAAATCAATTAACATTTGATCATTAAGATAATGATATCATTAAGTATAATGTTTCTCTGGGTGATTAGTAGATACCCAGTCTCAGTCTAGTCTAGTCTCAGTCTAGTCTCAGTCTAGTATAGTCTCAGTCTAGTATTATGTAATTGTGCACAATATTGTATATAATTGGTATGTCAAGGAGAAATCAATTAACATCTTAGCATTAAGTAAAATGTTTTCTCTGGGTGATTAGTAGATACCCTTTGGTAGATCAAGGATACAGCATTCTATCCTTAGTTTTCTAAAAGCTATTAATATAAATTGATACACATACACATTTTTTTCTAAACTACTTTATTCCTTATCTGTTAAGGTAATAATCACACAGTTTTTAAATTTTGCTTTGTTCCCATTAGTGACTTACACTGAGTGATATTAGGATGTTAAATAATATTACCTTTCTGAAATGAATCCTACTTGATCATGATATAGCATAATTTGTATATACTGCAAAAGTAATTTTGTTTATAATTTATTATTTATGACCGATATTTGTCAGTGATTTACCTTTCCTGTAATTAAACTGTAAAGTTGTTTTGAACTTATATATCTGGAAGTATTATCACTTATTAGAGTTTTCTATCAATATTTTATGTAAAACTGGCATTATATCTTGCCTTAGCATTTGTTGGATTTCAGCAGCAAAGTCATATACCTTCAGTTTTCTAAATAAAAAGGTTTCAACTTTAGATTCATTATTCATTATTTTTGATAAAGGATTAAATATTCTACTTCTGTCATATTTTGTAAATTGTCTTTCTAGAAATTTGTTCATTTCACCTCAATTTTCAGCATGATTTATGTAAAATTTGCTACAATGTCTTCTCATTGTCTTTTCAATTACTGCAGAGTCTATGATGATGTCCTGTTTTCTAATACTGCTTTGTTTTGCCTTCTCTCTTATTTTAAATGTTTCCAGTACTTTTTGATCCCCAGTTGTAGATACTTTATCACATAAAATTCTCTCATTTTTTGCTGTTTTTTAAAATCATAAATAGTTTTAAATTCATATACTTTTTTCAAAAATAGTTTAAAACTCATACTTTTTTCAGTCCTATTCAGTTCTCTTTATTGTTTGGTTTCCTTTGTTTTCTTTGAAGTAATTCCTTACACTTTTTCTAACTTTTAAATATTAATTTATTCATTCTGTATTTTTCCCATTAGATGCATTAAAAGCTATATTTCTCTTTTCTCCGAACTCAACTTTAATTCTATTTTGCACATTTGGAAATCTGCATCTTAAACAATTTTTAATTCTAAATATATTGATTTCTATCAACTTTTCTTCTTTGTTTCATGGACTATTGAAAAGTACAGTATATAATTTTCAAGCAGACGGGGATTTTTCACAGTTACCTTTGTGTTACTTTTTTAAGCTTAATTACATACTGTTAATAGGGTGTATTTTATATAATTTCATTATTTTATACTTTGATGACAATTCAATTCATGGGCTAGAAGACTGATTTTCTACCATAGCACTATTAATATTTTGGGTAAAATAATTCTTTATTGTGGGGTGGTATCGTGTATTGCAGTGTGTTTAGCGGTCTTCCTGGCTTCACCTATCAAGTTCTGGTAGCACACACCTCTCTACCAAGTCATGACAATCAAAATGTCTCCACACTTCGTTAAATGTCTCCTGATGTGGGAAAAATTTCCAATGCTAGACAAGCACTGGTTTAGAAATGGGTCAATTTTGTAAATACTCCACGTGGCCTCCAAACAATTTAAATACATTTCCATCCCCAAATGCGTCAGAAAGTTTTATCTTGTATTTTGGTACTATGTGTAATTTGAGAATCACATCCTTACTTTTGTGAAAACCATTACAGATTCTTCTGTAAATGCACACAACTTGTTTACAAGTTTTTGAATTTCTTACTTTACTCTTTATCTCTGAGTTTCCACGTAGGTAATTTTGAAGAATTTATTTGGTAGATCTTTTAGTATGATTCTTTCTGCTGGTGAGGACTTAGTCTCCATTTTCACTTGTACAAATATATCTAAAGTGTATTATAAATGGTGTGGCTGATAGATTCTCATTTTTTGTTTTGTTTGCTTTCTTTTTTTTTTGGAACAGTTAAAATATAATCGCATTGTCATGTACTTTCCACTGTTTTAGTTGAGAAATGCGATCTAGTTTTACTATGTTTCTTTGAGGATACAATGTCTCGATGTTTCTAAGATCTTTCTGTCATACTTTCTGCTTCTTAAGAGTTTTAATATAATGTGAAGGAATATATATATATATATATATATATATATATATATACCCATATATATTTATATACCTAGATGTATAGATATCTAGAAAATATATATCAATACAGATATACAGATGGTATATGTTAGATAGATATGTATATCTATATATATACTATATATATGGATAATAGTGATGAAGTGCTATTAAAACTTTCCTGATAACTTTCATTGGTTTTACAAATTTTGTCATTGCTTTTGAAATATGTCTTCTATTTTATTCTATTTTCTTGCATCATGTAGCTCTAATTATCTGTATAATTAACCTCTTTTTACCATATTTCCTCTCCCTCTGCAATCTTTTAATATTTGTTATTCTTTAACTTTTCTGTTTTTTGGGAGGTGTATATATTCTTTATGTCATCTAGTTCACTCATTCTCTGTTTACTCATATCCACCCCACTGCTAAATACATTTTTGTGTATTTAATTACATCTACTTTTATCATTCTGTTATACAAATGGAAATTTGATTTATTTTTCTACAGTTTTTAGTTATCTGTGGAAATTCTTAATCAGCCATTTTATTTTGTTGAAAATATTAAAAATAGTTACTTTAAAATTTGTATGTGATATGTCCATTATCTCTCATCTCTTTCTCTTTTTTCTCTTTAAAAAAGTGGTTCTTTCCCGGGTGGTGGAAGTTGCAGTGAGCCGAGATTGCACCACTGCACTCCAGCCTGGGTGACAGAATGAGACTCTGACTCAAAAAAAAAATAAAAGTATATAAAAATAATAAATACAATAAAATAAAAAACAGTTCTTTGTCTCTTTGTCTAATTTGTGCAGTACATTGTTAAAAATATTTTGAGAAATAGTTTCAGGTATAAGGAAATGTTTTATGTTCCTTCAGAAAGTTTTTTTTTTTTCTGGTAAGAGGCCTGTGGACAATGGAAGTTTTATGTGAAATAATCTCAAGCAACAGTAGGGTCCCAATGATCACCAGAGCTGCCAATATTTCTTGTTCCATTTATTTTTATTGTAAGATTTTTTTAGGATATCAAATTAAATATAGGTTAGTTTATCAGAGCATCTCAATTTTTAGTGCATTTGGAACTTATATTTTTGTCTCTGGACCAGGGGCTGTGAAAACTCTGCTTGTGACTCCAGTGTCTCAGCATTATCCTCTGCAATCACCAGCTTCCCCCTGAGGACTCAAAGGCTGCACGTCCTTTAAGTTATAGTGGATCTTGGGAATTTTTCAAGACATTTCTTTTCTTTTTTTTTTTTTTTTTTTTTGAGATGGAGTCTCGCTCTTTCACCCAGGCTGGAGGGCAGTGGCGCGATCTCGGCTCACGGCAAGCTCCGCCTCCCGGGTTCACGCCATTCTCCTGCCTCAGCCTCCCGAGTAGCTGGGACTACAGGCGCCCGCCACCACACCCGGCTAATTTCTTGTATTTTTAGTAGAGACGGGGTTTCACCGTGTTAGCCAGGATGGTCTCGATCTCCTGACCTCATGATCCGCCCGCTTCGGCCTCCCAAAGTGCTGGGATTACAGGCGTGAGCCACCACCCCCGGCCTCAAGACATTTCTACAGATGTTTTTTAAAAAAGATGTTTCAGGGTTTTTTTAAAATATAATTTTTCTTAGTAGGAGAGCTTTTCTGAATTACTTACTTTTCTATTTCCAGGAGTTGGATTTAATTCTCCAGGACAAAATGTTAAGTTGTCGTTTATGATGAAGAATAGTGTTTTTTACATACTTAGGAAAACAACTTGAGTCTACCTAAGCCAAGAAAATAAAAGTCTCATTCGCCACCAAAGAAAACAAGTAATATGAAGGTATCTTCTCAAACAAAATATCTTCAAAGATGCCCTCTGGTAGGCGGGCAGTAAATCTGGTTTTGCTATTCTGTTGTCAAATACAGTATGCCAATTGTGCAGTGTACTACATAGAACAGCACAAAGCTGCAAATAAGATTTTAAGTGTTAAGTAGGTGGGAATAAGTCATAAATTTTAGTGATAAAGATAAGCTGAGGAGAGGCTTTAATAGGTTGTTCTCATAAAACTCAATAATATTCAATGTGGTATAAACTTTTGAATATGCATGGGCCATTTCTTCATTGTAAAGTTCTTATCAGAGGAAATCGGAATTCTATTGTGACGTCATATTAAACTGACAAGGTTGCTCTTCCAGGAACATAATGAAATACAAAATTTTAAAAAGCATTTCCCTGGTTACTAAGGCAGCAGTTTAACATTAACTGGAGGATGAGCTTTTAGAGATCACACAAAGGGTAAATATTCGGATTTTTATTTTAAAAAATGTTATTAAGAAAGGAACAACTCTAATTACTATTCACAAAGCAGCCCACTGATGTAAAGACTAAAGACCAATCCACTGCTTCAGTTGAAGATGGCTCCCTCCAGGATATACATCACTGTCACTTTACCAGTTCACAGCAACATAATGTGTATGCAAGTTAGAGGATAGCGGATTGCATAATCCATTTCAAAGTTATTCCCCCAAAATTTTGCTTAATTGAATAAGGAAATTTTATACAATTATTCAATTATGATATTGTATTACACTTCAGAAAGAAAGTGTTTTTTCACCCTCACTCTCTGTACAAATAAAAAACCGAGAACGTAATCTATAAACAGCACCCGATGGCCCCTGCAGTGTAGAGTAACTGACCAGCTGCTAAGAAATTTCAACAATTGCCATAATGCAGGAAGTTAACATATTTATCAGATACTTGAGATGAAAAAATGGTATTTCATGGGGACTTTTTACCCTATGCCATCTGGTCCTGAGGTGCCTATTACATCTATTATTGACTCATTAAAGTCAATGAGGTGAATAACACAATTAAACTTGTTTACTTGTCAAGTAACAGTCAGTTAACATTGAAATGTAACTTCCAGTTTCAGTACCACTATGCGGCAAAAACCCACTCCGACCACACTTAGTGATACCCAAAATTAATCTCAGATTAATATCTCTCAAAAATTATAGAGCAATTTAAAAGTACATGAATATTTGAGGCTACATTTCAACATACAAATGCCGTATAAGAGTCACAATGAAGATCAGTCTTTATAATTAAAACAATATAAGAGTAATAAGTGGCCAATGGGGACCAAACACAGGATACATATTCCTGCACTCCACTTATCACTCAGCTGCAGATGGCTTGCACATTTGCAAATAGCTTGGAGAAAACATGGATCCGCGTGTGCAGGCAGGGCAGCAAAAGGAAAAGCTATCAGAATGGAAAAGCTTATTTCTACAAAACAGCTTAAGAATTCATTATTAGATAAGCTCTTAAATATGTGCATAAATGGTTGTGGTAAAATGAAAGTACTATACGTATTATTTTAACTTACCCTCAATATTCCATCATGAGAACAATGCAAAGAAATATCTTTTAACACTGGACCTAAGAAAACCAATATAAAAATGTTTTAGACTATAAATATTTAAATAGTTATAACACAGGAACTTTTGTTTTGTTTTGAGATGGAGTTTTGCTCTTGTTGCCCAGGCTGGAGTGCAATGACGTGATCTTGGCTAATCTAACACTGGCACTTCTTAACATCCTTCTCTGAGACATAACAAGACAGAAAATCTACTTTTTATTTATAAACGCTTACTTATATAAAGCAAGTAAACATCATTTGTTCATTATACACATTTTAAGTTCAGACAAATTAGTAAAATGCCAGTTTTCAAACTAAAGTTTCTTGAATAAATGCCACGAGGCTTCAGAAATAAGCATGGGCTCCATCACTGACAGTCACACATGCATTATGACCAATAAGCATTTAGAGAAAAAAATAGAGAGGGAAAGAGAAAGAGATTGCCAACCACAATGGAAGCACAATAGCATAATGTCTTCTGAAAAATTATTGTAGCCAAAATAATTTCAGTTATTGCCTCAACTTTCTCTCTGTGAATTCCTACCAACTGGCAAGCACCTAAGGAGAGATTTGTGTTACTGATGGCTGCCACCACTCTTGGGGCTAAAATAAATATTTATTTTGCTTAAAGATGAAGTTCTTTTCCTTAAAATAAAATATCTATTTATTAAAATCCATGTAAAAATTTTAAATATTTTTACAAATGATGTCAGTATTTCTTTTACCAAATGTGGACAAATAGTCACCAGAAATTGTCCATTCAAGTAACCTCTAGAGCAAACAAGTATCACTGAGTGTTTTTCATCAATTATAAGACATCCAGGGATATCATTAGCCATTGAACTTAAATAAGTAGCACATTGAAAGATATATCCCTACATGGTCACATGCCTCCTCAACAGTAGGTTTTAATCTAAGCAACTTAACTTAGAATTTACAATGTAAAATCTATTGAGGAAGAGAAAGTGACCAATAATCCAGACATTCGAACTCACTCACTACATTATATAACTAAAAGTTCGTGCTCCTCATGTTATAAAAATAAAATAGAAAACCATTTAATACAAATAAATATTTACTGCATCAGTATGCTATAGGATTGTAAACAAAGCTATATTTTTGCAACTAGATATATGGAAATGGTCACTGCAATGAACTCCACTAATATATCTCAGGGACTTAGTAGTTTAAAGATAATGAACTTACTTCTTCATTCCAGTATATAAGGCAATATTTGGTGAGATCTGATAACTAAAAATAACAACAGCTCTGAAATTCCATGTATTTTTATAATCATAGATTTTAGTCAATTTAAAAACATATTAAAACAACCTAATTTAGGGTTGAAGTTATTTACTTTAGACTATCATAACATATTGATTGTTTTTCAAAGTATAATGTTTCCATGTATTTTTGAGAAATAATTGTGATGTTTTCTAGTCATACAAAGAGAAGGGCAAAGGTTAACTGGTGTGCATGTTGAGCTTATTGATAATTTTCAAGTAGTAAAAGTCCTTTCCATTAAAGAGTACATGTCTAACAGCACTTCAAAGAAAGCTCTACATAAAAATTAGATTGATTTCAATTTGGTTCAACCTCATGACTATCTAATCCATTTGAACATACAATGTAGATTTTAATTACTTAAAGAAAAACAAAAATCCATTTGTTTTTTTTTTTGACATTGAACTTAAGTTATGTAAAAGTAAACATACATTCAAGGCTTTAAAAATTCTGGATGGTATTCAACAGGAAAAGACTTCAGAACATATTCTAGAAAAATATCTTTATATCACATGGAGCACTCTTACATGATCTACTTAGGAAAGTAATAATTATGTAAAACCAAGCTATTCATTGTCAGATCAAGTAACCTTCTAAAAAAGGGAAATTGAACTGCAAATGGACACTTGGGATGAAATGATAGTAAGCAATCCATATGGACCTGAATAAGTAAGTACAGGATTATGTATTTCGTTTTGGAAAAGTGAGAAAAGGAAGATTCAAGGCAATGAAGAATCAATTAATGCATCTTTAATGCATAAGATGAATCAAGAGCAAAACCAATTTAACTATGAAAATATACAGGCTGAAAGAAACCACTAACTTTAAAAATTACAGTATTTTATATCAAAGCTATGTTTTCTCATATAATATTAGCAGTACTTTTATCTCCTATGAATATAACTGAGTGGAAAAAGCATTTTTATGGAATCAGTGATATATAAAATGCACGGTGATTTTTTTACACCCCATGTAAAAAAATTTACACCTCCTGTGAAAAAATAAATTTGAAAGGATTACTGAGCACTTTGCAAATAAAGAGCAATAACGTACCTAATATTATTGAGTAAGTGGTAACACATTCAAATATGGAAAAATAAAGCTAGACAAGTAACAGCATCTGCAGTAATGCAAATTAATATTTTCAGATCTTTTCATTAGGATGAAAAGGTCTAAAAGCCCATGAGGGCTGTAAAATGTACACTGAATTACACACGCTCCGTGTCTCATCAAAAGCTTCTGCACTTTTACTTATGGTGAGCATGTTGCCAGCACCTTACTTGTTACTCTACCTACAGATGAGAGAACTTGTTTGGACAAATTTAGAACACATGGAAAGTGAACTCCCCAGGATTTTAGTTTATTCTGAGAAAAGCACAACTTCCTGGTTTCTTTCTTTTTTTTAAAGAGCCTTAAAGGATTATCAGAAAGTCTCAATAGCCTTCATGGATATCAAATCGCTCTAAAAGACCGGGTGTTTTGATGATTTAAGTGTAAATGATTCAAAAACACATGGATTAAGTTTCCATTAAAATACACAAGGTTGTAAAAATCAAGGGAGAAGTCATTCCAAAAGGGGCATTCGGTGCTTTAACTTCGAGTGCTTGAAAGCAGTTCAAGATGTCCAGCAAAACCAACCTGCAGACAGGACGCATCATTCAGATTGTATTTTACTACAGAACAGGGATGATTTTCCATTCAGGCAAATTTGTGCTGATACATACCATATAACCTTAGAGATTATTACATGCCTAAATAAAATCAGATACACAGTAATTTAAATATATGAAAATTAATACAGATATGATACAAAATAATCATGTAGGTTTTGCCAGTAAAAAGTTATTTTTAACTCACATTTTGAAATTAAATCAGAAAGTGGTTAGTTAGGCTTTAACTGCAATCTTACCAACTAACCACATTTTAGATGATTTTACTGACAACTCACCTTGAAAGGTACTCTTATTGAGAAGCCAAGAAATAGAAAAGATAAATGGAAAATGGTTCTACCTTTGGGCAAAGGAATGATGATAAAAGTCCACTCATTCACTGTGACTCTATTTTTATTCTACCTGTATTGAGATGCAACTCATATAACAAATCCCATCCGTTTATGGTATACTTTAGAGTATATTCAGAGGTTGTGCAACCATTACAACAATGAATTTTAGAAAATTTTATCATCCTCCAAAGAAACCCCATTCTCATGAGCAGTCATTTCCCAGCCAACTCCCAGACTTGGACAACTACCAATCTTCTGCCTTTCTCTATGAATTTGCTTATTCTGTACATTTCAAATAAACACATACAATATGTGGTGGTATGTGACTGTCTTCTTCCTCTTAGTGTAATTTTTTCAAGGTTTATGCATGCTATAGCATTTACAATACTTTTTTTAAATTGTCAAATAATATAACATTGCATGTATAGCACATTTTATTTATCCATTCATCACTTGATGGACATTTGAGCTATTTTCGCTTGTTGGCTGCTATGACTAATGCTGCTATGAATATTCATGCGAAACTTTTCTTTGTGTGGATGTATGTTTCCATTCCTCTTGTATATGTACCTAGGACTGAAATTTCAGAGTAGCTTGGTCATTCCATATTTAAACTTTAGAGGAACTGCCAGACTATTATCTAAAACAGTTGCCATTTTACTTTCCCCTCAGCACAACATGAAGGTTGTAATTTTTCACATCTTCACCAACACTTGTTATTATCTATCTTCTGATTCTAGTCACCTTAGTGGATATAAAATGGTATTTTCTCTAGTTTTTAATTACATTTCCCTGATAGTTACAACATAGACTTGTCCGTGCTGTCTAGATACTTATGTTGTCATGAAGATCGTCTACCTCTACTTATATAGATGATACATACAGACAGATAATAAATAAAACATAATTTCATAGAGAGGGACAGTGAAAAAATATGAAATAGGGTAATGTGATACAAATTGACCAGAATAGAGATCATTTTAAGCATCAGAAAGAACCTCTTGATTAGGTGAGCTTTGAGTTGAAATAAAAAGGATGGAAAAAAAAAGCCTTGTGAAGAACGCAGAATATATTTTTCTTCACTAGGGGAGAAGAGCAAGTGTAAACTCTCTAAGACAGAAGTGAGCTTGGCAACTTTCAAGGAGCCCAAGGCAGCCTCGTGTGACTGAAGCATAGAGAGTGGGAGGGAAGACGCGTGATTGAACGAGGAATTCATGGCAAATGAGTAGAACCTCAACTCACACACACCAGGCACTTAACAAATGCTGCTTGTTATTGTTGTTATTCTTATTTTACTAGCCTATGTATTAGCCAGGGTAGTACAAAGATGAGGCTTATTAAAGAATGGTATAATTTCTGTGGATAAAATATTCTACCACTTTATGATTTTTAAAATTATTAATTTATCATTGAAGTCAGATGGCACAAAGGAAAAACCAGAAGGTGTGGAAAGTCTGGGTGAAAACCTCAAGTCTGCCACTTTTATAGCAAAGGTGCAGGGAGTAGAGTGTGGAAAAGGAGCGGGAAGGTCTTTCACTACAACCCCACAGGTGGGAAGCTTGAATTTTGTTACAACTTGGCTTCATTTTGTTACAACTTGGCCAATCTGGGGATTTTCTTTCCACCACCAAGCCTCAAGGTATCTGCGATAATATTCTGTTCTGTGGACTTACCATTGTACCAGATTTCAAAGGCAAGCAGTCCACCCTTTGAGGCTCAGGAAAATGATGAATAAAGCTTTATGGTACAGAGTGTGTAGGGACAGTCTTGTAGGATAATGACTGGCTGGGATGCTGGCTGATATTACTGGTCCATCCCCAGTGTGTAATTACAAGACAGACATGTGGTACATGTCTGCTAGGCACAGGTGGGCATCAGTTCTCATTTGAATTCAGCCTGGGTGTTTCCAGGTGGAAACACGTGGTTTCCCCTGGCTTCTGGCCCTGGTGGCAGATGGTCTTTGCCCAGACTTGGCTAGGAGGCTGTTATTGGCCTCACTCTCTCCCTCTCCACCTACCATAACCTATGGAACGTTAAAAGACAGAATAAGAAGATGGACCGTGGGTGTCTTTTGAAAGTTTTTCTATATTGTTCTTAGATGTAGAATTATGCATTTAAAAGGAATGAATGTATTGGTTCCTTTCTCTTGTTCCATCTGCCTGGCCAGTCCTTAGGAATGAGCTAAGGGAGCTGGTGTTAGGAAGGACACTGTGGGTTATGACGTCAATAGTGGAACATGCCACCCATTAACTTTTGTAGCTCAGTCAGCTGTAAGATTATGATAATACCCTATTTCAAAGGACTGTGGTGATGAGATAACATAATCTATACTACTATGCAAATTATAATGCCTACACCTCCCAAATCTTTCAAGATAACAAATTCTACATTTTATTCATATTCTGTATTTTATGTATATTTTATATTTTTGCAGAGGGCTGCTAGCTTCAGTTATTAGACAACTTTTCTCCTCTCCCTGCACTCCCTCCAGATGACAGCTCTGACCAGTTTTCTGAGCCCTCCCTATCTTGACCTTTTCTGTTTGGACACTTTCAGCAACTCTGGTGTTCCCAGAGCATCACTTCACCTCAGCACTTTGCACTGGCTCTCCCCTGTGCACGGAATGGTCTTTCACCCTCTGGCCATGTGGCTTGCTGTCTTCTCATTGTATACAGGTCTCAGATTGACTTTCCTTGGCTTCTGCTCTGTTCATGTTTTCTTTTTCTTAATAGCCTTCAATACCATTGGACAGAATATAGGCCTGTTTCAATCAGCTACCGTAAAAAGTCATAAAGGAAAAAACTTTATTTTTTACTGTCTACACTCTACCAGTTAGAAAAGTACCTAACATAAAGTAGACATTTAACAAACATTGGCTTAGAAGCATGAATGAATTTGTCCTAAATTTTTTTCATTAATCAGCAAAGAATATTTTGGGGTGAAGTTACAGCAATGGGTTACTAAACAGATTACAGCTACTCAGGAGGCTGAGGCAGGAGAATTTTTGTATTTTTAGTAGAGATGGGTTTCACCATGTTGGCCAGGCTGGTCCCGAACACTTGACACTGTGATCCGCCCGCCTCAGCCTCCCAAAGTGCTGGGATTACGGGGGTGAGCCACTGCGCCTGGCCACCTCTAATTGTTGATGTATTTGAGTGACAGATTCCAAGCAGAATCAGCACGCCCTTTGAAAGCATTAAATGCTTGCTACTCCAGAAATGGCCATTTATTGGTCCAGAACCATCACCATTGCCTGGAGCTCCTGAAAATGATGAATCTCAGCCTACTCCAGACCTACAGAACAAGAACATGTAATTTTAACAAGATCTCCAGGTGATTCTTATACACATTTGCTGTTGAGAAGGTCTGGGTTAAGCTATGCATCAATTATTCAAGTACATGCAGGGACAAGGCAGGCAATACAAAGAGTAAATTGGAACTAGGTATGAGGTAAAAACAAGCGCATCAGGCTGAGGAGCATTTGACAGTATGTACACATTCCTACAAAGGTTTTCAATATGATGGAAGGAAAAAATAATACTCTGTGCTGGGAGAAAAATAGCTCCTGAAGGAAGCACTAAACATGGAAAGGAACAACCGGTACCAGCCACTGCAAAATCATGCCAAATTGTAAAGACCATCAAGGCTAGGAAGAAACTGCATCAACTAACGAGCAAAATAACTAGCTAACGTCATAATGACAGGATGAAATTCACACATAACAATATTAACTTTAAATGTAAATGGACTAAATGCTCCAATTAAAAGACACAGACTGGCAAATTGGATAAAGAGTCAAGACCCATCAGTGTGCTGTATTCAGGAAACCCATCTCACGTGCAGAGACACACATAGGCTCAAAATAAAAGGAGGGAGGAAGATCTACCAAGCAAATGGAAAATGAAAAGAAGGCAGGGGTTGCAATCCTAGTCTCTGATAAAACAGACTTTAAACCAACAAAGATCAAAAGAGACAAAGAAGGCCATTACATAATGGTAAAGGGATCAATTGAACAAGAAGAGCTAACTATCCCAAATATATATGCACCCAATACCGGAGCACCCAGATTCATAAAGCAAGTCCTGAGCGACCTACAAAGAGACTTAGACTCCCACACAATAATAATGGGAGACTTTAACATCTGGGACACATTCAAAGGAGTGTGTAGAGGGAAATTTATAGCACTAAATGACCACAAGAGAAAGCAGGAAAGATCCAAAATTGACACCCTAACATCACAATTAAAAGAACTAGAAAAGCAAGCGCAAACACATTCAAAAGCTAGCAGAAGGCAAGAAATAACTAAAATCAGAGCAGAACTGAAGGAAATAGAGACACAAAAAACCCTTCAAAAAATTAATGAATCCAGGAGGTGGTTTTTTGAAAGGATCAACAAAATTGATAGACCTCTAGCAAGACTAATAAAGAAGAAAAGAGAGAAGAATCAAATAGATGCAATAAAAAATGATAAAGAGGATATCACCACTGATCCCACAGAAATACAAACTACCATCACAGAATACTACAAACACCTCTATGCAAATAAACTAGAAAATCTAGAAGAAACGGATAAATTCCTCAACACATACACCCTCCCAAGACTAAACCAGGAAGAAGTTGAATCTCTGAATAGACCAATAACAGGCTCTGAAATTGTGGCAATAATCAGTAGCTAACCAACCAAAAAGAGTCCAGGACCAGAAGGATTCACAGCCGAATTCTACCAGAGGTACAAGGAGGAACTGGTACCATTCCTTCTGAAACTATTCCAATCAATAGAAAAAGAGGGAATCCTCCCTAACTTATTTTATGAGGCCAGCATCATCCTGATACCAAAGCTGGGCAGAGACACAACCAAAAAAGAGAATTTTAGACCAATATCCTTGATGAACATTGATGCAAAAGTCCTCAATAAAATACTGGCAAACCGAATCCAGCAGCACATCAAAAAGCTTATCCACCATGATCAAGTGGGCTTCATCCCTGGGATGCAAGGCTGGTTCAATATACGCAAATCAATAAATGTAATCCAGCATATAAACAGAACTAAAGACAAAAACCACATGATTATCTCAATAGATGCAGAAAAGGCCTTTGACAAAATTCAACAACACTTCATGATAAAAACTCTCAATAAATTAGGTATTGATGGGACGTATCTCAAAATAATAAGAGATATCTATGACAAACCCACAGCCAATATCATACTGAAGGGGCAAAAACTGGAAGCATTCCCTTTGAAAACTGGAACAAGACACGGATGCCCTCTCTCACCACTCCTATTCAACATAGTGTTGGAAGTTCTGGCCAGGGCAATTAGGCAGGAGAAGGAAATAAAGGGTATTCAATTAGGAAAAGAGGAAGTCAAATTGTCCCCGTTTGCAGATGACATGATTGTATATCTAGAAAACCCCATTGTCTCAGCCCAAAATCTCCTTAAGCTGATAAGCAACTTCAGCAAAGTCTCAGGATACAAAATCAATGTACAAAAATCACAAGCATCTTATACACCAATAACAGACAAACAGAGAGCCAAATCATGAGTGAACTCCCATTCACAATTGCTTCAAAGAGAATAAAATACCTAGGAATCCACCTTACAAGGGACGTGAAGGACCTCTTCAAGGAGAACTACAAACCACTGCTCAGTGAAATAAAAGGGGATACAAAGAAATGGAAGAACATTCCATGCTCATGGGTAGGAAGAATCAATATCATGATAATGGCCATACTGCCAAAGGTAATTTATAGATTCAATGCCATCCCCATCAAGCTACCAAAGACTTTCTTCACAGAATTGGAAAAAACTACTTTAAAGTTCATATGGAACCAGGAAAGGGCCCACATCGCCAAGTCAATCCTAAGCCAAAAGAACAAAGCTGGAGGCATCACGCTACCTGACTTTAAACTATACTACAAGGCTACAGTAACCAAAACAGCATGATACTGGTACCAAAACAGAGATATAGATCAATGGAACAGAACAGAGCCCTCAGAAATAACGCCGCATGTCTACAACTGTCTGATCTTTGACAAACCTGACAAAAACAAGAAATGGGGAAAGGATTCCCTATTTAATAAATGGTGCTGGGAAAACTGGCTAGCCATATGTAGAAAGCTGAAACTGGATCCCTTCCTTACACCTTATACAAAAATTAATTCAAGATGGATTAAAGACTTAAACATTAGACCTAAAACCATAAAAACCCTAGAAGAAAACCTAGGCATTACCATTCAGGACACAGGCATGGGCAAGGACTTCATGTCTAAAACACCAAAAGCAATGGCAACAAAAGACAAAATTGACAAATGGGATCTAATTAAACTAAAGAGCTTCTGCACAGCAAAAGAAACTACCATCAGAGTGAACAGGGAACCTACAAAATGGGAGAAAATTTTCGCAACCTACTCATCTGACAAAGGGCTAATATCCAGAATCTACAATGAACTCATACAAATTTACAAGAAAAAAACAAACAACTCCATCAAAAAGTGGGCAAAGGACATGAACAGACACTTCTCAAAAGAAGACATTTATGCAGCCAAAAAACACATGAAAAAATGCTCACCATCACTGGCCATCAGAGAAATGCAAACCAAAACCACAATGAGATACCATCTCACACCAGTTAGAATGGCAATCATTAAAAAGTCAGGAAACAACAGGTGCTGGAGAGGATGTGGAGAAATAGGAACATTTTTACACTGCTGGTGGGACTGTAAACTAGTTCAACCATTGTGGAAGTCAGTGTGGCGATTCCTCAGGGATCTCGAACTAGAAATACCATTTGACCCAGCCATCCCATTACTGAGTATATAGCCAAAGGACTATAAATCATGCTGCTATAAAGACACATGCACACGTATGTTTATTGCGGCTCTATTCACAATAGCAAGGACTTGGAACCAACCCAAATGTCCAACAATGATAGACTGGATTAAGAAAATGTGGCACATATACACCATGGAATACTATGCAGCCATAAAAATGATGAGTTCATGTCCTTTGTAGGGACATGGATGAAATTGGAAATCATCATTCTCAGTAAACTATCGCAAGAACAAAAAACCAAACACCGCATATTCTCACTCATAGGTGGGAATTGAACAATGAGAACACATGGACACAGGAAGGGGAACATCACACTCTGGGGCCTGTTGTGGGGTGGGGGGAGGGGGGAGGGATAGCATTAGGAGATATACCTAATGCTAAATGACGAGTTAATGGGTGCAGCACACCAGCATGGCACATGTATACATATGTAACTGACCTGCACATTGTGCACATGTACCCTAAAACTTAAAGTATAATAATAATAAAATAAAATAAAAAGAACACTTCTGGCTAGCTGTATTTTCCATCTCTTCGTTGAAATCATATAATTTATGATGAGTTACAATAAAATGTTATTTCAAGCCGATCAACACCCAAGGGATGTCAATTTTAATGAGGTATAATAGAACTTTAGGTAATATTTGGGAGCAGAAAGCATTTTAAGACACTGGTTTTGGACCTTGGAAGATCAATAGCAGGGCAATAAGTCTTCAGGGTAGTTGAGGGAAAAGAGAAGGCTTAAGTAAAACTTTGCAACTTTCCCTTTCAAATCCAAAGAGAAACCAGATCCCCTTGAAAAGAGTAAGCAATGTGTCCAAGGTTGCATTGTTGGGGAGTGTTGGGACTTGGATTGCTCTGCCTAATCTCATAACCCAGGCATCCCTCATCCTGGAAGGAAGGGTGATCCTGATGACTTTACCTCTATTAGATTAATGTGTCAAACCTAGCTGACTCCAAGGTACCACATATGTCTGGATCTTGCCTGTGATTGGATTATTTTCTATATCTTTATAACTCTCCTTCTATATTCTTTATTTCTGACCTATGAAAGGCTGAACTTTGGGTAGCATTTTATTCTTTCTTGATGAAAGTTATCTCTTCCTTTTGCCATAATTTTTCTGATGCCATTAATAATCCAAGTTTATATTATCTGTATTTCTTTTGCTGAAGATTTATGTTGAACTTGCATAGATTGCCCCATATCTCATCTTTACAGCATAAGTTCTTTTATTGTCCTACTCATCCCAAATCCACATATGACAATGCCATTTAGATAAGAATATTTTATAAGCAATTTTCTGCTTTAGTTTTTCAATATTGTAGTACATTATTCTGGTTTTTCCTATACACTGTTTGCTCCTAGACATAAATTGCTTCTAGTTCTTAGGTTGTTTGCTTGGTCTTGAGAGAGTATTCTTTATTAGTTTATCTTGTCCCTAAACTCAAATTCTCTGTCCAACTCATTCAGAACGAACCTGGATCCTCTCACTCTGCTGCAGTTTCTTATTCTGGTAATTCTTTGTTGTTGGGGCCGGACTGTGCATGAAAAGATGATTAACAGCATCCCTGGACTCTACCTACTGCAGGACGGTAGCTCTTCTTCCACATCCAGGTCGTGCCAGTCGAAAACATCTCCAAATATTGCCAAATGTTCTGAAGGTCACAACCACTGCTCTATTGAAACCTGTCATCCTGAAGTCACTCGTGACCAGAAACAACGGCCAATTTTTATTTTTATTTATTTTGTATTTATTTTTATTTTTATTATTTTTTTTTTTTGGCGGAGTCTCGCTCTGTCGCCCAGGCTGGATTGCAGTGGCGCGATCTCGGCTCACTGCAAGCTCCGCCTCCCGGGTTCACGCCATTCTCCTGCCTCAGCCTCCCGAGTAGCTGGGACTACAGGCGCCCACCACCACGCCCGGCTAATTTTTTGTATTTTTAGTAGAGACGGGGTTTCACCTTGTTAGCCAGGATGGTCTCGATCTCCTGACCTCCTGATCCGCCCGCCTCGGCCTCCCAAAGTGCTGGGATTACAGGCGTGAGCCACCGTGCCCGGCCCAATTTTTATTTTTTACATTATTCCTGAAAGCTGAAAGCCTCTGTTCCCCTGGAGTTTCCTTCGTTCGGAGATTACACTGCACCATTCTCTTGGTTCCATTTCTAGCACACTTCGGACTTTTGAGTTGGTCTGCTTTCTTTCCCTGGCCTTGAACAGTGTGCCCACCCGGGTTCTCAGCTCTGCTCTTCCGTATGTGGTACCACTGTCTCAGGATAACAATTGTTCTGAGAATTTCCACTCCCATTCTACATTCTGACGACTGCCCTCCTTCAGTTCTAGTCCCCCTGAAGCATCTCTCCTGAGAGCCAGTCCTGGACCTCGACCCTTGGCTGCCCAGCCAGCACTCATGTAATTACACTAATCCACTGTATTTTCCTTTCCTCCTCCATGAGACCTGGTATTTATCACACATTTCCATTGTCACTTTATGTCCTCATCACCCAGCTATTCTCCCTCCCTTCTAAATTTAGATTTATTACCAAAATCTATTTATTACAAACACACGTATCCGAATTTGATCTCTCCAATTTATCATCATAATCTTTCCTTAAAGCTAGAGAAATACTGTAGTTTCCCCATCTCTTGCCTGCACTATTTTTACAACCTCCTCAACGGTCTTCCAGGCTGCCAGGCTCCCTAGATTTTGTCTGCTGCACATGTTGCTGACAAGTTTATTGTCCCTAAAATAAACCTGAATATGTCCTTTCATTGATTAAAAGACCTCAGCTATTGTGCATTGTTTTCTGAGTATAATTCAATCACCTTAATAAGGCATTGAAAGACCTCTGTGATCAGGCCCCACATACCTCACTGAAGTTATCACCCTTTTCGACTACCAGCCACAATGTGGCCATGTCCTTGTACGATCCCACTTCAGATGTTGCACTTTTTCTGTCCTGGGTCACCTTCCCTACTTCTTGGCTGACAAACTCTTACTGATTCTTCCCTAAACCGCTCAATTACCCCTTCCCTCTAAAGGGGACTTGCACTTACATAGGCATAAAAAGAAACTTGGAAACTATTTTCATTTATCAGAATGTGCTATAAGTATTCTTTTAGACTTGCATTTTCCTCTTATGAACTATCAGACCATAGGTTCTGATTATTTCTCAATAGATTAAACAAGATTGTTAGCCAGGATTGTCTCGATCTCCTGACCTCCTGATCTGCAAGATTATTTCTCAATAAACAAACAAGACTATTTCTCAATAAAGAAAGAAAAACAAAATGACTCAAACAAAAAGTTCTATAATTCAATTGCACATTTCACAATAACATTGAGAAATAAAAGTGAAAGAAAGCAATATATATTTAGGCATGCGTGTGTGTGTATGTGGAGACAGAGAGAGAGAGAGAGAACATTGAGCTATACTATTACAGTAGGAACAAACAAAATAATTTCCTTGATCTTATATTAATCTAAATCATACAAATATTAGAAATTTTACAACAATCCTAAGGAAAAAAAGGTTATTGAGCATATAAATTAAAATGAAACTTTCATGGAGAGAAAAATAATATCAGCACATTGTTATATAACAGCTTTCACATTTAATCAAATTAACTGCTAATAAATTTCATATCAGTCAGAAATAGAAATGCAGAAATATATTTTGAAAAATAATAAAAAACAAATGTATGTTTATATTGGATTTTACATTTTCAAATGCCAGAAGTCCTCATTAAAGATCTCACAAGCTGAGTATTTTCTTTGCATTCTGTTTAAATGAGTACAACTTTAACCTCAGCCAATTAATTTCATCATCTTAACTGTACCAAGATGTACTTTGGAGTTCAGCTCTACTTATTCAGGGCTAGAGACTTTGAATCATGGCTCAAAATTGATGCAATCTTAAAAACGAAAGGCCAGTACTTTATCCTATAATCTTCTTCAAAATATTGACTCAGTGTCCATGGATGTTCATCATTGCCCAGGGATAAATCAGTAAGACTATCTTAATGGAGTTTGATCAGTGAATGCGGCCACATGTGTTCACAGGGCCTAGCCTAATAACTGGGTCAATATGTTCAGACCCATTGTCTGTGCGTAGTGATTTCATTAGATAAAAAACATCTTTGCCCATTTCTTTCTAATTGTTTTAGGAGTATAATTCCTGCTGATAATCTACAACATTGACTTGTACATGGGAAGGCAAACATTTGTTAGAAATTCTTTCTGCTACCTTTGATCGGAATGAAAGAAAAAAAATCAAGAGATATTAAAATCAACTACAAAGGCAAAGGAACCTGTCTTTTCAGGTAAAATTGAGTTATTTAAGGCTGATTTACAATTATATGTATTTTACAATGTCTCCTGCAAATGTATATAGCTTTCACTAACAGTGCAATGATACTTGCCATCGAAAATAAAATGCAGAAACCTCTTTTCCCATCTTATTGATAAGAAGGTAAAATTTAAATCCTGAACAGCTCTTTCCATCAGAACATGATATTTGGTTTCACAAACTCTTCCTTCAGTAACAGAGCATAAGTTTGGAATATCATGCTTTATTTTCACCCACTAATGCCATTTTCTGTTTGAAGAAAATAATAATGTGCAGCTGCTGCTCTATCAGGGTGACTGGCAAGTCATTCCCAAGCTTCATCCTAATTAGATCAATAAAAACTAATCCCTATGAGAGTATACATAAGTCTTGCCAATTACACACTTAATTTAGAGAGAAGTAGTACTATTTTCAATAAGTGGAACTATCATGACTATTTCATTGCTCTTTTCCAACATTTATTTCCCTGGATCACTGAACTGCAGATGTAACCAGTGAGATGTGAGACAGGGTGGGGCGTGGTGAATGGGAGGAGCAATCATTGGTTGATACTTATGGCTGCTTTGATGCTTACAGAATGATTACACAAGAGGAAACAAATGGTTTTAGAAAAGCTCATGTGATCATATAATAATTGGTCTATAGGCTTCTGTGAACAGTAGAAACTCTAAGACAATTATAGGTACCTGTGTTTAAATAACTTAAAATCATTCCACTCTGCCATTTCTGGAAAAGATTAAGAAGCAATACAGTCCAGCAATCTGAGAGCTGTGACGATGTGATACAAGTAGAGTTCAGGTCAATTTGTCATCACTGGCAATAATTAAATAGTCTTTGCCTTGAGCTGCTTTACCCATTTGAATGGGAATTATGTCCACCACCACCAAAGTCACTTTCTATTGCCCAGGTATTGATTTGGCTCTTTGTTTTTTTCTACATGCAGAATCACCAATTACAACATGGTTATTGATATCATGGAAGGATCTAAATTGGCTCTTTTTGCATAGTAGGTAAAAACTAAGGAAGAAAATCGTGATTTTTATTCTGACAAAATAAACTAATTTTAGAATGTTATTACTTGATTTACTGTTTTGCAGAACATGTAATTCTTTTAAAATTGATTCAACTTTTCAGTTCATTGGCTTTCTCTTCAACATTTATTTTAATGTAAAATGATACAAAGATATCTAAGTATTTAACATCACGTGCATACGGGTTTGTAAAGGTGCAGTTGTCCAATATATACTATTGAATAAAATGTCATTTATAAAATCTGATTATGAGCATATATTGTAATTAGTTGTATAAAATATTTGCATTTACTAAAAATACAAACACCAATTTTTGTTTTAAACAAGGCAATACATATAATTTCTATTAATATGCAGTAGATTCGTTTTACATCTAAGTTTTAAAATCACCAGGGATAAATCATCACTACCTATGGTTGTGTCAATTTACATATCTAATTCTGCAAGCAGAACGTCTCTCTAGCCCTGCCCATCACAGCATAGCTTCAGAGCAATTTCCCCTCTATGCACCGTCTAGGAACATGACCAGATTCATTCTATTTAGGACAATGTGGCAGCTGGGAGAGCAGTTCTTCAGTTTCACAGAATAAGTCAGTATGACATTCACCTTGAACTCAAATTTTATATAACTTTCATATCCAAGATAGTACATACATTTTGGGGGAATATGTCAAACTAAAATATATCACCTGCGTCTTAAGAAATGAAAAGTATTGTACATTTTGGGTTATATATGGCTAACTGGATAGATATAGATATGTAAATATACCAAATGAACCAAAAAGAGGAGAAATATCTGCCCAAGTACACTGAAGAAATAGATAATTACATGATATTTGGATTATTTTATTGACTTCTCAGAATTAGGCAGAAAAATCATGTCATTGGTGCTATGTAAATAGGATGCTAAATTTTAAAAAGTTTTACTCTCCTCCAAATGGAATAGAAAGGGGGAATGTGGTGATGAGATGCTCTCTTGCCTTGAAGTCAGCTGGGCATGCTACTAACAGCCAAGGCCAAGCAGCAGATCAAGGTTCTCCTGGCCTGCTGCCTGCCAATCATGATCTCTCATGAGCTATTTCACTTCGCTCCACTGTGTGTGATGCGTAGGTTCTCTGGCCTAACAATCCATGGTCCTTTTCACTTTGGTTAAAGGACAGAGCCCTAGTTTCATACAGGAAGAAAAATGAAGACAAAGGAAATACTGCATTAGGTATAGTGTCTGAAATGATGTTGGACAGTCACAACGGTAAGAATGCCAGAAAAACTAAACTTTGTTTTCAAATAGACATCTAGAACAACAGCACTACATTTTTTGGAATCTTACTATGAATGGTTTATAACACTTCAAAATTTTGCCTGTTTCATGCATTCACATTTACAATAGATAGGTGATGACTGATCCTCCAGCTGGAGTCTGGGGGTCTGGCATGCCTCAACTCTCAGAGGACACTTAACTGTCCCGAAGAAATGGTCATTTCATCATTTAATCAGGTACTTGCATGTAATTGCATTTGGATACACAGGCATTCACACACTTACACAACTACATTTAACCTTCAAAGAGAAACTTTCTAAAGGGAATTTGCTTCTTATGGAAGTAAAGTCAGAATGAGCTGTATTCAAAGGGTGAGGAAAGCTATACACAGGAGACCTCTGTTTTATTGTGGTTTAGCTCATGGAGCAAATATGTTTAGTGGTTTCGGTCTACTTCCTTGGAAAAATGTCCACATTGAAAATGACCACCCAGGTTAGCAAAGTTTGGCATAATGCTCACATCCTAGAAAACAGAAGTCTCTATCCAAGGCCAATGTCCATTTCCAACTCTTACTACATTTCTTTTCCTCAGGGAAGAGATTTTAGTAGGATCAAAAGAAGTTATTCTACGGGTCTAGAAAAAATACAATAAATTGCGCACTTTAAACTCATAACTACTAAATCAAAATAATTTATTGTCCTCCATTTTTAACCATAAATAGAGACCGTCCACTACGGGATCAACCAAGAGTGAACTATTCCCCAGCTGGTTATGAAATTTATTCAGATGTCACGGAACTGTGACCTGGTAACCTGCCCAGTCTTAGAGATGCCGAACATTACAAATGTGGAGGCAGTTGGGCTACATAAAATTCTTTCCCAAAACAGTGTAGCATTGTCAAAAAGTCGTATAAATATCAATCCATGCCACAATCTTATAAAAAATTGCCAGCCTCATTCTTTTTGTTTCACTTTCTATTCCCCCTTCTTAGCAAATGACTGATTGATTCCTTGGGCAGACTTTAGACTCCTATCAGGTACTGAGGAGGCTTATGCAGTCCCTGGGAAAGACCGTGAGTTCCATACAGGGTGAAAGCATGAATTTTGCTTTCAAAGAGCCCACATTTTTCAGGGGCAATACAATGAAATATATGGCTTCCTTAAGACATTTTCAACAGTAATATAGACTTGTGGAAGAATTTTGTGCAATTGGCATTGAAGTAAACATAAAGGCACTAAAGAAAGTGGATGCAATTGCTGCAAATAACTCCTTTTTTGAATATATTGAGTCAAAATTTTGGAAATTTTAGACAATAAGCCTTGTGCAGACATGCAATTAGTGACAGAGACGTGTTCTGATAAATGTGTCCTTAGGTGATTTTTGTCCTTGTGCTAACATCAAAGAGTGTACTTACATAAACCTAGATGGGATAGCCTAGCACCTAGGCTATGTGGTATACGGCCTACTGCTCCTAGGCTACAAACGTGTACAGCATGTTATTGGACTGAATACTGGAGGCAATTGTAACACAGTGGTGAGCATTCATGTGCTTAAACATATTTAAACATAGAAAAGGTACAGTAAAAACATGGCATAAAAGATTAAAAAATGGTAGACCTGTCTAGGAACTTAGCATGTATGAAGTTAATTGGACTGAAGTTGCTCTCAGTGAGTCAGTGAGTGAGTGGTGAGTGGTTGTGATGGCCTGGGACATGACTGTCGGCTTTATGAACACTGTACATACAGGCTATACCGTGTTTATTATAAAAATTGTTTTTATTCAATCATACACTTAACTTACTGTAACTTTTTTACTTTATACACTTTTTAATTCTGTAAACTTTTTTTTACTATTTTGTAATAACACTGAGCTTAAAACACACATTGTAACCTGGACAAAAATATTTTCTTTCTTTATATCCTCATGTTATAAGCTTTTCTCTACTTTAAATTTTTAACTTTTATTTTTTACTTTTTAAAATTTTGTTAAAAACCATGACACAAACACACATACCACCCTAGGCCTATACAGGGTCAGGATTATCACCATTATTGTTTCTGCCTCCACATCTTGTTCCCCTGGAAGGTTTTCCGGTGTAATGGCACACAAGAAGCTGTCATCTCCTATAGCAATGCTATCTTCTGGGTCCCTTCCCTGCCCGAGGCTATTTTACAGTTAACAATTTTCTCCTAAGTGGAAAAGGTACACTTTAAAATAATGGTAAAAAATATAGTATGGTAAATACACAAACCAGTAATATAGTCATTTGTTACCATTATCAAGGATTATGCACTGTATATAATGTATATGCTGCACTTTTATATGACTGATAGTGCAGGTTTGTTTACACCAACATCACCACAAACATATGAATAATGTGTTGTGTTATAATCTTATGATGACTATATCATTAGACCACAGGAATTTTTCAGATCCATTATAATTGTATGCAACCACTATTAAATATGCAGTCCATCATTAACTGAAATATGTCCTTATGCATGACTATGTGTGTGTGTGTATACATATACATAAATGTATATACACCCACATATATAAGTATAATTTATTCTATATACTCTGATTTCTGTCACTGAGATTTACTCAGAGTGTTCCAAATAATATAATAATTTGCTTTGCCTACAGAATGAAGCAAACTATAGAAATTAAGTATAGGTAATGTCAGCATTATTTGAAGATTTTTCCTATATTACCCAAATATTTATTTCAATTTCACCTAGTCAATTCCTAATTTGATTTCTCATCAAATATTATAGAATTGTCACTTTTTAAAAAATAGCCATGCTTGCTTGTGCAATCTTTGTCACCTTTGAATGTACCTTTTTCAAGCATTTTTCCAGAAAAGCAGAAGTCAAATAGATTTTCAGGCTATAATAGCAAGAAAACTTCTACCTGAGTACAATGAACATGAAAATTTTTTAGAAAAATGTAACTCCAATATTCAAACCAGAGTGTTACCTGTAGGAAAGAGAGAGCTAGAATAATGCATGATGAAAGTCAACACTGAAACCAATTTTATTACAACTCTCAAAGTTATTTCAGTAAGTTTTAGTTTGGGGTAAAGAATCCATATTCTATTTACTTCTGAAAAAGTCTCCAAAATGAAGCAATGGAGGTGAATACTTGCATATATATGTGTTAGTAGACAATATTCATTGTGTACCCCAGTAACACTGGGGTTGCAAAGCATCAAATCAAAACAATTCAATGCAAAGCAACATGAAAAATTCTAAAACACATAATTGAAAAGCACAACATACAGCTCTTTCCTACTCCTGAGTCTCTTACAACAGATCTAAAGTATTTCTGTTTCTCCTAATTAAGTAAATATTCTCCCTTAATACTCTTTCACTTTGCCACCAACTCTGGGTTCTTGAATTTAAAACTTCAATAAAGTAACTAAAATAAAGTTTCCTTAAAAGCAATAATGATGGTAAAGAACCTGGTAGAGGGATATGGGATACAGTAACAAAGCAAATGAGAAATTGTGAATTCCTTAAAAGCAGAGACTTACTGCTCTTTTCAGACTCAGGACTTATTGCAGTGCTTAGCATCAAAAGGAAATCAATAATTGCTTTTGAATTTTTGAATTAACTCTCTTCATCTTGTGGTGGAATTTTTATCTTAGTTGAAGATTTATCTTGTCAACTAAAACCACTTGATAGTTTAGGTTTTCTTTAATCATCCAGTCAATAACTTAATTGTAGCTGTATTCGACTCTCAAGTAATCCATATAAAAGTGGCAAATGGTATTGCATATGTTTGCATTAATCAATTATAGTAACTTGGAAAAAACAGTCACATTACATTTCAATACAAATACTTCTTTAATTCAGTGATTAACATGAAACATAAACCATGGTTTGTTTTTACGAAGGGATCTTACTATTACTCCAGTTTTACTAACAATAATTGAAAGAAAATATGTCATCCCAGTGAGTGGTATTTTCAGTACCATTATCATCACAATACTAATTTTAGTTTTTTTTCTCTTTCAGTTGAAGAAAAGAACTGCTGCCTCATTATGGTCTTTTTCAATTAAAATGAACTCATGTTGATAGACAAATATTTGCATTGCTATAATATTGGATTAATAACACTCACAGCAACAGCAATTAAATCTCCCTTCACCAACATTTAATGTCCAATTTTAATCAAGTCTATGGGGAATGTAATTGAAAAAAATTCCCATGTTCTTCCTTTGCCTTTGCTGTGCATAGATTTCTTTTTTTTCTTACATATATAATATCATTCCAATAATATTTGTCATAAGGAATAGTAAAACTTAAGAACTGATCATATCTTCATTTCATTTCTCTAGGGCAAAAAGTGAGAAACACCAAATTTAATCAATCTTACTACCAAAACGTGGTAATTTCTTTGATGATGAAAATTACAAGGTTATGTCATTTATTACTGGGACATTAATTATTGGTAAAATGTAGACATTCATTATAAAAAATGCCATACGCAATACTCTAACAATGGAATTACATATGCATGCCCACCTGTGCATGTGTGTGTACCACCTGTATGTCCATGCACTAACCTCTTTCCAGAATGTATTTAATACAGTACTGACTGAGTGTTATCAACTACATGATAATAAAACAGTCTTCTGAAGATTGTTCAGCATAGGTATCACGTTAAAAAGCAGATTCCACATTTTCTGTGCTTTCAAAAACTGAATATAAGGATATTAGAGTCTTTCCTGTCAAAATTATTCATAGAAAACAATCTCAGTTTGCTTTTAAATTAAAAAAAAAAACAAAATCAAACAGTAAAAATCAACAAAGATCAACTGAACTTTCTATATAGAGCTCAAAGAGGTGATATTTAAGAAAGTGAGAGCCAGGGAGAAATAACGTATTTACACTGGTCTGTGTTGATATTCTGTTTACCATGAATATTTTGTACTAATTTTGAGATTTAAAATATTTATCAAATATTATTTATCTTGACCACTGTGGGGTTTTTGTCCCATCTTAAATTTTGTTCCCAATTATGTTTGGAGTCCAATTATTGATCACGGATACAATTTTTAATAAGTGTTTTATTATTAAATATAAAAGCAGGTAAAATCATTTTCTCCCCATTATGAAAGAAAATAGTATTAACCAATTTTAAGTCCCATGTACATTAAAATTTTGACTCTTTACTATGCTTTTATTTCTACAATTCTAGGTAGTTTCTCTTCCAATTAATATTTAATTTAAACATAATTCAAATATTTATTTCATTATTCTAAAACTTTATTTTTAAGAACCTGTATTGTCTTCCATTCTGCCCTAGCATCTAGCTTCTCTATATTCTTCTGCTTTCTCCATTTGGCTGAGTTCTAATTTTATACTTTCCTAGAGCATTAAGCTCTAATCTAACATGCCTGATCATAGTAAAGACAGGAAGATTTTTTAAACCAACACATTCAGAGTAAAGCTCTCTATATGATTATCCTCCTAATTGTGTATCTCTTTTAGTGCACAGTATTATTTTACCAATTCCATCTAATTTGTTAGAAAACATGCTTCACAATTTTGTCCTACTTTTTTATTTTCAGCAGTCCTTTCAAACTAAGTTTTAATGTCTTTTAATCTGAGGCATCAGTATCTGCCACATCACTGTAGGTCACCTATAGAATGTCTTCATGTAATTTATGTCTTCACACCACACTACCATTTTTCTTTTCTTTCACATTTCTTCCCTCGTTTTTTTCATACTTACTTTTCTCTTTCAATTTTGTTTTTGTTTGGAATACAACACCCTTGGGAAGAAGTGTAAGAGAGAAATAAAACTAAATAAGTGATACGTGATACAGCTGTTTTCTGGTTTGTTCTTGCATGATTTATTCTTAGAAACAAAGCCAAAACAATTCTCCTAGGTGTTTATGTAATGACCAGCCCCCACCTTTAACTATGCACTGAGGCTGTACAGGAGCTTTCCATTTTTATCTTATTGAATTAAAATTCATAAAGCTTGACCTTTATGATTTTCTATTAATTGCTTTTCCTTTTATAATTTTCAATTTGCCAGACAATCAATTGTCAAATTCAATGTTATACTTCTTTCTGCATTCTGAATATTTTTGTATTTTTGTTTGCCATGAAATGCTTACATTTTTAAAATTAAAATATCATTTTGCCTCCTTTTTGTCAGACACATCTTACTACATCTATGTAATGTCGATGAAAAGAATCTTCACTTATCTTCTAGACTCAATGTACTCTCTCCAAAAAACAAGGAGGTGGAGAATACAAATATAAATATTTCTAGGTTATTTAGGAAGAAAATCATCTAACTCCAAAGAAATATAACTGGGCCATTCACGTAGATTTGCCATAGTTGACAGTACTTAGTAAATCTGAGTTTAAATGTAAATTGTTGTTCAAAGTAGAGTTTGAACAACAATTTGAATCGTCAAACTTGGCAACATTCCTTTCAGACAATATAAAAAATAAAATACTCCTTTTGTATTCACTTGACATTTTCCTCTGTGTTTGCAAGGAATTAAGAGAAGGTTCTGTAAAAAAAAAAAAAAAAAAAAAAAAAAGAACCATAGTAAAATATCAAAATGTTCATGACTAAACAAGCAGATTAATGATCAGAGGGAGCAACACATTTTGGAATCCTTTTATCCCATCTTTAGTATGTGCCTAAGCCTATGGATCCCAGTAACGGCTGGAATCGATCACAGCTGTAGACCTTCCTTCAGAAGCACATGCTTCATCTGTTAGTGATGCAGCTGGGGTTTGTGTGTGTTTTCTCCCCATGATTAACCCTTATTCAATCTAACAAAAAAGGGGTCTAATATTCTCAGCACTGAAACTATATCATGTCACTAATTCTAATACTAGTGTTTTTATAAACATTGCATAAGCTAGAATACTAACATTTCCCTAGTCTTATTTTATTAATTGTTAGGACATTTCTGACTCAAAAATAGAGGTAAAAGAATGAACTTCAATGAAGTTTTTATTTCTGCATTTGTGTGTGTGCTAGTTTTGCATGGCGAGAATACAGCTAAATAGACTCAGATATAAAAAATCGATTTATTAAAAATTTTTAAAGATAAAGAGTAGTAAGCAATAATAACAAAAGAAAAATCTGGAACCCATTCAGCTCAACTAACATCCTTGGCAGGTTCCTATTTACAGCATGAGAAATTTAATGACCAATGCATATAAAACAAAGACTGCCTACATTTTTTCACATGTGCTTTGTTTTTGAAAGAACACTAAAAAATATGCCTACCAGACAAGGCATTTTCATTACATTTAACAACTTTTGTTTTTCTTAACTCTTGAATAGGGGCTTGAATGCTTTAAAGATGGTACAAGAAGTCTACATTCCTGTTCAATGAGAATTTATCTCTATATATTATCAATTACTGATACATTGTGTTTTGTTATAAATCACTCTCATGATCTGTATAAAAATAAACCCTGTTTTTCCAAAGGGAGAAGTTTTACGGCCTTTCTCATGTTGTTTTGTTGCTGTTATGTTTGTTAGGATGTTTCCCATTTAGTGCTCCCATGTGGTTTAAATTAGAGAAAGAGTCTTGTAATTCAACAGCCACTCTCAACTTATAATGAAAAAGTAAACGAATAAAATACCAGATTTAATAGTCCACAGGAAAAATATTTAGAAAAGTAAGCTTTTCATGGTATTAGCTGGTAAGGAACAGAATAAGAATAAATATCTACGCAGTAAGGAGTAACACAAATACAACTTGAACAATCAATCAATCGCTCTGAAAGATAGTACAACCTCCGCAAATGGATTTTTCTTTTTTATTGTTACCTGAGGAAAAAAATCATCTTCTGTGAAGTGGAAGGGTGAGTTGAGTGGTGTTTTTTATACAAACCCTGGGCAATCAGTTCCTTCTGAGGAAGTCCAGCCTGCCTCAATCTCTCGGTAAGCATAGCTGGTTCCTGGAGGAGGGAGACCTAAGTGACCCTTAAAGTTGTTGTTATTATTATTTTGTTTATTTGGACTGAAGGTCTGGGCTCAGAGAAGGTACTAAGAATTTTAGGTTGTGTGTTAGGAGGGGAGGGAGTATGGGCAGTTTGGGGACAGTCTCTAGCCAAGGCTGACAGCTCTACTCCACTCATTTATCCTTGAATCATGTTTTGCGTTGGAGAAAGTCCATGAGTGTAAACTCAGAGAACTATGCACTAGTGTCCATGAACTGGACGAACTGCAGCATTGAACCATCCATGAAGTCAGGCACGGGACCATGGAGGAGTCGCCTTCAGAGAAAACAACACGACAGAATGAAGCAGAAGTAAGGGTCCCTAGGAATTCACATTTCCAGGCAGTTCTATGCCTTTCACTACAAGCAATCCCTTTTTGCCTAAATACATTTAAAGATGACTGTAGAAAACGGAAGCCTCAAAAGGAAAACAATTAACAATGCATTTGGGCACTCTATCACCTTGCTACTTAAAAAATAGTTCTACAAACCAGTGGCTTCCATATTACTAAGTAGCTTTTTAAAAATAGAGACTCTCTGGCCCCACTCCAAAGCCACTGAAACAGCATCTGTATTTTAAACGGATCCCCACATTATTCATATGCATGTAGAAGATTGAAAAGCATGATTCTTGTGATTAATTATGAAAAAAAATAATTTTCTGTTTGAGGAATCAATAAAATATAGTACACATATAATATTTGTTCATAAATGTGTATTTATAATTAGATAAGATGTATATGGGTATGGTCTCTGCCCCTTATTAAGTTAATATTTTCATAAGTGGTGACAGCAGTGATTTATTAGCTCTTTGGTTATATTTGAAGAAGGTGGTGCTTTTCAGGTTTACTTGATTAAACAAATGCTATACTTACATGCAGATACATTTCTACCCAAATAATAAAATAATTGCTTTTCAAGGAAGAAGGTGAGTGTTATTCCCAAACTCAGAATTCACCAAAAAAGAAATCGATGACAACAGCAAATGCCACCGGTTTAGGAGCCTTTGTCACAACAGGACAAAGTGGAGAGGATAAACCCAGCAGTTTATTGGAACTCAGGTAGCTCTCCAAGGCCCTTAAGGCTGCCTACAGCTAACTCATCAGCACAGAAACTTAATCATGTTTTCCTCTGTATATGGATCGAAACTTTAGAATCGAGAATCCATTGATTAAAGAAGCAAAATGATAAGAATTATAATCCCACTTCAAAATTCAACAGATAAAAATAATGCAAAGAATGATTTAAATTTCTGAAGCATTCATCTGAGTATATACATCTGACTGCTAGAAAAGAAACAGACGGTTAAGAATTAATGAAAGGAAGAACCAAAAAACGCTGAAATTATTTCAGAATGAGTTTCCCAAAATATGGCAAACGGCTGGAAAGAAGTTCTATGATATGTTGTTAAATACATTAGGTGAATTCTTGCTTTAACCTGTCATTTTTTCTCTTTTCTTGTTTCTTTCTTTTCTTTATCTCTTTTCTTTCTTTCTCTCCCTCCCTCCTGCTTTCTCTCACCATTTCCCTTTTTTACCACTCCTACTTCCTCTTCCTCCCCACTCCTCCTCCATCCTTCCCTCTTTTCTTCTTCCTAATCTAACATAGAGAATGCCTGTAGTCAAGAAGTACTGAAAATCATTTATTAACTATATGCTACCCAAAGAAATGATGGTAATGATTATGTATTTCCCTTCAAAATTAATAGCAGCTCTTTTTCCTTTACCTTTTCAGCTTTTTCTTACCGCATTTCAAATGTCATAATAAGGATAAGAAGCATTTTGTTTCCCAGAAATGGAGTGATTAATCTGATATGTGTCAGGTTCGATGACATAAAGAAGAAAATATATGTGCCAGTGAGGGTCAAAAGAGTCATTTGGCATTCAATCCTATAGGTTTTCTGAGTTGCAGGAATTTTATATCTTTTCATTTTATTTCAGGAAGAGATAAACAGCTTGAAGCCAGAGTGCCCACTACCATAGTTACAAGAAAACCAGCAATTAGTTCTCTATACAATGCTATTTTATATATTGTAAATCTCCTAAATAGTTGATTTTAGTCTTGGACACTCTAAAAATCCAGAGTTTTGGGGAGAAAAAAAAACTCATGAAAATGTATTTGTTTCAGGCAGTCTACTAATCTTTTAAAAAAGAAGACATAAGTGTTAAGAAGGGTCCAAGCCAGAATTAAGCAATATGTTAACTATTACTTTAGCTCTGAACTATCTTGTTTTGTGTTGAAATAATTAGTCTTTGAAGGAAGCCGTGCAAATTACTACAAGACTTGACCTGAAAGAAATTATTTGGGCTCTCAAGGCTATGTAATCCACAGCAATGTCACCTACTTTAGACTATTAATTCCCAATAAGGCTTGCATTTGTTATGCATGTGTACCCGGAAGCCTATTTGAGCATTTTCTGTAAGCCATATGTAATTCTGTTCAATTTTCCTTGAAATTGCATGAAGCCTTTGAATATTCTAAATTACAATCTATGAACTAAATTGTGGAACTCAGTAGAAAGATCATTAAATCAATATTTTGTCATTCAGATGACATAAATATGGTGCTTAAAAGAGTCCATGCCATATAAGAATTGTTATATATGTGTTAGATATTATTATTACTACTATTGTTAAATTATTTTTTGAAAATGTGAAATTCTAATTTTTATAATTATAAATATTCCAGCAATTTAATGTGAAGTTTATATTATGTTTACCAGACTATCAATTATATATTATCTGTATACACAACACAAATCTGTTGTTATTAATACCTAAGACAAGTCATAATTTGTCCTGCGGTAGATATTTAGAATTAAAAAAGTATCAAATCATATAATATTATACTCTTAAAAATAATAATCTGATTTTTATTACTGGTTTCAGAATTGGATACTCATATTTCCTCTAATATAACAGTTCAATTTTCAATAAGTCTAATTATGTTTTCTATTTTCTCAAATAACTATTTTAGTTTTCATAATCAATGTCTTCCTATATGCTTTTAAAATGATAAAAATATATACTGTTAATTTTTTTAAACCTAGTGTTTTAGTCTGTTAACATGATGCTATAAGGACATACTCAAGACTGGGTAATTTATAAAGGAAAGAGATTTAATTGACTCACAGTTTTGCAGGGCTGGAGAGGCCTCAGGAAACTTACAATTATGGCAGAAGAGGAAGCAAACACGTCCTTTTCACAAGGCAGCAGCAAGGAGAAGAATGAAAGTAAAAGGCGGGAAAGGCCCCTTATAAAACCGTCAGATCTTGTGAGAACTCACTCACTATCAGGAGAACAGCATGAGGGTAACCACCCCATAATTAAATTACTTCCACCTGGTCCCTCCCATGACACGTGGGGATTATGGGAATGACAATTCAAGATGAGGTTTGGGTGGAGACACAGCCAAACCATGTCACATAGTCACTATACTAAACATTTTTACTTATTATTAGGAATAAATAATAAAATTTTTATTATAACCATATCATAGGTACTAATACATTTCTTCTTGCATACAAATTGAAACTGAGGCACAGAAAATTTTAGTAAGGCTGAGGCCTCACAGTTAGTAAGGTTGGAACTGTGAGCAAAGTCTGGGCCTGGCCTCAGAGCTTCCTCCCTCATCGTTTGTGACCTCCTGTAATCTCTCTGTAGGACGAACATAGAATACTCTACATAAGTGGAAAATAAGCACCACTGGGTACTATAATACCATTTTCTTGTTTTATATAATCTGCTATTATTTTGTATTTTTTCTTTATTTTTCATACAAGCAGGGATGACATAAATTTTTTGACACAGAGATCTTATATTTCTAGCCAACCACTTTTCCTATTAGTTTGTGACTGGGGATATATTTATCCTCAAATGTAGCACTTTTCAGTTTTTTCTAATGTTTTCCAATACTGTCTTCATTTAATTTTGAAAAGGAATATTTTTAATTTCCAAAGCTCATTTTCAATATTATTTTTATGTGTTTATTTTTTTCATAAATACAGTAACACCATTTGATAAATCAACTATTTCTTACAAGTCATTAGTAAGACTATTTACTAGAATGTATATCAAGACCGACACTTTAATAATGCTGTTTATCAACTTAACAACAGTTATATTGATAGTTTCTTAGCTTCCCAATAAGACCTACACAGATAGAATAGAAATTTGACAGACAGAAAGGAAAATTGTTCTATTCTATACCTTGTACATATGAAGCCATCCTAGGTTCAATAAGATCTTTCCTTCAGCGTGTTCTTTTATTTTTTATGCAGCAAAATAATCATTTCCAGGGTTGCATCCACACAGAAGGAAGGATTTATTCATGTGTTTATTCATTCCTTCATTCTACATGGATTTATTTAATATCTATTCAATCAGTTCAAAACATATTTATTTAACCTTAATCTTGAGCAGTACACTATGCCAGACACAGAGAAGGATGGAGTGAAAAAAATCAGATTAGAAAGGAGCACAGCCTAATCTTTACCATACTTCACCTTTACTCCCAGAGCCTCTGCGTTCTGCTGATTTGCTCTGATGTGACTTGATAGTCTTAGTCATTTCAATATGATGTAGCCTCATATGAAAAACAAATATCTCCCTAAGTGTCTGACTTCCTACCAAGAGGAAATAGAATCAGCAAGGGAAATCAGACTCAATGTATGCAGCCTGCATGTGATGTTTGCAGAGGGTGTTGAAACACAAAATACAGGATACAATATATACATGACAAGAACCCACGCATTGGCTTCAGGAATCTGGGCTGCTTTGGACCTTGTTTATTTATTTATTTTTGGACCTCATTTAAATCCAGGCTGCCTGCACCTCCCGATAACAACATTCTGCTCTCTCAGGCTGAATTCTTCTACAGTCTAACAGCAAGTAATACCCTTCTAAAAGCCGTGAACATACCTACTCCGTTGGATATCAATTACGTTAACATGGCCATCTTTGTGGTCTCCAGTTGCCCGTGAAATGGAGCCTTGAAATTCCTCCAGAACCTAGGTCACCTTCAGACCAGCAGTCTGCTCGATGCTTACTCATTAAAAGGCAGGGTTTGCTAAGTTAGGGAGCCTCATGAAAATAAAGTGATGTAACTATCAGGATCTTGTTCTTTTTTCATTGCACTAACGAAATAGAAAATATAAATGGTTCCCCAGAATGTAATATTTAAAGACCTATCTCCATTAATGACAGAAAAAAACTCATATATATTATGCTTCCTTAGACATAGGTTTCAGTCTTTTTTATCCTTTAAAACATAGACATTTCCTACATAGTTTTCTTGCTAATAAAAATTTGAGGCAATTTTGTTAAAAAAGTACAAGGATATATATGTGTGTGTGTGAGTATATGTGTGTGTTTGTATACATATACATACATATGTGCATGCGTGTGTGCATATATATATGTGTGTGTGTGTGTATACACGTAGATATATATTTCCTCTCTCACTAAAGGTACTCACTAGACATGTGTTCTCATTGACACAGTAAATGCACACACAGGTGCATATGTGCACCCAACTTGACTGAAATTTAAAAAGTCTTGGCCTTCTCTCTAACCCTTTACATCTAAGAGTATGTTTTCTATATGAGATGTCCTAAAAATTATAGTAACCAGTTACGGCACACCATTGCTGAGAAGATTTTGAAAATATCGAGTCCCGGACACATACCGTCTACATGTAAGACAGGCTGAAGAATGCGAATACTTCTTCTTTCAATTCCTTAGGCTTTACACCTATAGAAATGAAAACTGTAGTCTATTAAAATAACTCAGTGAAAAAGCTGTGGCTCATTTCAGGATTTTTTTTTTTTATGCCAGGCATGAATAGAAGTATGGATTCCAAAACGGTAATTACCAGGGCCTGAAAATGTACATCTGAAAGTAACCCTGTGGAGAATTAGGAGAAATATACTTGGAATATAAGCAGAAACTGGAAGGATTAAAGGAATAAAAACAATGCATTTTTTTCTTCTTTAGTTTAGTGAAATCAATAAAATTGACTAGTATCAACCATTGAAAATGGAGGAAAGAATACAATTTTTATATTTTGTTTAACAAAACGTATCACTTCCTTATTTGAAGGGCTTCAGTTTGGGTCCTACTGTTGTCACTCAAGAACTGTGTGATATTTATGGTATCATAAATTGATTTAATAAATAACCAAATATAGGGTTAATCTATATCTATAGGCATAACATTAGCCAGAATCAATGTATACTTAGATTTCAAGTAATCTGGTAGGCTTTTCAATTTCTGGAGATATATTTATTTATTGTAGATTATATTTACGTAAAGTTTTTAAAATAAGGTAAATCAGCTTAAAAGTGATTAAGGTAAATCAGCTTAAAGTCCATAAAAATAATAAATATTTCTTGTGATTCATTACATTGTAAGCACTAGTTTGAAAATATTATATTGTAAGCACTAGTTTGAAAATTAGCAACTGAGGATTTACATTGATAAGACTGTTGAGTTGATGGATTAACCCCACACCACCGGCCAGATTAAATTGTCACTGCATGCCTTACAGTTCCAAGAGATATTACGAAATAGTAAATACTAACTACAGCCTGTTGTGTAAAAGATGACTTTTACACAATCAGAATTTATGTCCCATCCCATGGTTAGAACTTCCTTGAGGGCCAGAGCCTCCCACATTCTCAGAAAATAAGGCAGTATGTGTTTTGATCTGTTAAATGAAAAGTGTAAATTAATGACTACATTTCTAAGTGAGTCACTATTACACTACCTTTCCAAAATTTTAATAGAAAATATAAAAATTGATAGGAAAATTCTCATTGTCAAATACCATACTTCTCTAATTAATCTCAAGGCAAGATGGATAATTGTGTGGGGTTTCACAAAGACAAAGTTGTTTCAATTCAGCTTGCTCTGAAAAAGAAAAGAAAATTAAAAGGATCTAAAGTCAAACTTTTAGTTCACAGTAAGACATGTAAAATCTAAATACATTATACCTATTATTTTCTAATTTTCAAATTAGCACATAAAAATAATGAATCGCAAGAAATATTTGTTTGATTTATGAACTTTAAAATCAAAATACATTCACTTTTAAGCTGATTTAACTTATTTTAAAAACTTTACATAGAAATAATCTAAAGCAAATCAGGATATCTTTGGAAACTCAAGAGCCTACCAGATCACTTGAAGTGCAAGACTGTGTTGATTCCAGTTGAGGCTATGCCTGTAGATATAGATGAACCCTATATTTGGAAATGTGAGACTCATTTTCCTCATTTTTACTTCATTATTTTTTCACTTTTATTAATATTTTTAAGACTCTTTTCTTTTCACTTTATTTGATACAAAAGTATTCTCGATGCTATATCTAGAAAGCATTAGAAAGACAAAAATTTTTTTATTATACTTTAAGTTCTAGGGTACATCTGCACAACGTGCAGGTTTGTTGTATATATATACATGTGACATGTTGATGTGCTGCACCCATTAACTCATCATTTACATTAGGTATGTCTCCTAATGCTATCCCTCCCTCCTCCTCCCACCCCATAACAGGCCCCAGTGTGTGATGTTCCCCACCCTGTGACCAAGTGTTCTCATTGTTCAATTCCTACCTTTGAGTGAGAACACGCGGTGCTTGGTTTTCTGTCCTTGTGATAGTTTGTTCAGAATGATGGTTTCCAGCTTCATCCATGTTCCTACAAAGGACATGAACTCTTCCTTTTTTATGGCTGCATAGTATTCCATGGTGTATATGTGCCACATTTTCTTAATCCAGTCTATCATTGATGGACATTTGGGTTGGTTCCAAGTCTTTGCTGTTGTGAATAGTGCTGCAATAAACATACGTGTGCATGTGTCTTTATAGCAGCATGATTTATAGTCCTTTGGGTATATACCCAGTAATGAGATGGCTGAGTCAAATGGTATTTCTAGTTCTAGATCCCTGAGGAATCGCCACACTGACTTCCACAATGGTTGAACTAGTTTACAGCCCCACCAACAGTGTAAAAGTGTTCCTATTTCTCCACATCCTCTCCAGCACCTGTTGTTTCCTGACTTTCTAATGATCACCATTCTAACTGGTGTGAGATGGTATCTCTCTGTAGTTTGGATTTGCATTTCTCTGATGGCCAGTGATGATGAGCATTTTTTCATGTGTCTGTTGGCTGCATAAATGTCTTCTTTCGAGAAGTGTCTGTTCATATCGTTCGCCCACTTTTTGACGGGGCAGTTTGATTTTTTTCTTGTAAATTTGTTTAAGTTTGCTAGATTCTGGATATTAGCACTTTGTCAGATGGGTAGATTGTAAAAATTTTCTCCCATTCTGTAGGTTGCCTGTTCACTCTGATGGTAGTTTCTTTTGCTGTGCAGAAGCTCTTTAGTTTAATTAGATCCCATTTGTCAATTTTGGCTTTTGTTGCCGTTGCTTTTGGTGTTTTAGTCATGAAGTCCTTGCCCATGCCTATGTCCTGAATGGTATTGCCTAGGTTTTCTTCTGGGGTTTTTATGGTTTTAGGTCTAACATTTAAGTCTTTAATCCGTCTTGAACTAATTTTGTATAATGTGTAAGGAAGGGATCCAGTTTCAGCTTTCTACATATGGCTAGCCAGTTTTCCCAGTACAGTTTATTAAATAGGGGATCCTTTCCCCATTTCTTGTTTTTGTCAGGTTTGTCAAAGATTAGATGGTTGCAGATGTGTGGTATTATTTCTTAGGGCTCTATTCCATTCCATTAGTCGATATCTCTGTTTTGGTACCAGTATCATGCTGTTTTGGTTACTGTAGTCTTGTAGTATAGTTTGAAGTCAGGTAGTGTGATGCCTTCAGCTTTGTTCTTTTGGCTTAGGATTCTCTTGGCAATGAGGGCTCTTTTTTGGTTCCATACAAACTTTAAAGTAGTTTTTTCCAATTCTGGGAAGAAAATCATTGGTAGCTTGATGGGGAAGGCATTGAATCTATAAATTACCTTGGGCAGTATGGCCATTTTCATGATATTAATTCTTCCTACCCATGAGCATGGAATGTTCTTCCATTTGTTTGTGTCCTCTTTTATTTCATTGAACAGTGGTTTGTAGTTCTCCTTGATGAAGTCCTTCACATCCCTTGTAAGTTGGATTCCTAGGTATTTTATTCTCTTTGAAGTAATTGTGAATGGGAGTTCACTCTCGATTTGGCTTTCTGTTCTTAAACATATCAGCATTACTTGTAAGTTTTATAGTAGTAGTTAGTGATATGCCACTAATAAAGAGCAGTTCATTTAGTAGGAACTGAATATATTTAAAGACTAGTATAAACTAATTATAATACACAAAACTACTCTGCTTACTAATTAAATTTCTTATAAATTTGTTAGTCTGGAAGCAGTAGCCAAGGTGGACAAAATAGTTGAATGTATCCGTGGAAGCATTCAGCTAATTCATTACTGAAAAGCCCAAGTGGTGTCTTAACCAATACATTGTTCGAAAACCAAAGGTCCATAGAGTTATACTTCCCAATATGAAACTGTTTTAAAATATACATATATTACATTTAAGCTCCTTTTACAAAATGCATGTTTCTTCTTTATTCTCTTTAAATTTGGTTGATATATTTACATGAACAAATTTTAAATACCACAAACTTTGAATATTGGAATGACAAGCTTACTTTTTTCCCTAGATTATTTTCCCAAATGAATAAACAAAAAAATGACAACTACAATATAAAAGAAATTATCCGTCAACAGTACAGTGCATTGCAAACAAACAAGCTCTCCCTCTAGCCTCGCTTCTCTAGAATATAAATTGAATGTGGAAGAGAAACAAAATACTTTTGGAAATAAAGAGAATTGTGAAAAGGAGAGAGTGTTTGTTGTTTGTTTTTTTTTGTACTGTGAAAAACCAGATCTCTGATGACATAGAAATTTCAAATGGATGCCCAGGCTAAATTTTAGAAAGTCAATGTGGTTTTCACAGTAGATTTGTTTACATTGTTTATTTATTATTAGTTAGTTATCATTATAAATACTCTCTTGAATAAAAATTATGAAGAGGGAAAAATTCAATAGATGTAATGTCTATATTATCAAAACCCTGAAGTATTATGTACCTTACAAAGAACTCAAAAGGAAGGGATTACAAATTATCACATATTTAGTCAATGTATTTATTTAATTGTGACAAGTGAAAGAACATTAAATAAATTATATTCTGTCTTCAGGCTAAACTCATTCCAATTAAGGGTAAGCATTTTGTAAGTGCTTAACATATGTCATTGTAGTAAAAACAACTTATATAATAATACCATGGAGTTTCACCAATGGCCCTGGTGGAACTATGACTGTTGTTGGAAACATGTTGTATTTTGCCTCTGGCAAAATCATTTTCATTTGCTCCAACTGTAGTCATCCATTTATCCATTTTCTAGAGCAGTGCTACTTTGGTTGCTAATATCACTAGTCCATCAAAATGTATGAGGAACTTAAATCTTTTATCCAAAGAAAGACTACAGGGATTTTCCCCCCCAGTATACTAGCCATTTGCTTTCTTCTAATAAACAAAAGAAATGTTGATATTAAAAAATTACATTTAGTATTTTTGAATATGACAAAAATATTTTGAGCTATATTTGAGCATGAGTAATTTGTGTATTTGATAATTGTTAAACAAATTGTTATATTCTTCATAGTAAGAATATTTCAAATGTGTACTTTTACTATTACTGATTATTAAAGTAGCAACCTAATTATATAATACTGTTCCTAATTCAGCTAAATTTTTTATTAAAGAAAGCACTTTTTATTTTGTAAAGTCACATGCAAGTATATATGTATTTAATTTTTTTATTTTAACAAAAAATATAATTCTACCTTTGCAACTTATTTTCATTTACTACTATATTAGGGATATTTTTTCGGCCATATCTCTCTTTTTTTCGCTCTCTCTCAATAGGTAAATAATTATATACTTCATTTTTTTACATCTCTTAAACATTTGACTTTGACTTTTATGACTTTTAATCATAGATATTTCCAAGTTTCAGGAATCTTATATCTTTACATTTTATTTTAGAATGAGATAAACAGCTTGAAGCCAGAGTACTCACTAAGTCAGTGATGAGAAAACTGTTAGCTCTCTACAAAGTCCTGACTGACTAACACTTAGCACATCACCAAACTAACCTCAAAATTCAATCAGTATATTTACTATTGATTACCATAATGTGTGTGTGTGTCAGGGGGTGTTTTAAAATTTTCTAGTGGAAATAATTGTAAAGGACTCTGGAAAAAGTTATAGAATATCGTTGCCCTTGATGGCAAAAATATATTTTTAAATCTATTGTTTCCTAATTAATATAATAATTTTGGCAAGGTATACTAGATTCTCAATTTGTTTTGAGACTAAACACATTTATTTTACTGTCTATATGTAAGAATGATGTGGAGAAATCTGGAGGGTAGAAAATTGGCATCTCTCATTTCTGCACATGTTATAGAGCAGAGGCAATGATCATCTTTGTTGAGATTACTTTTTCAGAATGTTTTTACAGCAAAAAGCCTTGGAAGATAGAGACAGTGTTGCACTCTTTGAAGCAAAGGGAAGTTTTTTTTATTGATTAGTATAATAAAGATAATGCTGTTCTCTTAAACGTAAAAAATGTTCATAATAATAAGATGTTTCTTTTTTCTACACATTCTTCTAGGGTTCCAGGCTTTCATGGTTGGTCTGGCTGTCATCATTTCCAGACACCAAAATGAAACAGTGGAAATCCAGGTCAGAAGTTGATTTTAACAAGGTTGCCCTTCTAATTATAGGGTTGGCTGATATTTAATCACGTGGTCACACTTAGCCCGGAAAGATAGTGGTGAATGTGGTCTTAACCTGAATAGCCCTGAGGAAGGAGAGAAAAGGTTTGGATAGAGACAGGCTGAACAACCACTGATACACGGTCTTTAAAAATCCTGGGCCGGGCGCGGTGGTTCACGCCTGTAATCCCAGCACTTTGGGAGGCCGAGGCGTGTGGATCACGAGGTCAGGAGATTGAGACCATCCTGGCTAACACGGTGAAACCCCGTCTCCACTAAAAATACAAAAAATTCTCCGGGCGTGGTGGCGGGCGCCTGTAGTCCCAGCTACTCGGGAGGCTGAGGCAGGAGAATGGCGTGAACCCGGGAGGCGGAGCTTGCAGTGAGCCGAGATCGCGCCACTGCACTCCAGCCTGGGCAAAAGAGAGAGACTCCGCCTCAAAAAAAAAAAAAAAAAAGAAAAAATCCTCGGTAACAAAGAATAAAAACAAGAGAAAATTTTTAACAAAAAGAAAGACTATGTGTAATAATCTAAAACAAAATCTAAACATGATAGCCTGGGAGTTGGGTGGACACCAAAGGGAGATGTTTCAGTAAAAACTGGACAGCCAATAGGACAATGGTCTCAGGGTGAACCATTTCTATAGCCTGATGATAGGGTAGAATTTCCAGTGGGACAAGCTATGAAGGTGGAAGACAGTGAAAATGATTATCTTGACCTTGTGTAGGCCTAGGCTAATGAGTGTGTCTGTGTCTTAATTTTTCATAAAAAATTTAAAAGGTAAAAAAATTAAAAATAAGAAAAAAGCTTATAGAATAAGGATATAAAGAAAGAAAATATTATTGTACTGGTATATAATGTGTTTGTGTTTTAAGCTAAGTGTTATTACAAAAGAGTAAAAATGTTAAAAAAAACTAAGTTTATAAAGTAAAGTAGTTACAGTAAGCTAAGGGTAATTTATTATTGAAGAAAAAATATTTTCAATATGTTATTAGTCTGTTTTCATGCTGCTGATAAAGACATATCTGAGACTGGACAATTTACAAAACAAAGAGAGGTTTAATGGACTTACAGTTCCACGTGGCTGGGGAGGCCTCATAATCATGGCAGGAGGCAAGGAGGAGCAAGTCACATCTTACATGGATGGCAGCAGGCAAAGAGAGAGAGGTTGTGCAGGGAAACTCCCCTTTGTAAAACCATCAGATCTTGTGAGACTTATTCACTGTCATGAGAACAGCATGGGAAACACCTGCCCCCATGATTCAATTACCTCGCCAGGTGGTCCCTCCCACATCACCTGGGAATTCAAGATGAGATTTGGGTGGGGACATAGATATCAAATATCTTAGTGTACCTGTAGTGTAAGGTGTTTATAATGCCTACAGTAGTGCATAGCAACATCCTAGGCCTTCACATTCACTCAGCACTCACTCACTCTATTCACCCAGGGCAACTTCTTGTCCTGCAAGATCCACTCAACGGTAAGTGCCCTATACAGGTGTACCACTTTTAAATCTTCCGTATCATGTTTTTTAATGTGTCATTCCTATATTCATATACTTTTAAATACATGTGACTGTACTGAACCCTGAAAGCAATTGTAACACAATCATAAGCATTTAAGGGCTATAGGCATTACCATAGAGTCTAGGTGTACAATGGGCTGTACCATCTAGGTGTGTGTAATTATGGCACACTCTGATATTTGCACAAGGACAAAATCAATTGATGATGCATTTCTCAGAACACATTCCCATTGTTAAGCTATGCATGACTGTATGAGATTACACTCTTCTGCTCAAAACCATTTTTTGATTTCCTATTGCCCACAGAATCAAGTCAAATTTTCTTATTCTAACATTGAAAAAAGTCATCTATTATTTACTACAATGTTTTTGCATTTTTCTCACTACCATCCATTGGTCATTCCTTTAATTGTATTGATTATTATTTTCCAACATTTCTGTTCTATGATTCTATGATTTAAAGCCATCTCTTAGTTTTCACCTTCCTCCTCTTCAGATTCATGAGGAAATCCTTCATGTTCTACTTTTGCTATAAATCCTGCAATTGGAGCCCCTTGATGCATTGCTCTTACACCCAGCCACCATCACCTCTCACTCCAAACAGCATGATAGCTTCCCCATTGGGTGTTCAGCCTTGATCTTTACCATGTAGAAACTCCACAGTGCCTACACTGAATACTCTTCTATGGATTGAATCACATCATGCCATTTCTAAGCTTGCAGAACTCCAGGACCTTTGCAATTCTCTGAGAAACAACAACCAAGTCCTTTTCTTGGACAGGGAGGACTTACATGATCTGACTCACTCACTCTTCTGATCTGATCTTCCACCACTTCTGCCTCATGCATCTCGCTCCAGCCACACTGGCCACTTGCTCTTCCTGGCACTGACATGCTTCTGCCCCCAAGCTCTTGCCCTTGCTTTCTCTCTACCTGGAACTTTCTTTTTCTGCTCCTGAAAAGATGCACACCTTACTCTTTCTGCCTTCTTTCTTCCAATGTCTGCTTAAATGTTACCTTCCCTGCGATCACTTTATATAAAATTGTACTCCTCTCCCACCATTCTGAATCTTCCTTAATTTTATTTTTATAACACTTTCCATTTCATAAACTTATCAATTATTGTTTATTTTTATTTGTTTCTTGTTCCTCTTTGAATTTACACTGAGGGATGATGGCGATTTTTCCATTTTCCAAGAATAGAAAATTGCATGTACCATGGAACCAGCAAACCTTTGCTGAGTGAATTTCTGTAATTTTTCCACATTGTTGATATACCCTGAAATACCTATCCCTCAACTGTCAGACCTTCTACTTTCCTTGAGAAACCCAGTACAAACACCATCTCTTCCATCAAGACCTCTTTAATTCCCTCAGTTCTAATTAAATGTTCTTCTGAAAGATTCCAAAGTATTTTAAATTCATATTTTAGAATCTTTCACATTGTATCATGCTTTCAAGTTGCTAAGTATACAGCAATTTCCCCCGGTAGAACGTGAGCTCCTTTTCTTTATGGTTGTATTGAGAGAGGCAGTCTGCCATGGGCCCTGAGGGTCCCCTCTAGTAGGTTTGCCAGATAAAATAAAGGATGCCCGGCTACATTTAAATTTCAGATAAACAACAAATGCAATATTTGGAACACACTTATATTAAAATATTTATGCTCTTGAAATTCAGTGTAAATTCTAGTCTGTCTGTGTTTTATTTCTCACCTTGCTTACAGAATAAAAGTACACATAATGTCTTCCAGAAATGAATGTAGGCAAATCCTCATAGTCTCTAGCCCTCCATCCTAGTTTTCTTCAAACACTCTTTAATACTGAGTCCCTACAATCACTTATTTGAACAAAATGGCAAGAGGCTAGCTGCTGCCTAATTTATTTAATTAATATTTATCTTAAATTCATTAATAACCCTACTCCACCCCTTCCCCCTCCTGAATCATACCCTCCCAAGAAAATAAGCCTGTATCCTCTTCTCTTTAAGATCAATGGGAAAACACGGCAATGATATTTTATAGTCTACCTGTAGCATTAGTGACTTATTTTTTAAAAATAAATTCTTGTGGAATAGTATTAGATTTACAGAAAAGGTGCAAAGATAATTCAGTGCTATACTTTATCCAATTCCCCCTAATGTTATCACCTTACATTACTGTGATAACATTTGTCAAAACTAATAAATTAACACTTATACAATATTATTAACTGAATGCTTAGTTTTATTCAGATGTCTCCAGTTTTCCCAGTAATGTCTATTTTCTGCTTCAGGATCCCACATTACATTTGAGTGTCTTTTCTCCGTAGGCTGCTCTGGTCTAGGACATTGTCTTAGCCTTTGCTTGTTTTTGATGACCTCAAGGTTTTGATGAGTGTCTGTCAGGTAGCTTGTAGGACGTGTTTTCATGTCTCCTTCTGAGGAGACAAATATGCAGCACAGGGGCCACCAGTGAGTCCTCTGAGGCTCACGGTGCAGTGGCAGCCAGCGTGGTGTCTCCATTAGAAAGTCCTCACACCCTCTCTTGCCTTACTTCCCTTTCCTCACCCATGAATTTGTATGTCCAAAATAATGCATCTGTCTTCTAGAAATATCAAGAGAAAAACAGCAGTAATCATTAACTGTGTTTGCTTGGGAGGAAGGGTGAGGAGAGAATTTTGAAAGTGACTGTGATTTTTTTTTTAAATATTGTAATCGGACATTCTATGCCACTTTCAAGTCTCTGTTCTGGGCTCCAGGCTTATATTAGTAGAAATCAAAGAGTCTGTTAATCTCATACCCTTCCATATTTGCTTTCATATGATAGGCAGTTAGGGAAAGATCATTAAATAAAACATCTGTCATTTTACCTCAAAATAGCATCAGTTACCACTACACATCTATTAGAATATTGAAAGCTCAGAAACACTGAGAACACCAAATGCCGGCAAGTAAGTGGGGAAAGAGGAACTCTCATTCATTGCTGGTAGAAATGCAAAATGGCATAACAACTTTGACAGCTCTGCAGCTTCTTTCAAAGCTAAACATAATCTCCTGTATGATCCAGCAATCGGGTCCTTGGTATTTACGCAAATATGTTTAACATTTATGTGCACACAAAAACCTGCATATATGTAAATTTTCCATAAGTTATTGGAGTACAGGTGGTATTTGCTTACATGAGTAAGTTCTTTAGTGGTGATTTGTGAGATTTTGGTGCACCCATCACCTGAGCACTACACACTGCACCCTATTTGTAGTCTTTTATACCTCTCCCCCTCCCACTCTTTCTCACAAGTCCCCAAAGTCCATTGTATCATTCTTATGCCTTTGTATCCTCATAGCTTAGCTCCCACATATCAGTGAGAACATAAGATGTTTGGTTTCCGTTCCTGAGTTACTTCACTTAGAATTTAATAGTCTCCAATCTATCCAGATCACTGAAAATGCTGTTAGTTCATTCCTTTGTATGGCTGAGTAGTATTCCATCATATATATATATATACATATATATCACAATTTATCCACTCATTGATTGATGGGCATTTTGGTTGGTACCACGATTTTGCTATTTTAAATTGTGCTGCTATAAACATGTGTGTGCAAGTATCTTTTTTGAATAATGACTTCTTTCCCTCTGGGTAGATACCCAGTAGTGGGATTGCTGGATTAAATGGTAGTTCTATTTTTAGTTCTTTAAGGAATCTCCACACTATTTTCCATAGTGGCTGTATTAGCTTACATTCCCACCAGCGGTGTGGACATGTTCTCTATTCACTGCATCCATGCCAACATCTACTGTTTTTTGATTTTTTTTTATTATTGCCATACTTGCAGGAGTAAGCTAGTATTGCATTGTGGTTTTGATTTGCATTTCCCTGATAATTAGTGATTTTGAGCATTTTTTCATATGTATATCTTCTTTTCAGAATTGTCTATTCATGTCCTTAGCCCAATTTTTGATGGGATTTTTTTTTCTTTCGTACTGATTTGACTTCACTGTAGCTTCTGGATATTAGTCCTTTGTCAGGTGTATAGATTGTGAAGATCTTCTCCCACTTTGTGGGTTATCTGTTTACTCTGCTGACTGTTCCTTTTGTCCTGCAAAAGCTCTTTAGTTTAATTAGGTCCCAGCTATTTATCTTTGTTTGTATTGCATTTGCTTTTGGGTTCTTGGTAATGAAATCCTTGCCTAAGCCAAGGTATAAAAGGGTTTTTCCAATGTTTTCTTCTAGAATTTTTATAGTTTTAGTCTTAGGTTTATGTCCTTTATCCATCTTGAGTTGATTTTTGAATAATGTTAGAGATGAGGATCGAGTTTCATTCTCCTATATATGGCCAGCCAACTATCCTAGCACCATTGCTGAAAAGGGTGTCCCCTTCCTGTGCCCATGTGTTCTCATTGTTGAATTCCCACCTATGAGTGAGAACATGCGGTGTTTGGTTTTTTGTCCTTGCAATAGTTTGCTGAGAATGATGGTTTCCAGCTTCATTCATGTCCCTACAAAGGACATGAACTCATCATTTTTTATGGCTGCATAGTATTCCATGGTGTATATGTGCCACATTTTCTTAATCCAGTCTATCACTGATGGACATTTGGGTTGGTTCCAAGTCTTTGCTATTGTGAATAGTGCTGCAATAAACATACATGTGCATGTGTCTTTATAGCAGCATGATTTATAAACCTTTGGGTATATACCCAGTAATGGGATGGCTGGGTCAAATGGTATTTCTAGTTCTAGATCCCTGAAGAATCACCACACCGACTTCCACAATGGTTGAACTAGTTTACAGTCCCACCAACAGTGTAAAAGTGTTCCTATTTCTCCACATCCTCTCCAGCACCTGTTGTTTCCTGACTTTTTAATGATTGCCATTCTAACTGGTGTGAGATGGTTTCTCATTGTGGTTTTGCTGTGCATTTCTCTGATGGCCAGTGATGGTGAGCATTTTTTCATGTGTTTTTTGGCTGCATAAATGTCTTCTTTTGAGAAGTGTCTGTTCATAAGGGGAACATCACACACTGGGGACTGTTGTGGGGTGGGAGGAGCGGGGAGGGATAGCATTAGGAGATATACCTAATACTAAATGACAAGTTAATGGGTGCAGCACACCAACATGGCACATGTATACATATGTAACAAACCTGCACGTTGTGCACATGTACCCTAAAACTTAAAGTATAATAATTAAAAAATTAAAAAATTAAAAAAAAGAACACTTTATGTTTTAATTTGCTTTGTCAAAGATCAGTTGGCTGTAAGTATTTGGGTTTATTTCTGGGTTCTCTATTCTGTTCAATTGGTCAATGTGCCTATTTTTTTACCAGTACCATGCTGTTTTGGTGATGATGGCCTCACAGTGTACTTTGAAATCAGCTAGTGTGATGCCTTCATATTTGTTCTTTTTGTTTAGTCTTGCTTTGGCTATGCGGGCTCTTTTTTGGTTCCATATAAATTTTAGAATTGTTTTTTCTAACTCTGTGAAGAATGATGGTGGTATTTTGATGGGGATTGCATTGAATTTGTAGATTGCTTTTGGCAGTATGGTCATTTTCACAATATAGATTCTACCTATCCATGAGCATGGGATGTGTCTCCATTCATTTGTGTTGTCTATGATTTCTTTCAGCAGTGTTTTGTACTTTTCCTTGCAGAGGTCTTTCACCTCCTTGGTTATATAGGAATAATATTCCTAAGTATTTTATTTTAATTTTTGCAGCTATTGTAAAATGAGCTGAGTTCTTCATTTGATTCTCTGCTTAGTTGCTGTTGGTGTATAGAAGAGCTACTGATTTGTGTATATTAATCTTCTATCCGAAAACTGCTAAATTTTTTATCAGTTCTAGGAGCTTTCTTCAGGAGGAGTCCTTAGGGTTTTCAAGGTAAACAATCATATCATCAGCAAATACTGACAGTTTGACTTTCTCTTTGCCAATTTGGATGCCCTTTATTTCTCTCCCTTCTCTGATTGCTCTGGCTAGGACTTCCAGTAGTATGTTGAAGAGGAGTGATGAGAATGGGCATCCTTGTTTGGTTCCAGTTCTCAGAGGGAATGCTTTCAACTTTTCCTCATTCAGTATTATGTTGGCTGTGGGTTTGTCATAGATGGCTTTTATTACATTAAGGTGTATCCCTTGTATGCCAATTTTGCTGAGAGTTTTAATCATAAAGGCATGCTGGATCTTGTTGAATGCTTTTTTTTTTGCATCTATTGAGATGATCATGTGATTTTTGTTTTTAATTCTATTTATGTGGTGTATCACATTTATTGACTTGTGTATGTTAAACCATCCCTGCATCCCTGGTATGAAACCCACTTGATCCTGGTGGATTATCTTTCTGATATGATGTTGGATTCAGTTAGCTAGTATTTTGTTAAAAATGTTAGCATCAATGTTCATTAACGATATTGGTCTGTAGTATTCTTTCTCTGGCTATGTCCTTTCCCGCTTTGGGGATTAGGGTGATGGGTGATGCTGGCTTTGTAAAATGAATTGGGGGGGTTCCTTCTTTCTCTATTTGTGGAATAGTGTCAAAAGGATTGGCACCAATTCTTTAAATATCTGGTAGAATTCTGCTTTGAATCCATCTGTTCCTGGACTTTTTTTGTTGGTAATATTTAATTACCATTTCAATCCTGCTGCTTGTTTTTGGTCAGTTCAAGGTATCTAATTCTTCCTGATCTAAGCTAGGAGGATTGTATTTTTCCACCAATTGATCCATTTTTTCTAGGTTTTCTAGTTTATGTGCATAAAGGTGTTCATAGTAGTCTTGAATGATCTTTTGTATTTCAGTGGTGTCATTTGTAATATCTCCTGTTTTGTTTCTTAGTGAGGTTATTTGTATTTTCTCTCGTCTTTCCTTGGTTAATCTTGCTAGTGGTCTATCAATTTCATTTATCTTTACAAAGAACCAGCTTTTTGTTTCATTTATCTTTTGTATTTTTTTTTTGTTTTAATTTCTTTTAGTTCTGCTCTGATCTTGGTAATTTCCTTTCTTCTGCTGGGTTTGGGTTTGGTTTGTTCTTGTTCCTCTAGTTTTTTGAGGTGTGACCTTAGATTGTCTGTTTGTGCTCTTTCAGTCTTTTTGATGTAGGTGCTTAGGGCTATGAAATTTCCTCTTAGCACCATCTTTGCTGTATCTCAGAGGCTTTGATAGGTTGTGGCATTATTGTTATTCAGTTCAAATAATTTTTAACTTTCCATCTTGATTTCATTTTGGACCAAATGATCATTCAGGAGCAGGTTATTTAATTTCCATGTATTTGCAAGGTTTTGAAGATTCCTTTTGGAGTTGATTTCCAGTTTTATTCCACTGTGGTCTGAGAGAGTGATTGACATAATTTCAGTTTTCTTAAATTTACTGAGGCTCATTTTATGGCCTATCATATGGTCTGTCTTGGAGAAAGTTCCATGTGCTATTGAATAGAATGTGTATCCTGCAGTCGTTGGATGAAATGTTCTGTATATATCTGTTAAGTTCATTTGTTCCAAGGTATAATTTAAATCCATTGTTTCTTTGTTGACTTTCTGTCTTGATGTCTTGTCTAGCACTGTCAGTGGAGTACTGAACTCCCCCACTTTTATTGCATTGCTATCTATCTCATTTCTTAGGTCTATTGGTAATTGTTTATAAGTTTGGGAGCTCCAGTGTTAGGTGCAAATATGTTTAGGATTGTGATATTTTCCTGTTGGACAAAGCTTTTTACATATATAATGTCCCTCTTTGTCTCTTTTAACCATTATTACTTTAAAGTTTGTTTTGTATGATATAAGAATAGCGACCCCTGCTTGCTTTTGGTGTCCATTTGCATGAAATGCCCTTTACCACCCCTTTACTTTAAGTTTTTATGAGTCTTTATGTGTTGTGTTTGAGTCTCCTAAAAGCAGCCAATAGTTGGTTGGTGAGTTCCTATCCATTATGCCGTTCTGTATCTTTTAAGTGGAGGCTTTAGGCCATTTACATTCAGTGTTAGTATTCAATGTTAGTATTGAAATTCTCTCAGCATTTTTTTGTCTGAAAATGACTGCATCTTTCCTTCATATATGATGCTTAGTTTCTCCGGATACGAAATTATTGGCTGATAATTGTTTTGTTTGAGGAGGCTGAAAACAGGGCCCCAGTCCCTTCCAGCTTGTAGGGTTTCTACTGAGAAATCTACTGTTAATCTGATAGGTTTTCCTTTATAGGTTACCTGGTGCTTCTCTCTCACAGATCTTGATTCTTTCTTCACCTTTGGATAACCTGATGACAATGTGCCTAGGTGAAGATCTTTTTGTGATACATTTTCTAGGAGTTCTTTGTGCTTCTTGTATTTGGATGTCTAGGTCTTCAGCAAGGCTGGAGAAATTTTCCTCATTTATTCCCTCATATATATTTTCCCAGCTTTTAGAATTCTCTTCTTCCTCAGGAACACCAATTATTCTTAGGTTGGGTCATTTTACATAATCCCAGACTTTTTGGTGGCTTTGTTCATATTTTCTTACTCTGTTTTCTTTGTTTTTGTTGGATTGGGTTAATTCAAAGACCTTGTCTTTGAACCCTGTATTTATTTCTTCTACTTGTTCAATTCTGTTGCTGAGACTTTCCAGAGCATTTCACATTTCTAAAAGTGTGTCCAAAGTTTCCTGAATTTTTGATTCTTTTTTCTTTAAGCTATCTATTTCCTTGAATATTTCTCCCTTAACTTCTTGTATCATTTTTTGGGATTTCATTGCGTTGGGCTTTGCCTTTCTCTGGTCCCTCCCTGATTAGCTTAAAAACTAATCTCCTGAATTCTTTCTCAGGTAAATCAGGGATTTCTCTTGGTTTGGATCCACTGTGGGTGAATTAGTGTGATTTTTGGGGGGTGTGAAGAGCTTTGTTTTGTCATAACAAAGGGTTAGTTTTCTGGTTCCTTCTCATTTGGGTAGCCTCTGTCAGAGGGAAGGTCTAGGGCTGAAGGCTGTTGTTCAGATTCTTTTGTCCCATGTGGTGTTCCCTTGATGTAGTACTCTCCCCCTTTTCCTATTGATGTGGCTTTCTGTGAGCCAAACTGTAGTGATTGTTGTCTCTCTTCTAGGTCTAGCCACCTAGTGTGTCTACTTGGCTCTGGGCTGGTACTGGGGGTTGTCTGCACAGAGTCCTGTGATGTGAACCATGTATGGGTCTCTCAGCCGTGGATACCAGTACTTGTTCCAGTGGAGGTGGCAGGGGTGGACTCTGTGAGGTTTCTTAGCTTTGGTGGTTTAATGCTCTATTTTTGTGCTGGTTGGCCTCCTACCAGGAGGTGGTGCTTTCCAGAAAGCATCAGCTGTGGTAGTATAGAGAGGGACCAGTGGTGGGCGGAGCCCTAGAACTCCCAAGATCATATGCCCCCTGTCTTCTGCTACCCAGGTGGATAAGAAAGGACCATCAGGTGGGGGCAGGGCTAGGTGTGTCTGAGATCAGACTCTCCTTGGGCAGGTCTTGCTGTGGCTCTTGTGGGGGATGGGGGTGAGATTCCCAGGTCACTGAAGTTGTGTACTTAGGAGGATTATGGCTGCCTCTGCTGAGTCATGCGGGTTGTGGGAGAAAGCTGGCAGTCAAAGGCCTCACCCAGCTCCCATGCAAACCAAAGGGCCGGTCTCACTCCCACCCTGCCTCTCCCCAACAGCCCCGAGTCTGTTTCCAGGTGGAGGGTGTGTGGGCTTGAAAACTTGCCCCAGGCTACCTGCCTTCTAGTTGGGAAAGAAAAGGGCTTGGTTCTTCCCCTGCCTGTGGAGTCTGCACACAGGATTTGCACCCTTACCTGAGCTCTGGCCAGGAGGCTTCTTGCCCTGTTCAAATTGTTACAAAGTTCAACTAGAGATTTCCTTCTCCCTGTGGAGTTTTACCCCCTGCTCCTCTGGTCACCCTTCCAATGGATCCCTGTGGTACCAGGCAAAAATGGGCTGCTTGGGACCCAGTGAGCTCCCAGGGCCTTTCTGCTGCTTCCTCTAGCCCTGTATTTTGCTTGGCTCTCTAAATTGACTCAGCTCCAGGTAAAGTCGGAAGCTTCTCCCACAAACAGACCTTCAGCTTCTCCAGTGGCGGTGTGTGTTTGGGAGAGGAGAGTCTCCCTTTCCCACTCACACAGTTGGAGCACTCACAGTATTCCCACATGGATATTTTGACAGTTGGGGAGGTGATGCATGCATGGGGTCTTCTCTAAAATATAGTCTGCAAAAATTGTTTCAGTTAAGTATCCTAAAAATCCCTAATCTTCCCAAGAGGTAGAGGAACACTTTACCTTCCTAAATCTGTTGTTAAAGAGCTTAATGTTTATCATATTGATGATACATCACTGCATTAGCAATTACATGGAGACAAACACTCTGCTCAAAAACCTCATGTGAAACATTTGTCTTTTCTTGATCCTGTGCAATTGCAAATTATTTTGGAAAATACACCTTCATAATTTTCATCTCTGTGTTATCACCATCGCCATACATTCTCACATGCTACCCCCTAAGCATTTGGTTGAATGAGTGAGGGTGAAAGATACGGACACTTTTTACACAGCCACCTTTTACCATATTCTTAAAGGATATCATATAATATTATTGAATGATGATGAGAGAAGAAGAAATGAAGGTAGACAGGTGAAACAAGCAGATGTTTCTGACCTTATTAAAGGTCCTTTAATTTAGATTAAGAAGCATTGTTTACTGAAGAGTGTGCTCTGTGTGTGTGTGTGGGTGCATGTGTGTGTGTTCAACTGAAAGTAAAATGAGTTTCTGGTAATAATAACTTTGATGAAGAGGAAGGAGGAATGATTTGGTGATGGCGGTTCGCTGAGTGGACACCATGTCTGGGTGGATGAGGCTCATTGTAGCAGCTGAGTGTGTGAGGAGGGTGACAGGCAGAGAAGAGGAAAGTTAGGAGGCAGAGATGCTGGGAACATAGAGAAAAGGGAGAGGAGATGTGTTAGGCTTTCCTTGGCTTGGTGTAAACGAATACCCCAGATTGGGTGATTTATAAAGTAGGGGCATAATTGACTCACGGTTCTGCAGGCTGTACAAACAGCATGGCACCAGCATCAGCTTGGCTTCTGCAGAGGCCTCAGGGAGCTTTTACTTGTGGTGGAAGGTGAACTGGGGGCAGGCAGTCACACGGCAAGAGCGGGAGCAAGAGAGAGTGGAGGGCGGAAGGCACCCCCCACTTTTAAACAACCAGATCTCTTGAGAATGCACTCAATATCGTGAGGACGGCCCCAAGCCATGAGGGCTCTGTCCCCATGACCCAAACAACCCCCTCCAGGCCCCTCTTCCAACACTGGAGATTTCATTTAAACATGAGATTTGTACAGGACAAATATCCAAACCATATCAGAAACACACTAGTTGACAATTTTTGCAAGAAAATAACAGAAAAGGAGGAGGATAACTAAAAGAAGAAAGAAAGCAATATGAAACTCAATAAAATATTTTGGAAGCTTTCTTGCTGGTCACAGGCAGTGTATTAATTGTTAAACCTAATTTCTTTTGCTTTCTGTTTGAGGTCTTCTCCATAAACTCTACATCATGCCATATGCTGCCACCCACCCTTTTCTCTTAGGAAGACATCGGCTCTCTTGTTTTTAAATGAATATGGGAAGAACACCCAATGTAGGTCTGATTGTATTATTAGCAGCCATTGACTATATCAAAAACTGTGTCACCCCAAGAAACATAACTTTTGTCTTTTGCGTTAATATTGTGTTTAATTGAATGTTTAGTTAGTTTACACTGGTGTGGCCACTGGTTCTAGCTGGCATCTGATTTGATTGGTCATTGCCTATATTTTAAACGTTTAAAATATTTTAAACGTTTAAAATATCACCAAAAAGCAATGCTTTTGTCAGGAAATGCTTGGCTTCTTACTTCTATTTATATCTACTGCACACACAATTTGAATTTAGGCCATGAAGTCTAACCATATAGAACACTATGGCATCCAACTAAGCAGGTTGATCGAACAAACATATGTCTCAGACAGATATGGGTCAAACTATGATAGATTAGTGGGGACCATTGGCTCATTTAATTCAAGGAGTGTGAACAACTAAAATCTAGATAGGAAAGGCATTCCATTGTAAGTTAAGCAAAAATAAAATACAAATCAGAAAGCTGCCAGATCTCTTTCTGCATCTTTTATTTTAGCTTCATTATTTTTTTCTCATAGTAGACTGGCTTACTTCACTTGGTTGAAAAACTGAGATCTCACCAATGACAACTTCCAAGACTCAGTGTCAGGCTTCAGCCACAGAGAGAGATGAATCTTCCTTCTTAAATCTACCTTAAAAATCCAAGAGAAGAACCCTCACTAGCCTACCTTGTGTCAGGAGCACACTGCTGAATAAATCAGTGTGGCCAGTTGCATGAGGTCAAGTTAGGACAACCAGCACATTTAATGAGTGCCAGAGGAGTTTGTATATAGAATGGTGGTGAATCTCAAAAGAAGTTCAGCACATGGATTCTGAGTATTCACAGACCGGGGATCATAAGAAGAAAACATATTAAGCCGCTGCTCGGGCCACACATTGAGTTATTCAGAATTACAGCTCTCTATTTTTGTTTGTTTGTTTTAAATAGATAAAAGATACTTGACAGGGTTTTATGATGACCCTTAAAAAATTAATAAATAATATTATGTGAGTTAGAGGTAAATAGATGAGACAGATATAAACATAGATTATAATCTTAATTTTATGAAAAACAGTGCAGGTTGTTATAACCCCTTGGGTCTTCAGATATTGTTTTTAATCTCTCTATTCAGAAGTATTAACATTAGCTTTGGATACTGTGTAATAGCAGCAATCTTTGGAGTAATACTGAAGCCATTTGGGATTTAAAATATTACACAATTCAGAAAGTAGAAGGGTTCTAAATTATCATCTAGAGCCACAGATGTTTGACTTTTTGTTTGCTTTTCTGAACACCTGAAGTGTAAAACACTTAATCTTATTGACTAGATTTTTTTTTGAACAGTTTAAGTTCAACATTACTAAGAACTGTTTGCAGAATCAGTTTGATTGAAACACTTAAACAATCTGGCTATTACAAATGACGCTGAATAAAATAACTCTAGGTGGTTTAAGCCATTTGTTAATAGTCCATGATTGAGAACGTCTTGGACTTATCTAAATTATACAGAAATATACATTTAACTCTTTAGTAGCTTTTGGTGTTTTGTTGTTATTGTTATTCTTTTATTATTACTACCAGCCAGCCACTTTATTGAAAATGCCCTTGCCACAAGAGACCTATATTTTGTTTGTGGGAACATTGTGTTTAATAAACACTACAACTATGAAATAAAATTGTGGGACTTAGTCTTTTACACCTGTGCTCAAATATTGTGCCTACCACTCTTCTTTGATGTTGTTATTGGTAAAATTGGTTTATAAGAAACACATTGCCAGCCGGACGCGGTGGCTCACACCTGTAATCCCAGCACTTTGGGAGGCCAAGTCAGGCGGTTTGCCTGAGCTCAGGAGTACATGGTGAAACCTCGTCTCTGCCAAAAATACAAAAATTAGCTGGGCGTGGTGGCATGCGCCTGTAATCCTAGCTACTCCAGAGGCTGAGGCAGGAGTATCGCTTGAACACGGGAAGCGGAGGTTGCAGTGAGCTGAGATCGCCCCACTGCACTCCAGCCTGGTCAACAGAGCAAGACTCTGTCTCAAATAAATAAATAAATAATAAAAATAAATAAATAATAAAAGAAACACATTGCCAGGATGCTACAGAAGCTGAATGACTTTCCGGAAGATTTTAGGAAATGTAGGACCAGGACCATAGTCAGATTTATGTTTTAAGAAAATCTCTTTGGCAGCAGTGAGATTAGAGAACTATAAGCTTCTAGTAACTGTCTGAGAATTACTGCCTGGATCAAGGCAATAAATGTGGGTTAGCATAGGGTTGTCAGGGATCAGCTATCTGAGATGGTATCTATGAGGGTGGTTATTAGCCTTGGTGGTAAACAAGCAGAATTCACGTATAGTATATTTCTAGGTTCCCCAGTTAATTACAGTATTCAGCAAAGGTTGCAAACCAGTGATCGATATAGTTGGTAACCTGTTGAAAGCTGGATAACATGAAGCAGTGGTTCTTAACGCTGATGTAACTAGAACTACCTGTTCAGCTTTTAAGAAACAAATAAATGTCCTAACTTCATTCAAACACATTAAATCAGAATTTCTGGTGGGAGTTCAGTTATAGTATTATTTTATAGTTTATAGGTGATTCTAAAGATCAATCCAAGTTGAGATTCCCTGAGAGAGAAGAAGGCAGCTAGGCAAATCATGAAAGGCTTGGACACCTGGATAGCTAGAAATGCAATTTATTGAGAAAAGGAATGTATGAAAATGAATAGCTTTGGAGTTATGGGTCAGAATGGTGTGAGTGTGTGCATGTGTGTGTGCAGGTGCGTGTGTGGGTGTTGTGAACATGTTGGTCTTAACGTACCTAAGGGACCACCTGGTGATGATGCTGAAGAGGAAGTTTGGTTGATTACTTTGGATCTCAGAAGAAGGAGTGGGTTAAGAACATCAGTATAAAAATGATAGTTGAAGCCATGGACAAAAATAGGGTCTCCCAAGAAAAAATGTGAAGGGTGATGAATTATTAAGAAATAAAAGCACAAGCCTGGGTAACATCACAATATGAGTGTAGGGGAGGGGAGGGAAATATACTCTATTATTTCAATGCACAGAAAGAGAGACTTTGAAACACTTTGGTATATACACATAAAGAAGACTGTGTTAGCATTCAGTGATTTGATCCAGCCACTTGGATTTAGAACTACATACCAAGGAAAATTGGAAATGCAGAGTCAAGTGGGCCCAAATCAAAAGCAGATGAACTCATTTGAACAACATTACAAAGACTCCCTTGCCTCCTAAATGAGGATTAATTTATTGTAAAACAGAAAATTAAACTTAGGAAACAGAGACCCCATCCATGTTCTCAGCTTGACCAAGATGATAGGTCTTTGTATTATTCCAGAATTTATAACATTTTAAATTCTATAAATTAATTAAATTGCTTTGAATAGTTGGAGAACAATCATTAAAACCCAATGTCTTTTCTACTGGAAAGCATCTAATCATGGAGTATAGAGGATTGCTTTGTATTTTCCTTGCCCGCTCCTAGGGAAATAAAACAAAACTGCATTTCACAGCCAAAAGGTATTTTGGCAGAGCCTTTCAGGATTGCAAAGTACAGAAGTTATTCTAGTCTCTGGAAATTAAATACGTAATTTCACTAATTAGGAAACTATGACCTGAGTCATACAAAAATTCTCAATATTTCAGGATTAAATCACCACTCTGAATGTTACCAATTGACCTTTATCAATTAAACATGCTTAGGGAGAACTATGGTATTCTTAAATTTATAATTAACATATTTTAATTATGTTTTACTCCTTTAAAAGGAAATATATTTATTCTATATTAATTGCATTGCATACTCAAATTAGACCTGGTGGAACCAACCATTCATGCTCATCTCATTACTGGGACACTCCCTAGGACAAATGGCAGGAGCTACAAGGGGGAAGAAATGCTCGCTGATTTTTTCCCTCAGGATACGTTTGGTGGACTTTCCATGTGGCTTCAGAAGAAATGGAGCCTGAATTCCAATTCTGACTTCAAACCTTAGTGTGACCTCGTGCAAGTCACATAACCCTTCATTTGGAGAATGCGGATGGTGATAATAAGATTGTTGTAAGAAGTGAATGAAAATATTCATTTAAAATGCTGACAATAGAGCTTTTCTCACAGTAAATAAAGAACAAATGTCAGCTTTTATTGTTATTATTATCAAAATTAGTAGTATGTGCTCCCTAACCTTAAGTTGTTTATTTGTAATAATAATGAGTGTGAGAAGCAATAGACTACGAAGTGGCTAGCATCTACACTTTCTAAGAAGAGGATTCTTTTATTGCTGATTTTAAAGAAAGAAATCCCTCATTCTTTGTGAACCCCTGAATGAATTTCAATACCATGCACAAAGTCAACTCTGACCTTCTGCTCTAGCCTATGTTGTACCCTTCCATGACACATGAAATTCTTACCATATTCAATAAATCAGAAAACATCTTTGCATTGACTATCTTTTTTTTTTCTGATTGACTACTGTGGTAAGCTTAAAAATTATCCCTTCACCCCCTAAAAGATGTTGCTATCTGAACTTCAGAAACTCTGAATATGATACCTTTCTCATTAAAAGAGCCTTTGCAGAGATGATTAAGTTGTGGATTTTAAGATAGTAAGGTTATCCAGGCAGTCCCACTGTAATCCAATATTATCACAGGTTTCCTCTTAAGACAGTGGCAGACAGAGATTTCACTACAGAAGAGGAGAGGGTATGTGACTATAGAAGCAGAGATTGGACTAATATAGCCACAAACCAAAGAATACTTGCAGTCACCAAAACTGGAACCGGCAAGGATGCCAGCCCTGTTGATACCTTACTTTTAGCCCTGCAAGACCCATTTCAGGCTTCTGCTCTTTGGACATGTAACAGAATGTATCTCTGTTGTTTCAAGCTACCAAGTATTTGGTAATAAGTTATAGCAGCTACAGGAAATGAAAACAGCTACCGTTCACATAATCTCAAGAACTAGTTCAACATTCATATTATTCAGACCCCTGCTCAAATGACATCTGCCAGCAGAGAACTTTCATTAAAAAAGACACTTTACATGAAATATTTGGGCATCAAAATCATTTCAGATTTTCAGTAGCAGCTCTGGAAACGAGAAGATGATAAAACCATGTCTGAAAGTTCTGAATGAAAATAATTGCCAGCTAAATAATCAATCAAGTGTTTTGGTAGAATAAAGATATTTCAGGACCTGTAAGAATTCAAAATATTTACTCCATACACTCATTTTTTCATGTAACATGATATTCATTCTAATGAGGGAGGATTTTAAGAAAGTAGAAGACACCAAAACCAGGAAGCATGTGGTGCATTCCCAAAAATGGGCAATGCAGAGATATTCCAGGATAGGAGACGTGCACAAAGATCGAAGAACAATCAATTCAGATAGGAACAGGTCGGAAGATGGCAGGACACAGCCCTTCAAGTAGATAAAAGTGATCTGATATTAGAATGAATGATTTTCCTAGAGGAGAGTTGGGTTCAATTATTAATAAATTCATGGACAAGAAAATAAATGGAAAAGAAAATTACTCCATGGAATGCAAATGAAAACATCGCAAAAAGGATAACTAATCCTAGTTTACCATATAGTGTAACTCTAAGTAGCAGACATAATAGTGTGGGTAATGAATAATAATCTGGCCAGAATTATACATATTTTATATGCAAGAATGTAGTGGGGCTGAGAGAAAGAAACTAAGTCATCATCTTAGGAAATACATTATGCTTACATTTAAGGAGTGAAAAGTGGAAATATAACTTAGTTATTTAGAAATTCAGAGGTAAATATGAGCGATTTTCTTTAAAGTCACTCATAAAACGTAAGGTAAGGTGGGAGGCTAGGGATTGCTATTTGTTGTCTATTAAGGTATCTAATTAACAAGTTAATATTTTAAACTATATGCATTGATAAGTTTGACAAAAATAAAAACCAAAACAGAAAATAAAATATAATTTTAGTAATAAGAAAGAAAAATTATATAGGATTATATCTAACTACAAATAAGTGGAACATTTATGGAGGGAAATAACATATATTTTAGGAAAAAATAGCTGATAATAATGATGAGAAACCCTGTTTCTTTTGCATGAGACAAGTCATTATCATACAAATCTCAAATTTCCACAAGTTTATCTGAAATTGTTACAGTTTTATTGATTTCAAGTGGAATGAAATTATGACAAACTGTCTAAATTTAATATGAGAGGATAAATATGCTTGATTTATAGGGTAGTTTATTACAGATAATTTTTTAAAATAAGCCAAAGAGAGAGCACACTATTAAGCAGTTTTAAAAGGACATTGGTGAAAAAGTAGAAAAAGTTTGAGTATGGTCAATAGTCTAGTTAGTAATATTGTATCAGTGTTAATTTCCTGTTCTTGATAATTGCATGTTTTTGTGAGATGTTAAAAATAGGAAAAGTTGAGAGACAGATAAGAACTCTTTGTATTTTTCTGCAACGTTTTCATTAATTATAAAATTGGTTCAAAACAAAATGTCTATGAAGACCAAATAGTGAAAATAATGAAGAACTGGGAAAAATGCAAAGACAAGGATCAAAAACCACGCAGAGTCTGAAACTTTCCTCTATATATTATAATTTGTATATAATATAAGTGTCTTCAATAGTCAGTGGGTAAATTAAAAGTTTTCTTATTAAATGATGTGGGGAAATTTGTTCACTATTTTGTGAAAAATAAAAAGATGTTATCACACCATACCAAAACCAATATAAAAGGATTAAATATCTTATAAAAACCAAAAACTAAGACAATAATAGAATAAAACATCAAATAGTTTTGGAACATGTGTATGCAGAAATATCTTTTATCTTTTTATAAAGACAAACTATAATGGGTACAGATAAGTGTATCAAAACTAAAGATTTTAGTTCAATAAAAGGCAGCAAAAATATATCCACATGTAAGACAGGATGGTGATGTGTGCAATTTCTAAACGGTTATAGACTTAAAATTATGTTATTTTGAAATAGCATCATAACGTAGAGAATCAGGAACTATGTAATCAATAGCATTATGAGCAGTTTGTGTTTAAGCAATCACAGAGGTAGAAAACTTAATGGTTGAGGATGGAGCAATATGGCAGAATTGAAGCCTCCACCAATCATTCCCTCTGCAGAAACATCAAATTTTAACAACCAGCTACACACATGAAAGAACCGTCATAAGAACCAAAAATCAGAAGAGCAATCACAGTACCTGATTTTCACTGTATGTCACTGAAAGAGGCACTGAAGAGGGTAGAAAAGACAGTCTTGAATTTCTGACACCACCACCCCCAACCCCTGGCAGAAGTCACGTGGCGTGAAGAGAGAATCTGTGCACTTGGGGGAGGGAGAGCACAGTGACTGGGGGACTTGGCATTGAACTCAGTGCTGCCTTGTCACAGAAGATCTCAAAGCTGTGCTAGGCTCAGCCAGTCTCCAACTTCAGAGGGATAATTTGAACGAGCCCTTGCCAGAGGGAAAACGCCCATCCCAGCAGTTGGAACTAGAGTTTCTCAGCAAGTCTCACCACCATGGGCTAAAGTGCTCTGGAGTTCTAAGTAAACTTGAAAGACTGTGTAAGATACAAAAACTTCAATTCCTAGCCAAGTCATAGAATGATGTATAACTACCAGATCTGACAAATAGCCATCAAATTGGCAAATCTAATAGTCATTGGCCTTAAAGAGAAGGCAGAGAGTGAGATCGAGGTAGGAAATTTATTTGAAGTCACAATAACACAACTTCACAAACTTAGGGATAGATACCAATATTCAATTACAGGAAGGCTGTAGAACAATCAAGCAGATTTAACCCAAATAAGACTACTTCAAGACATTTAGTAATCAACCTAAAGGTAAAGAAAAAAGAAAGGATTCTGAAAGTGGCAAGCAAAAATAAGCAAATAACATACAAAGGTACTCCAATGTGTTAGGCAGCAGGCTTTTCAATGGAAACCTTACAGGTCAGGAGAGAGTGGCATGACATATTTAAAATGTTGTGGGGGAAAAAATTACCCTAGAATAGTATATGAAGGCAAAAATATCCTTCAAACATAAAAGAGAAACAGACTTTTTCCAGACAAACAAAAGTTGGGGGATTTAACACTAGACCTGTCCTGCAAGAAATGACAGAGTTCTTCAATCTGAAAGAAGAGACTGCTAATGAATAGTAAGAAATCATCTGAAGGTACAAAACTCACTAGTAATAGTAAACACCCACGTGAAAGAACTGTCATAAGTACCAAAAATCAGATGAGCAATCATGGTACCTGGTTTTAACTTTATATCACTGAAAGAGACACTCTTCAGTGTAGGAAAAGGTAGGAAAACAATCTTGAATTTCTGACCACCCCCATCCCCTGGCAGAAAAACATGGGTATGTTAATGCTGTAATTGTGGTGTGTAAACTACTCTTTCCTTAAGTAGAAAAGACAAAATGGTGAACCAATAAAAAATAATAATGACAATAGCTTTTGAAGATATAGACAGTACAATTAGACACAGAGAAACAACAAAAAGTAAAAAAGAGAAAAAAACTAAGGCATAGAGTTTTTATTAGTTTTCTTTTTCCTTGTTTGTTTGTTTACACTATTATTCTAATGGGATATAAGATACTATTTGCAAGCCTCGTGGTAAACCTCAAATTAAAAAAAAAACATACAATGGATACACAAAAAATAAAAAGCAACAAATTAAATCATACTACAAATTAAATCAGAGTGAAAATCACCTTCACTAAAAAGAAGACAAGAAAGGAAGGAAAGAAGAAAGAGAAGACCACAAAACAACCAGAAAACAAATAACAAAATGACAAGAGTAAGCCCTTTCTCATCAGTAATAACATTGAATATAAATGGACTAAACTCTCCAGTCAAAAGACATACAGTAGCTGAATGAATGAAAAAGAAAAAAAGACCCCAAGGTCTTTTGCCTACAAGAAAAACACTTCACCTACAAAGATACATATACACTAAAAATAAAGGGATGAAAAAAGATATTTCGTACCAATAGAAACCAAAAAACATCAGAAGTAGCTAAACTTATATTAGACAAAATGTATTTCAAGAGAAAAACTGTAAGAAGAGACAAAGAAAGTTACTAAATAATTACAAAAGTGTCAGTTCAGTGAGAGGGTAAAACAATTGTGAATACATTAATATATATTCCCAATGCTGGAAAATATATATATATATATATCCAATATTATTACAGCTAAAGAGAGAGATATACATCAATACTATCTGGAGACTTCCACACCCCACTTTCAGCACTGGATTGTTCTTTCAGACATAAAATAAACAAATAAATATCAGACCTAACCTGCACTAAAGAACAAATGGACTGAATAGATATTTACGAATGTTTTATCCAATATCTACAGAATACACATTCTTCTTCTTAGCACATGGGTCATTCTCAAGGATAGACTATATGTTAGGTCACAAAACATATCTTAAAACATTCAAAAAATTAAAATAATATCAAGCATCTTCTCTGACCACAATGGAATAAAACCAGAAATTAATAACAAGATGAATTCTGGAAACCATAAAAACTCACAGTTATTAAACAATATACTCCTGAATAACCAATGGGTCAATGGAGAAATTCAGAATAAAATTGAAAAAATTCTTGAAACAAATGATTATGGAATGATAACATTTGCAAATCTAACAAATGATGATGGAAAACATGTCAAAATCTATGAGATACAGCAAAAGCAGCACTAAGAGGCAGTCCTAAGCAGTACTAAGTTTTTAGCTGTAAGTGCCTATATCAAAGAAGAAAAAACTCAAGCAACATAATGATGCATCTTAAAAAACTAGAAAAGCAATAGCAAACCAAATCAAAAATTAGTAGAAGAAAATAATTAAGAGCAGAGCAGAAATAAATTAATTTGAACTAAAGAAACCAATTAAAAATATCGATGAAAGGAAAAGTGGTTCTTTTGTAAAGTTAAACAAAATTGCCAACTTTAGGCAAACTAAGAAAAAAAAGAGAGAAGATCCAAATAAATAAAATCACAGATGAGAAAGGAAACATAACAACTGATACTGCAGTAATTCAAAGGACCATTAGTGGCTATTAGGAGCAAATATATGCCAATAAATTTTAAAAATTTAGAGGAAGTGGATACATTCCTAGACAAATACAAACTACCAATATTGAACCATGAAGTAATTTGAAACCTGAACAAGTAATGAGATGGAAGTCATAATAAAAAGTCTCCCAGCAAAGAAAAGCCTGGAACCCATGGCTTCACTGTTGATTCTGCCAAACATTTAAAAAGTAAATAATCTCAATCCTACTCAAACTATCCTGAAATATAGAAGAGAGAGAATGTTTTCAAACTCATCCAATGAGTTTAGTATTACCTTGATACCAAAACCGGACAAAGACACATCAAAAATAAAAAAGAAAATGCAAGAAAATTACACCCCAATATCTCTGATTTTTGATGCAAAAATCCTCAACATGAGCAAAACAAATTCAACAATACATTAAAAAGATGATTCATCATGACCAAGTGGGATTTATCTCAGGGATATGGGGATGGTTTAACGTATGCAAATCAGTCAATTTGATACAGCATATCAACAGAATGAAGGACAAAACCATATGGTCATTTCAATTGATGCTGAAAAATTATTTGATAAATTTCAAGATCCCTTCATAATAAAACCCCTTAGAAAACTGGGTATAGAAGAAACATACCTCAACATAATAAAAGTCATATATGACAGACTCATAGCTAGCATCATCCTGAATGGGGAAAACCTAATAGCCTTTCCTCTAAGATTTGGAAAATGACAAGATGCCCACTTTCCCCACTTTTATTCAACATAGTACTCGGAGACCTAGCTAGAGCAATCAGACAAGAGAAAGAAACAAAGGACATCCAAATTGGAAAGTAAGAAGACAAATTATCTTTGTTTGCATATGATGTAATCTGTAACTTGGAAACACCTAAAGACTCCACCAAAAAACTATTAGAACTGATAAATTTGCTAAAGGTTCAGGATACAAAATTAACATACAAAAATGAATAGCCAACACTGAACAATCTGAAAAAGAAGTCAAAATAGTATTCCCACTTAACATTAGTTAGAAATAAAATTAAATAGGAATTAACCAAAGAAGTTAAAGATCTCTCCAGTGAAAACTATGAAACAATGATGAATGAAATTGAAGAGGACACAATAAATTGGGAAGTTATTTCATGTTCATGGATTGGAAGAATCAATATTGTTTAACAGTCCATACTACCTAAAGAAAACTGGAGGAATCACATTATCTGACTTCAAATTATACTACGGAGCTATAATAACCAAAACAGGATGGTACTGCCCTAAAAACAGACACATGCAACAGAGTAGAAAACCCAGAATCAAATCCATCCAAGTACAGTGAACTCATTTTGAAAAAAGTACCAAAAACAAACATTGGGGACAAACATTAGGGAAAAAACAGTTTCTTCAATAAATGTTTCGGGGAAAATTATATATGCAGAAGAATGAAATTAGACCCTTATCTCTCACCATATACAATAATCAAAGAAAAATGGATAAAAGACTTAAATCTAAGACTTCAAACCATGAAACTACTACAAGGAAACATTGAGGAAACTCCAGGACATTGGTCTGGGCAAAAGTTTTTTGAGTCATGCCCCACAGTCAAGGCAACCAAAGCAAAAATGGACAATTGGGATCACAGCACATTAAGAAACTTCTGCATGGGAAAGGAAACAATCAACAAAGTGAAGGAACAACCCACAGAATGGGAAAAAATATTTGCAAACTACCCAACTGACCAGGTGTTAATAACCAGAATATATAAGGAGCTCAGACAACTGGATAGAAATAAATCTAATAATCTGATTAAAAATGAGCAAAAGTTTTTCAGATTGTTCAGTGTTGGCTATTCATTTTTGTAAGTTAATTTTCTATCCTGAACCTTTAGCAAATTTATCAGTTTTAATAGTTTTTTGGTGGAGTCTTTAGGTGTTTCCAAATTACAGATTATATCATATGCAAACAAAGATAATTAGTCTTCTTACTTTCCAATTTGGATGCCCTTTGTTTCTTTCTCTTGTCTGATTGCCTTATACAAAAGGCTAGAGCAATTTGTATTTTTGTATTTGACATCTAACTTGTGTTTATATACATATAAACACAAATACACATATATAAACACAAGCTAGATATCAGATATAATAGACTGAGTTATACCATAAAGAAACAAGATAAAAAATATAGGAAAATACCTTGAGATATTATTAGATATTTCTCAAAAGACATACAAATGGCAAATAGGCCTATGAAAAGGCACTCAACATCATTGATCATCAGATAAATGCAAATCAAAACTACAATGATATATCATGTCACCTCAGTTAAAATGACTTTTCTCCAAAAGAGGCAATAATGAATGCTTATGAGTATGTATAGAAAAGGGAACTTTCATACACTTTGGTGGGAATGTAAATTAGTTCAAACACTATGGAGAACGGTATAGAGGTTCCTCAAAAACAAAAACTGGAGCTGCCATAGGATAGAGCAATCCCACTAGGTATAGACCTCAAAAGAAGAAAATCAGTATTTGGAAGGGATTGCTGCACTCTCATGTTTGTTGCAGCACTGTTCACCATAGCCACGATTTGGAAGGAATCTAAGTGTCCACCAACAGATGACTGGAAAAAGAAAATCTAGCACATATACATAATGGAGTAATATTCATCCAGAAAAAGTAAAGAGATCTTGTCATTTGCAACAATATGGGTGGAATTGAGGGTCATGTTAAGTGAAATAAGCCAGGCACAGAAAGACAAACTGCATGTTTTCACTTATTTGTTGGTACTAAAATGTAAAACAATTGAACTCAGGAGTTAGAGAGTAGAAGGATCGTTTCCAGAGGCTGAGAAAGGGAGGAGTGAAGAGTGGAAGTGAAGATGGTTAATACGTACAAAAAGTAGTAAGAAGAATGAATAAGACCTAATATTTTATAGCGCCACAGAGTGACTATAGTCAACAATAATTTAATTATACATATTAATATAACTAAAAATATAATTGGATGGCTTGTAACACAAAGGGCAAACACTTGAGGGAATGGACACCCCATTTATTATGATGTAACTATTATGCCTTGCATGCTAGTGTCAGAGTATCTCATGTACTCCATAAATATATATGCCTACTATGTACCCACAAACATTTTTTAAACAGAAAGAAAACTTTAATTGCTAGCTAATATGTAAAACCATAGTTAACTGCACTAATAATTGAAGAAATGCAGGTGATAATAATGACATACTAGTTTAAGCTCATAATATGGGAAAAGTTAGAAACAGGGAAAATAGGCACAGTCAAAAAGGAATAAATCAACAACCTTTGCATTTCTGGTGGAAATATATAACGCAGCCATACTGAGAGTGATCTTGCAGTAATTAATGAAATTATGTATGCCTTATCACTCAGCAGTTGTCCTGAGTAAATAACTAAAAAAAATTACTTTCCAGAGGTCCACAGGATTTTTATATAATAGGATTCATAGCCATGTTTTGCTGGCAAAAAAATAAAAATAAAAAAATTACTTAAATTATGTAAGAGAACTATATAAATAAAAGGTGGTATAAGCAAAAAACTGAAGTGCTATGCAACAGGCAGTAATATAATTATATTGACATCTATAAACACAAGTTAGATGTCAAACATAAAAGACGGAGTTACAACAAAGAAATGGGATGAAAAATGTAGCAAAATATGTTAAGTACATTTTAAAAATAAACACAAAATGTAAATCTATTATCAAATAAAGCATATCGCTACATAAATATAAAATATATAAACACATATATAAACTTTGCTTTGGAAGAATTAAATAACTAAAATGTGTACCAAATACCCTCAATGTATGCTTCAGTTGGACTGAGAATATAATTGAGAAAATAAGTGAAGAAAAAACAGTCAAACAAAAAAGGTCCTTACTTGGAACTTACTATAGAATATTGTGACTTGAGAAATACTAATGTACTGTGCTATTAGCTTAAAATAAAAGAATAAAAATAATAATTAGCACAGCATTACTTTTTATTATTTAAAAACATGTAATATGCCACTATATATGAGAAGAAATTTAAGCATGAAAATAGCACTTTCTCTAAAATTATCAGCTAATAAAATACACTTTCCTAGGCAAACCTGGAGGGTAGAGGGTTACAAAGTTTAAATTCGTAAATATGTTTATATTTACATGCATTACTACAATTTAGACGTACATGTATTAACAACATTAGTTTATCATGTGCATTGAATATAATGAACAAAATAAATTTGCAAGGGATTAACTTCTTTACAGGTAATTGCTTTTTAGTGTGGCCTGAGAAAATTTTAAAAGGCATTTCAAAAACTGAGTGGTAGGTATTAAAGCGTCTTGAGGAGAATAACACAGTAAAACAAAAGAAAAATAGAAAAACTTATAGGAAGAGATGAGATACTTACATGGAGATAAAATGTGCAAATTTATTTGTGATAAGTGGTATATTATGAGAAATACAAAATCAATAAATATCAAGAAATATTTATTAATTAAGAATTAAGTAATACTTAAGGAAGAAAGGAGGGTTGAAGTGCAAAAGATATCTTTATAGGTACAGAAATACTTCAATATAGACAGCTCTAAAATATAAGCCACTTAGTCTATCTAGGTTTACTACTGGCCTGAAAGAGAAATAATTTACTCCTCACTCCTCTGTTCTTTTTAATTCTCTAAATAAATTTTTGCATGTTCTCATCAAAGCAATAGAGATTTGACACAAAACTCCTAAGTATTTTAAAACCTAATTTTCAGGTTAAACTTCCTGTTAAAATCTTTTGAAAGAGATACTACGTCCTTTCCAAATATAAAACCAATTGTCTTTTCATCAGTCAAGTTTCTGGTCTCAGATTACATTAGCTAATTTGGGACTTTCTACTGTGCATGTATAATAGCTGGGGGTTTTTTCTCATTTATTTTTCCATCTCCTATTCCTGAAGATTATTTATTTGTTTCTTTTGATTCCAATTATATAGCCAACTATTTTCATCACAAATCTTATTTTAGTGTTTTTCTTTTTCTTAAGATATAAATTTCACTATTATTTTACAATATCATCAACCAAGAAAATATTGTTATAAATTTAAGATCTATGCTTTCTGAAATTATTTTAAATATAATGGATCTAAATTTCACTATTTAATGTAGAGAGTCAGTCCATTAATGGTTATCTATGAAATGTAACTTGTTTGAAAATGTTGACTCTTAACAATTTTTCTTCCTTAGACAATAACTTATATATTGTATATCAGTACAGACAAATAGAATTAATTGAGTATTAATTAAATAAAAGTGTTAAAATGCACCTTTATTGATAGGAAAATGTTAACAATTTTTTCTGATCTTATCCTGGCTCATATGGAACTAATTACCATTGCTACATTTTTCTTATAATTTTAAGGGTTTGATACATTGTCCCTGATGCTAAGATAAATTTTAAATATACTTTATTGGTATCTTGTCAAATAGTCTAAATCTGTTATTCAAATATTTACTTGGCCTACCACTAAACATTCTGGCTATATAATAATGCCACCTTCATTTCAGTGTCTTGCTTTTGGAACTATGTTATCAGGAAATAAATTTGCTGATAATTCCGTTTATTTTACCAGTTACAGTTTGGAAAAATGATTTTTGTTTTGCTCCCTGATTATTGAAAACATCTGTCTTCCATCACTTTACTGAGCCTATTAGTTCTCATGTTTTATTTGATGTTAATTTAATTTGGTTTAAATGTTAAAATATTCTTATCTATTTTCTTAATTCATTTTTTAAATTTACGTATTTTTTCCAGGTAATACAAATTATAATTTGTTTAAAGAAGATTTATTTTTATGTCACTGAGAAACAGAAGTGGTAGAAAACTGATTACCAAAACCAATGCTGTATCAAGATATGCACATTTCATCTTAAGAATTACATTGTTCGTAAAGACCTAAAATTTGATGGAAACATAATTGGTAAGCAAGATCCCAGTTACTGTTGTAATCCAAATAAAGTAATCTAACTCCACAGTAACTGAGGAGCATCTAGAGTTCTAATGACTGAGATTTTTAACATGTCTTTTTGCAATTTAAAGTATCTTAGGTATCTAATTCAAGTACTCCCAAAATGCAGAAAAAATAATATATAGAAAAAGTATTACAGTAATCATTATTAAATTTGTTCCATGATAGTGAAAGTTTGCTTTTCAATACCTCACCTCCATTGCAAGAGAGTTGCAATAGAAGAGCTGGTCTCTGCATGTATCAGAATGGTAGTGATCTTTGTTAGAAAAGGTTGGTGAAGAATGAGTCATTGTGGAGTTAGAGGAGGTTACTGAAAATGGTGACTCCAATGGTGGGATTTGAAGAGGGAAGTCTCGATAATTTTGACATATGGTTTCTTGCCAGGAATCGGCAATGCTAATTGCCTATGCTTAATTCTTTATCAACAGACTCTTTGAATCAATTTAGAGATACTCAGTGACCCCATGGCTAGAGTTCCTGACCCCTGCTATGGGAAACATTGAATGCAAACAAGCAAAAATTGCTCAAAGCCATGTTATTTTTGAAGTACAAAATGGCTTACAAAGTTAAAAATAGGCATCCAAATACATATGTCTGCACTTACATGGATGGAAACACTGAGCCTCTTCTTTCAGGCCCAGCACCCCTATTTAGAGCAGATACTGTAGAGTACCACAATCACAGTAAGGTCACACAATCGCCAGTGGGGTCCAAGATGAGACATCTTTTCTAACACAGGTTATTTTTATTTTTTAAAAAAGTACCTCTTACCACTGCCTTACAATTTCTATATTAAGAATTACATGGAAGCTATGCTAATCATAATTTTATCCAATTATTAATCTGAATGTTAATTTTTAATTGAATTTAAAAGTATAATTCAGTAGGGCAAAATCCTATCCACTTTTGTACTGAAGGTGACAAGAAGAAAAACAATGATAAGTGATAATAATGAGGTTTTGTGGACAACATGGAATGCTATTCAGTTGCAATCTTCTATTAAAATTATTTTTTCTTTTAATTCCAAAGAATTTCCCACAAGAAAAAAAATGGAAATCATTTTGTTTTTTCTTGTGGGAAATTCTTTGGAATTAGAAGAATACTATGGTCCAGATACCCAAAACAAATTGGGAGAGATGGACGAGATTTTTAATGGTGGAGTAGTTCACATTAGATAGTTGATAATAATTCTAGACATTTTAAATATGTAGATATATTTATTCAAATTAAAGCAAAAACAAGATGAAATAGAAGCATTATTATTGTTTTTCTTTGATTATTATCCCTATATTAGAGATTATCTTTTTTATTTTAAAATCTTTCATGATTTATTTAATTATAATACAAACAAATTACATAACAGAACTCTGCTGATTAAAACATGTTTGGAGAGCCCTCTGGTGTGCTAGTTCATAAAATGAGTTGGAAAACCTGAATTACTTTACTTCAATAATTCATTCACTGAGTCACCAAATAATCATTTATTCTATGCTTACATGAAGCCATGTGAGATGTTGCATAAGGAGGACTAAAATTTTAGTAAAGATAATTACACAGAACATTTAAAATTAACACCTCCTATTTATAAAATCTCCATCCGACCCCCTGCTTCTGCATTCACCATAAAGAATATGTTTATTCAGCATTTTTAAATAGCTAAAGTGATCATTTTATTAAAATAGTAATATTAAATAATCCTACTGGAAAGTTTGTGTACAGTTAATTTTGTTCTTAAAAATAATCACCTTGAGGGACTATATGCTTATCCTCTCATTGACATTATTTCTAATAATATTCTCAAGTAAAATATAAAGGTGATGGGATATCATAAATGGAACGTTTATCTCAAAGGATAAATCCAGTCCTCAGAGCATTTGTGACCTTTATGAACAAGAAAATTCTTTAACTTATCTTAATATAACAAAATAATATTTCACCTCTAACTTCCCATTCAAGTCTACCTCTCAGGAAACTTTTCTTTTTCTTTTCCTTTTTTAGAAATGTCATTTAAATTGACAGATAACTTATGATTTTATTGTGTACACATGATGTTTAGAAGTACATATACATTATGGAATGGTTAAATCTAGCTAATTAACAAACGCATTGGCTCTCTTGTCATTTTTGTGATAAGAGCACATAACTAATGCTCTCTTCACATCTTTGAAGAATACAATATGTCATCATTAGCTCTAGTCAGCTTTCAGTACAATAGATCTCTTGAAATTTGCTCCTCTTCTATTACTGTAATTATGTACCCTTTGGCCAACATCTCCCCAATTCTTCCTTCCTGCTAATCACCCCATCCTCTGGTAATCACCATTCTACTCTCTACTTCTATGGGATCAACTTTTTGTTTTTATATTCCAAATGAGTGAGATCATATAGACATTTGTCTTTCTGTGCTGGGCTTATTTCACTTAATGTAATGTCCTCCAGGTTCATCCATGTTGTCACAAATGGTCGGATTCCATTTTTTATGGTTGAGTGATATTCTATTATGTATATATGCCACATTTCCTATCCATTCATCTATTGATGGACACTTAGGTTGATTCCATGTCTTAGCTGTTGTGGAATATGCACTGCTATAAAGACGGGAATGCAGATATCTCTTAACATACTCATTTCAATTTCTTTGAATATAAAACCATTAGTGGGAATGATTGGTCATAAAGTAGCTCTATTTTTAATATTTTGAGACCCTTTTCTTTTTTAGAGTTCCAGTTGAGTGATCTTTCTTTTCTGAAATTATATAGCCTTGTATTCACTGCATCACTCATGTAATAACATAAACATTTTCTGCCTCTAAAGAGTCTAACGAAGTATCTTATCTCTTAAACTGGATGTTAAACTATTAGAAGTCAGAAAATCTATCATTTCTCTGAATACTGTAAGGAATATAACACAACAAATTAAAAGTAAAATAGTAGGTCAATCAAAAATACTTTCCTGAATATAGAAAAAAATAAAAATATAGATCAGACTTGGTATTGTCAAATGGCTCCAGAATCCATTTAAAAATATTACTTAGTCTCAAGTCCTAGTAGCCACTGGTTAGTAGGTGTAAGTCAGAAAAGAAAGGCAGAATTTGGAGGCATAAAGGAGAATTAGTGTTGTTTTTATTTTTTTTCTTCCAAACCCATTTATTAACTTTGATTTCACACCACAAGTATAATATTCTAACCATATGTCAAGAATTGTATTTGGTTCCAGGGATAGAAAAATAAAGGTAAAACTTTGCTCACTTCTCTGGGTACCTCCCACCCACAGGAAGCCTGGCATCTAAGAGAGATACTTAATTTTGTCAGTTCCCAAAAATTGCAAGCTCAGCACAAATTTAGCTTGTAAATTATTATTATATTACTCGATGCCGAATTCAAGCCTTATGTTCTCTGTAGGGTCTCTCCTGACTCTTGAGACAACTATAGCTAATAATTTCTCCCACCACAATACCAAGATAGTCAATTTACAACTCTTATTTACCTCATCGTATTTTAATTACATACTCTAATGACATAATTTCTGATTAGACAGTTATTTTCTTAAGAATATGGACACTTTCTTGACACATGATACTTTATAAATCTTGAATCAACTAATTATTTGTATAGATATACAAAGGAATGATAGAAAAGTGCAGCCCACTCTGGGTAGGATGTAAATATAAAATATCTGGACAAAAATTATGGAATTATATGAAGTAAGTTAAAGGAGATATGAAGACAAGATACAGTGTAAAGTCAACTGCCACAAAACTCTATTATTTTGGTCAGGTGACCACATGATTTGCCTTCCAAGCCTGGAGAATTCTTAAAGTGAAAAAGGGAGCCATCCATAATTATACTGATCCACAGGCAGAAGCAGGAGTTCTCCATATGCTCTCCCTGTATTTGGGTGACTAGGTGCACATTGATTTGGAATGGAAGAAAAACTTTTAAGCACAGATTTAGGGACGATTATGCAGCAGAATAGTCCTATTAATGTCCTATTATTTTGCTCTACTCAACTGTAATTGAGAAAATGTCATTCAGGTCTTGTATTGGTCCGTTTTCACACTGCTATAAAGACATACCGGAGACTGGATAATTTCTATAGAAAAGAGGTTTAATTGACTTATAGCTGCACAAGGGTGGAGAGGCCTCAGGAAACATATAATTATGGCAGAAGGGGAAACGGCATGTCTTATATGGCAGCAGGCAATAGAGAGAATGCAAGAGCAGGGAAAACTGACTTACAGAACCATCAGATCTCATGAGAACTCACTCACTATCATGAGAACAGCATGGGGAAAACCACTCCCATGAACCAATCACCTCCCACCAGATCCCTCCTTGACATGTGGGGATTATGGCGATCACAATTCAACATGAGATTTGGGTGGGGACACAGAGCCAAACTGCCAAACCACATCAGGTCTCTTCCACCTAAATTAGCATTTTGCTCTTGCAAACAATCAGCTAGAAAGTTCAACCTAAATGTCACAAATTTAATATAAACAAACCAATGAACAAAATGAGGCCATATATATATGGTATATATATAGGTAGAGATATATATATATATATATATATACACAAAAATACATATTTTGGATTCAAGTAAATATGTTCATTTAAATGGGCATTCATGATTCATGCATAGTGAATTATATTCTAATCCAGAGCATGCTTTTGTTTTTTTCAGTCTTTTTGCTCCATGGATTCTGGCATGATGTGCCTTGAACAGAAAGGATAAAACTACTGCTCCTTTTATTCCATGAATTCCAAAACACAAGTACAGAAAAATAGCTCTCTAACATCAGCCATATGAACATGATACTGGGTGTGTGGGCACTGACAGATACACAAGCCCCAGCTCAGTATATGACTCTTGATTCTGGGTGTGACCCAGAGCTGCAGAGAGAGCACCTTTCATTGTCTGGCTCCAATCTCCTTGAGTGATGACCCTCTTCCATTCCTAACTACCACCTACATGTACTGATGACTCGGAACATTACCTTCAACCCATACACCTCTTAGAAATATGCTCATCTTGTTAGTAACAAGATAACATCTTAACCTTGTTATCGAACAGAAATTGATATTATCATCCTGCCCCCAAATCTGTTTAATGTCTTCTCTTCTTTGTTCCCTGTGTTATTTATTGGCATCAAGAAACACATGCAAATGATTTTTAAAACTTTTAAAACTAATTTTTGATTTGTTTATAAATTGTACTATTTCCACCTCTTACTCATGGCTAAAATATGTCACCATCTCCATTTTATTTTTCTTTAAGTTTCAGAGACAGGGGCCTCCCTATATTGCCCGGGCTGGTCTCTAAATTCTGGCCTCAAGCAATCCTTCCACCTCATGCTTGCAGCTGGAATTACAGGTGCAAGGCACCATACCCAGCGCTGTGCCCATATTGATTGTAGAGTTCTGTTAAAACTATTTAACAGCACACAAAATCCTTTATAATTAGACCCTTCTATTTATCTGGTATTTTCAACAACTTTACTACAAACAAGATCATAATATAATAACATCAAATTATCAACCTATTAATCTATTAAGCACAAATGTGTTAGAGCAGGTTTTTATATCACTGGCGAAACATTTGGATTTTCTCTTCTATGAACTGTCTTATCATGGCCGTTTTCAATTTTATTATTGGGTGACTTTTTCCTTCTTTTAAAACCTCTGTTCATTATGAATTTTTCCTTCTGGCTAAACTCTATATTAAATTTATGTTTTCCCAAATCTACTGAATGTCTGTTGACTTTGTTTATAGAGTGTTTCCCATGAAAAGTTTTATTTGTATATAGTCAAGCATATCATTCCTTTATTTTATTGCATCTAGATAGAAGACTTAGTTACTTAACTCTTTCCTTGTCTTAGTTTTTAATTTATTCAAGATTTCCTTAATGAGTATCTATGGTTTTATTTCTTACCCTTTAAGTATTTATTCCAACTGAACTCCTCCCCGCTTTTTGGAAAAATATGTTTCCAATTTTATTTTTTAAAACAATAGTAAGTACTAACTTGTGCTATCTCCAAGCTTTAAATCATCCTCTCTTACCCTACTAAATTGAAATAGCAACGTTATCATGTATTACATTCTTATGTAACCTGGAATCTATTTTCTGGATTTTCTATTCAGTTCAAATCTATTTGTCTTTTTCTATAGCCACACAATATAGATTTAATTTCCACGAGTTTTAAATTATGCATGTATCTCCTAATTCAAGTTCCTGTTGCTGTTCTTAATATAAACTTTTTCTCATGTTTCCTCTGGCTGGATTCCCTTTCCACAGCTGGGATAAGGCTCTCACAAAGTCCTTTTCCCTGGAGAGAAGGTCTATGTTATGGAGAAGGTTCTCAGTATATTTCACACAGATTGATATTCCTCTGCTTTTCCCAGAGCTTTAATGAGCTCTTTCTAGAATTTTTATCCTGAGAATCTACTAGGGTTCTGGATAGTAAAACCTAGGAATGTGTGTTTATCAATGTCGCCTACCCCCGGCCCTGTGCAAAGACTTCAGCCACCAGGACGTTCTCAGTCTCATGTTTTTCTACATTTAGTTTCCAGTAATTACTCAACACTGCCATTAAATATTCCAGCTTCAGCCTCAGCAGTTTTTGCAACAGGCAAGCAGATCTAAGCTATGTCTCTCTCTTGGGCTGTACCCATCTCTCCAGATTTCAGGGTGCCAGTTTGCTCTGTGACTTCAGTTCTTTGTTGAGAAAAAAAAAAGTCACTGATTTTCCGATTAACCAGTTTTGCTTGTGTAAAAACCAAAGTAATGACTTCCAAATTCTTTATATGGCAGAAGTGGGGCTGAAAGTCTCATGAATTTTCCTGAACACAACCTTACCAAAAATCCTCTTTAGTAAACTTTTAAATTAATCAAATGTGTAGACTCTAAGTGTATACCAGAACTGAACAATTATATAAATGGATGGCAGATGGTGAGGGCCTGGTTTCTCACTGTTGGGGTGGTTATTTACAGACAAGCAAAAAGTGGAGGTTAAAATAATCCAAGTGGTATGGACTAGAGTTAGAGACATCAGCATGAACTCTCATGTTTAGTTAAATATAGATACAGATGGTTACATACAGAAATATTTATACATATGTGTATATGCACAGTTAGGATGCACACATATTTTTCCTTGCCCTGTCAGCTGAGAAGCTCTAGAAGCAATCATATCACCATAGCAATGAGCATACCTAATATATTGGTTTCTAATATCATTTTCCTATAAAAGGAGTCAGGGATCCTTGCAGAAATGACACATTTTTGGACAGAGGCAGCAAACATACAAGATGATCCTGAAGTATCTTGTAATATCTGAAGATAAGAAAGCAAAAAACCAAACCAATAAAACCCCACACACGCTGATGAGAATAAATCAACAGGACACAGGAACCCAATGAAGGAGCACCTAAAGGCCAAATCTGCAACAATTTGAGACAACAAAATAAATGACGTAGCACTGCATTATAATGCAAAATATGAAATAAATATCCATGAGCACGAACTCCTCTAAATACATTATTAAGTAACTACATAAGTGGTAAAAAGTAAATACTTTATGCAGAAGATCTCCAAATATTTTATACAGATGTTACAAGGGTGGAGCATATAGGAGGTCAAATATAAATTTCCATTTTTAAAACGAGGGCTGCGTCTCTAATCCCAGCACTTTGGGAGGCCGAGGCGGGCAGATCACGAGATCAAGAGATCGAGACCATCCTGGCCAACATGGTGAAACCCTGTCTTTATTAAAAATAAAACAATTAGCTGGGCATGGTGGCACGTGCCTGGTGGCACGTGCCTGTAGTCACAGGTACTCAGGAGGCTGAAGCAGGAGAATCGCTTGAACCCAGGAGGCAGAGGTTGCAGTGAACCGAGATCGCGCCACTGCACTCCAGCCTGGCCAGAGAGCAAGAATGTCAAAAAAAAAAAAAAAAAAAAAAAAAAGTGGGCTGCATATAGTGAATTTCTTCCAAGGGATACAGTATGGAAAGGGAAAAGGGGTGGCGTGACAGTGGAAAAACTTGGCAAACACCACTTCAGCCAAACAGAGTTTAACATCTACAGTGATAAGACTTTTTGATAGTAAACATCTTTAATATGATATGTTGAAAACACATGACATGATGTGAGACTTTAACTCAATGGTCTTCTTCCAAAGAACATGTAATTTCATTCTAACCATTAGACAAACATCAGACACATCCTAGTTGAGGGACACTCTACACAATGCCAGATGAGCACTCCTCAAACTCTCATGGTCATTGAAAACAAGCAAAGTCTAAGAAACTCCCACAGCTAAGAGTTGCCTAAGAAAACAGTACAGTTAAAGTGTCATGAATAGGATTCTTCCTAGAATAGAAAAAGAACGTTAGATGATAACTATAAAAATCTGAATAAAGTATGGTTGTTACTTAATAATAATGTCTCATTTTTAATTCATCAATTGCAACAAATAAACCATTCTAATACAGTAAGCTAATAATAGGGTAAACCATGTGAGGTATGTGGAAACCCTACTATCTTCATAATTTTTCTATGCATTTAAGATTTTTTAAAACATAAAATTTTAAAAAATTGTGGCTGGGTGCGGTGGCCGATGCCTTTAATCCCAGCACTTTGGGAGGCCGAGGCGGGCGGATCATGAGGTCAGGAGATCAAGACCATCCTGGCTAAAATGGTCAAACCCCGTCTCTACTAAAAATACAAAAACTTAGCCGGGCGTGGTGGCGGGCGCCTATATTCCCAGCTACTCGGGAGGCTGAGGCAGGAGAATGGCGTGAACCCGGGAGGCGGAGCTGGCAGTGAGCCCAGATCCCGCCACCGCACTCCAGCCTGGGCGACAGAGCAAGACTCCGTCTCAAAAAAAAAAAAAAAAAAGAAAAAAAGAAAAAAAAATTGTATATGAAATTCCAATAAATGCAAACAGGTATAAATATGTCCGTAGCAAACAGTAATACTTGTAAAAATGTAGAAATTTATAAAAATAAATAGTTATTTCCTCAGCTCACCATCAACTACAGAAGTAGCTTTTCATTCACAAATATTTCCATGAAATTCTCAGTTTTCCCAAGAGAATTCCACTTTCTCTGCCATGCTCAACTCTGAATTGAAGAATGATATCTTGCACTAACATGATAATTCAGGAAAACCATGTGCTCAGAACTTTCCAGGTAGTAAAATCTCACTGCCACTCAATATCTCTCAAATTCTTACCAGAGTGAAACAATACTTCTGTATCCCCCCGGTGGTATAAAATTTATTTATCCTGCTAAATAATCTATTGTTGACCTTAATATTTTTCTGATTATGATCTCTTGCTTATTCACTAGAACACTGTAACTACATTACATTTAATGACTTTTTTCATTTTGTAGACCATAAAAACATTAAAACAAACAAACAAACAGAGATCATTAAGATAAGATCCGGCAACCCCACATCCAACTATCCCTGGGTGTTGATCAGTTATGATGGCTTTTTGGAGCTCTATATCAATTGCCTGTTTAAGAGTTATATTATTTTGAATTTCTCTTTGGCTTGACTTTTTTCAAGGATAATAGAAGAAACAGCAACGTTACACACTTATCAGTTTCTGCTGTAATGGTGTTTCCTTGAGGATACTGTACATTCTATTACAGAGTGTCCTCATCCTCAGAGCTCCTGAGGGAATGATCTTTATATTTGTAATGTCAGGAAGTGGGGGAATGAGGAATGGGAATGCATGCTAAATTCCTGATCTTATTTTTAGGAAGGAGTCAAAAGTTATTATATATACCTTAAATTTGGTTCTGTTTGGAAATTGGGGTAAAGGTAATACTTTGGGGAATATAAAAGTGATTTTTGTACAATGTAATAAAAACAGGATGGATCTTTTTTTGTTGGAGAAAAGAAAATTAAATATTATATATAAGCAAAAAAATAATAAACAAAGTAATTTAAAAATAAGATAACATAAAACTTTCATATGAATTACAACAGAAATGGGTTATTTTTAATAAGAAGCAGGGGATTTCATGAGGCAGCCATGCTTTTTGTGTGTTAGAAATGTCTTATTTATTGTTCTGACTGGTAATTACATGGGCACATTTACTTGAGCTGCACACTTGTGATTTGGGCTCTTAATCTATTTTTATCTATATCTATTTTAATAAAGCTCTTTTTTAAGACAAGTGTATATAACATATAGTAGACACATTAAACACAAGAGATTTTTTTTTTCTTTTTCCTTTAACTTTTATTTTAAGTTCCGGGTACCTGTGCAGGATATGTGGGTTTGTTACATAGGTAAACGTGTGCCATGGTGGTTTGTGGCACAGATTATCTCGTTGTCTAGTTATTAAGCTCAGCATCCATTAGCTATTTTTCCTGCTGGTCTCCCTCCCCCTGCCCCAAAGCTGACATGCCCCAGTGTGTGTTGTTTCCCCCTTCATGTGTCCACGTGTTCTCATCACTCAGCTCCCACTTGTAAGTAAGAATATGTGGTGTTTGGTTTTCTGTTCTTGCATTAGTTTGCTGAGGATAATGGCTTCCAACTCCATCCATGATATTTTTAAAAGTAAAGGGTTGTGCAAATATATGCCAGGCAAAGGAAAGATTGGCTATATTCATATTAGAATATAGAAATTTAAAAGGAAAGGTATTAAATGAGATCTAGAGGGCATTTTGTAAAAGATACAATCCACACAGAATAAATATTCATGAGTGTATGTAGCAATTTATATATATATTTTAAAAATGTATCATACATAAAAGGAGAAATTGACAGAAATATGTATTAGGAGGGCCTTTTACACAGTGCTCTTTCAAAAATCAAGTAAACAAAAATAATGAGAATTTGAGTAACTGATCATACTGAAATCATATATATAAAGTATATACTTGCAGAATAGTTAACATATCTTTTTTGCAACAATCAGTGAAGCACTTGTCCAGTTTGCCATATTCTATGCAACCTCAATTTTCTCAAGACAAAAACTGTGCAGAATAGTCTTTGCCTATAATGCAAATAAGACTAAGAATTAATAAATGTATTTTTTTAAATAACCATTTATAATTTCTGAAAACTGTTAAGATACAAATTGGGACAAAAAATAAAACTGTGTCTATAGAAAATTTATGCATGTTACAGAATAAAAACAGGAAATGCTGTATATCAAAACAAAGTGTATGGCTAAATTTGGAATGAAAGGTTAATTCATGGTCTTACACATTTAGCAAAACTCTGATACTACAAACTGACAAAAAGTACAGTAGAAGTGGTTCCACTTACCACCAATTCCAGCAGGGTGTTTGTGCTGGTGAAGTTCTGCATGAATATTTAGGCTCTGTGTGTCTAGATGTTCTTCTTCTTTGTGGGAAGACTCTTCTTGAAGGCCTGTGTTCCACCTAATTCTCACTAAATGTAAAGCCATGGTTGCTATTAGTTCATCCTGGGCTCTGCAAGTCTGTAGACCAGTGGATGAAGAAACAAAAAAGGGCACTGTTGCAGGCGTAATTGATCCCAATCATCGGGATGAGTCACAGCCATTGCTATATGATGGAGACACAGAAGAAGAAGTGTGGCACCAAGTGGTCCACCCCTAGGTATTCTTTTGTCCAGTTCCATCTTCACCCGGATAAGCAGAACAAACAGACTACGAAGTAGTGCAGGTCCCTCCAGTTTCAGGATCTAGGTGGATGAGTGTGAGGAGATCCTAGAATGAATGAGAAAGGAGGGAAATGTGTTTCAGTTATGACTTCAGGATGAACGACATCAGTGGGAGCTATAGCTTCTTTCACAAATCCTCTTTTTGGAAATTTCCCCAGAAATTGTAAGCAACCAGAACGCTGAAGAAATTGTGACCACATAAAGTGAATGTGAAAAATAAGCATTTCTGAGATAGGAATGTGAAAAATAAGCATTTCTGAGATAGGAAAGAGGGGATTATAAGGTTTGCTGTTGGTACCTAAACCAGATGCGATCCCAGAATAGGTGCACCCATGCCCAACCTGCTCTACAGATTGGATGCTAATCACCTACAGCTATGTCCTTCTCTGGAGGATTACCCTTGCCTGACAGAAGCTTCCTATCCCTGAGATGCTTGAAAGTTTCTGTCCCCACTCCCGACTCCCAGGGCTTCCTCATATTCCATGACTTACGGATGCTGGTCACAGAACACTATCTGAGCAGAACAAGTTCTGTGTTGCAATTTGTACTCCAGAGCTTCCTGGGAGATCTGCCTGCAGTTATTTTCCTGTTTTTGTTCTTTGAAATTACTACCTCTATAAATCTCTTACACACTATACCCGTCTCAGGCCTTTCTTTCTGTAAACTCAAAGTAAGTTGAGTATAAAATAGAATGTCCAATAAACTCAAGGTAAGTTGAGAATAAAATAGAATGTCACAACCTGAGCTCACCTATGATGGCACTACTCTAAGAAAATAATTATCCAGTTATAAAAGAAAGTACTAGAAAATCTATTAATACATCAATTTTTGAAAAGTAATTTCAATAACTGAAGAAAGGTATTCAATAACATATAACTAGAATCAAGAGTATGGTCCACCTAGTCAAACACTCCTCTCATATATGCAGTAAAATACTAGAGATGTTTCCATAAAAATATCTGCTGTCACCATTATTTAATATACTTCCTGGATTTCTGGGAAGATCACAAAGAATAAAAAAGAAGTATGGAACAAAACTAGTAAAAATGATGGGAGCAAATTTTTCTTGTGTTAATAATCAAGTAGATTCTATATCAGAAAATAAACCGTAAAATTAGCGAGTGCAATAAAATGTTCAGATGAAGAAAAATTAAAGATTAATACATATGGAAAATATGGCAATAACTAGTTTGAACAATAATAAAGAAATATATTTTGTTTACAATAATATTTTTGATATAGAAAGTCATAGAAAGTTAATTATTAAAAATATAAAAGCCCATATGAGCAAAAACTGCAAAACATTATTGAAAGACATACACACTATTTATGAAATCCAGTGTAGAGATGACATATATCCTAATAAGGAGACTAAATGTTATAATAACAAAGTTAAATTTCTTTCTAAATTAATGATTATCCAAAAAATAAAATTATTCCATTATTGTTTTCTTTTATTTTAGGACAGCATGGTACAATTTTTCTAAAGTGCATCCAGAAGAATCAACAGAAAATTTTGTTATTGTCTAGAGCAATGCTTTGGACTTTCCTTATGTATTTGCTTATTCATATATTTCAATATAATTTGAAGTAATAAAGCAAAGTGATACTTGTACAAATATCAATAGACAGTTGAAAGGCATAAAAGAAACAAAAAGGAAGAAACAGAGGGAATATATTCATCCTTTTTTCACACTGCCATAAAGAACTGCCCGAGATTGGGTAATTTAAAAAGGAAAGAGGTTTAATTGACTCATAGTTCAGCATGATTAGGGAGGCCTCAGGAAATTTACAATCATGGGGGAAGGCAAAGGGGAAGCAAGGCACCTTCTCCACCGGCCAGCAGGAAGGAGAATGAACTAGGAGGAAATAACTAACACTTATAAAACCATCATATCTTGTGAGAACTCACTCACTATCACAAGAACAGCATGGGGGAAACTGCCCCATTATTCAGTTACCATCCCCTGGTTTCTCCCTTGACACATGGGGGTTATGGAGATTATGGAGATTAGAATTCAGGATGAGATTTTGAGTGGGGACACAGCCAAATCATATCAGGGAAAGAGGGAGAAAAGGAGGAAAAAAAGAGAGAGGAAGTAAAGGAAGGGAGAAAAAAGGAAAGAAGGAAGAAAGAAAGGAAAGATAGTAGACCTTAAACAAATCCTTGTCCAGGGAGAGTTGTAGACAATAAAGAAGACATCACAAATGAGTGGAGAAGAAATCTTGGGATAACTGGTAATTTGAGATAAGTAAGACATAGATTAAGGAGTTAGAAATTCATCTTATGAGAAAAATTATTTATGATAAATAAAGAGAAAAAAGATAAAATTCTGCTTAGGCTGAGTAAAACATAGAATACTAGAAAAATATAGAAGAATATGTCACCGACCTATCATAAAAACATTTTTAAGTAAAATGCAAGGTAATATAACACAAATAAAAAACAATGTAATTGATTACCTGGAAAATAAAGCAAAAGTTTTTGCAAGGAACAAAACTCATAAACTAAGCATTAGTACAATTAACCTATCTTTTAAAAATAGCATTAATATTAACATACTAAAAGAAAAAAATACACAGCTTAAGACTACTTTTTTCAAAAAAGAACAAAATTATTGACTGAACATATGCCAATTTATATAATAGCTTTTTTAATCAAACTGCATAATTAAAATAAGAGATAACATTGTTGTATCAAATGCATTAAGGTTCAATAACATATGCACTCTTATTAAGTGATATTGTTTATATAAGTATTGCAAATTTTGTGAAAAGATAGTTGGGTATTTCTTTAAAGTTCTTTTAAGATATCATATAAAGTTGAACTTAATAACTTTACTCCCAGAAGCACATTATTATCAAAGAATAAAACATGGAAACAAAATTTAGAAACAAATTTCATATATTGATTTGATACATTTTAATTAAAAATTTTAAATGTTAATATAAGTTCAGTTGAAATTTTGATACATGTACTATGATATAACATGTGTTAATACATTTAAATATTCTTAATAAAGAATTTAAAGAACACAAAACCATATGTAGGTGAGTAGACAAAGGGAAACAAAGATGGAGATATGTAATGAAATACCAATTTGGAGATTATGTATGAATTCCATAAAGAAAATGACTAAAATTCCAGCTATACAAATATTAACATTGGCCAACTTTAGTGATATTTATTTTCTTTTTAAAACGTTTTCAAATTTTACATTTTAAATGTAAATTACTTTCACAATGAAAAAATAAATATATATTAAAATGAATGTTTAAAGAAGATATTAAGGATAGCATAGTCATTTCTTAATTATATCATTAGTTTTCTTTGACTTATAAATAATACACATGTTAACTTGGGTTATAGAGTTTAATATTTTAATTTTTCCAATAAATTGTTGAAATTACCTAGAAATGTGTATTAGGAATAAGACAGTATGCAAAGTGAATCTAATATAAATCACCCACCATAGATCTATAACACATATTCTATAGTTGTGGTGAAACAAATTGTCAAAGTCCATTATTCAAACTAACATGATATCAAAGCAGTCATGATGGTTTGATGATAAAAACTGCTTTGCTTGCAACAACACAAAACCAAACAAAACCTGCACTTCCTCTTAGGCCACAACCTGCAGAAACCTTGTCTTCTTTTTGATAACCAAATTCTACTAAAGAGATAGTCATTAAAATTCATTTTTAAGAAAAGATATTATTTTTGCATATATGAAAATTTCAGCTATAGGTAAAAAATAAAGAATATTTTTAATAATTAAAATATTCAACTAATTAGAATGTATTCATACCATCATTTGTAATATCCATTATAACTGATATTGATAAACGTTAAAAGGACAATCTAAAAAGATGCCACTAAAGTGAAGCTAAATACCACCTACTTTTATTATTAGATCACAAATGAAAAACATAACTACCACTTAGATATCAATTTACAATTTACAAAGTATCCCTCATTTTTACATTTGATCCCCTTAACAGTCCTTTGAGGTAGCTTATCCTCATCATAGAAATATTTATTATTGCATGTATTTTCAATTCATATTTTATTGTACATACACATCAAAATCGTATGTACATTACTCACACTTATGCTCAGGCAATTGTATTTAATTATCACATTCAATAAAACTAACTAAAAACTGTGTCACACTTAAATAGAAACTCATATTTATAATTTGCCAAATGTTTGCACAGTAAGTGAAAAAATTTGAGAAAATACAATTTTATAGACACATCTGCATTCTTATCAGCATGCAAAAATCTGTGACATTGGGCTGACTTCCACCAAACCAAAATTTTGTAAGCAGAAGAGAGTGTGAAGAAGGATTGATGTTTTATGAGTGTTTTAAAAAAAAAAAAAGAAATCAGGCCGGGTGCGGTGGCTTACACCTGTAATCCCAGCACTTTGAGAGGCAGAGGCGGGCAGATCACGAGGTAAGGAGTTCGAGACCAGCCTGGCCAATATGGTGAAACCCCGTCTCTACTAAAAATACAAAAATTAGCCAGATGTAGGGGTGGGCACCTCTAGTCCCAGTTACTCAGGAGTCTTGGCAGAAGAATCACTTGAACCCGGGAGGCAGAGGTTACAGTGAGCCAAGATCGCACCACTGCACTACAGCCTGGGTGACAGAATAAGACTCTGTCAAAAAAAAAAAAGTAATAAAATATCAAGGCAACAGATATTTTAAATTAAAAACTTAATTATGTCAGGTTTGTAGAAGATCAGATGGTTCTGGGTGTGTGGTCTTATTTCTGAGTTCTCTATTCTGTTGCATTGGTCTATGTGTCTGTTCTTATATCGTATAATACTGTTTTGGTTACTGTAGCCTTGTTGTGTAATCTGAACGTGGGTAGCATGATATCTCCAGCTTTGTTCTTTTTGTTTAGGATTGTCTCAGCTATTTGGGCTCTTTTTTTTGGTTTTATATGAATTTTAAAAGAGTATTTTTCTAATTCTGTGAGCAAATTCAACAGTAGCTTAATGTGAATAGCATTGAATCTATAAATTACTTTGTACAGTATGGCCATTTTCACAATAATGATTCTTCCTATATCTATGAGCATGGACTGTTTCTCCATTTGTTAGTTAGTGTCCTTTCTGATTTCTTCAAGCAGTGGTGTGTAGTTCTCCTTGAAGAGGTCTTTCACATCTCTTTTTAGCTGTATTCCTAGGTATTTTATTCTTTTTGTAGCAATTGTGAATGCGAGGTCATTAATGATCTGGCTTTTTGCTTACCTGTTGTTGGTGTATAGAAATGCTAGGGATTTTTTTGCACATTGGTTTTGTATTCTAAGATTTGCTGAAGTTGCTTGTCAGCTTAAGAAGCTTGTGGGCTGAGACGATGGGTTTTTCTAGATATAGGATCATGTCATCTGGAAACAAAGATAATTTGACTTCCTGTCTTCCTATTTTAATACCCTTTATTCATTTCTCTTGCCTGATTACCCTGGCCAGAACTTCCAATTCTATGTTGAATAAAAGTGGTGAGAGAGGACATCCTTGTCTTGTGATAATTTTCAAGGGAAATGCTTCCAGATTTTGCCCATTTAGAATGATATTGGCTGTGGTTTTATCATATATGGCTCTTATTTTGAGGTATAGTCCCTCAATACCTAGTTCATTGACAGTTTTTAACATGAAAGGATGTTGAATTTTATCCAAGGACTTTTCTGCATCTATGGACAAACCTAACAAAAGCAATGGGGAAAGGACTCCCTATTTAATAAATGCTGCTGGAAAAGCTGGCTAGCCATAAGCAGAAAATTGAAACTGGACCCCTTCCTTATACTATATTACAAAAATTAATTCAAGATGAATTAAAGACTTAAATGTAAAACCCAAAACTATAAAAGCCCTAGAAGAAAATCTAGGCAATACCATTCAAGACATAGGCACGGGTAAAAATTTCATGACAAAAATACCAAAAGCTATTGCAAAGAAAGCAAAAATTGACAAATGGGATCTAATTAAACTAATGAACTTCTGCACAGCAAAATAAACTATCATCAGAGTGAACAGACAATCTAAAAATGGGAGAAAATTTTTGCAATATATCCATCTGACAGAGGTCTAATACGAAGAGTCTAAAAAGAAGTTAAACAAATTTACAAGAAAAAAAAAAACATTAAAAAGTACCAAATGACTTGAACAGACACTTCTCAAAAGAAGGCATACATGCAGCCAACAAGCATGTGAAAATAAAAAGCTCAACATCAATGATCATTAGAGAAATGCAAATCCAAACCACAATAAGATACCATGTCCTGTGTGTCAGAATGGCTACTATTAGAAAATCAAAAAACCACAGGTGCTGGTGAGGCTGCAGAGAGAAAGGAGACCTTTTACACTGTTGTTGGGAGTATAAATTAAACCATTTTGGGAGTATAAATCAACCATTGTGGAAGACCGTGTGGCGATTCCTCAAAGACCTAGAGGCACAAATACCATTTGACCCAGCAATCTCATTACTGGATATATAACCAAAGGAATATAAATCATTCTATTATAAGGATACATGCACACATATATTCATTGCAGCAATATTCACAATAGCAAAGACATGGAATCAACCTAAATCCCCATCAATTATAGACTGAATAAATAAAATGTGGTACATATACATCATAGAATACTATGCAGACATAAAAAGGAATGAGATCATGTCCTTTGCAAGGACATAGATGGAGTTGGAAGCCATTGTCCTTAGCAAACTAATGCAGGAACAGAAAACCAAACACCACATGTTCTCAGTTATAAGTGGGAGCTGAATGATCAGAACACACGGACATATGGAGGGGAACAACACACACTGGGGCCTGTTGGAGAGGGAAGTGGGGAGGGAGAGCATCAAGAAGAATAGCTAATGGATGCTGGGCTTAACACCTAGGTGATGCAATGATCTAGGCAGCAAACCACCATGGCATATGTTTACTTATGTAACAAATCTGCACATCCTACACATGTACCCCTGAACTTAAAATAAAAGTTGAAGAAAAAAAAAATAGGAGAAAAAAACAGACTTAATTCTAACATGCAGTTTACAGGAAAAAAAATAAAATTCCCAAATCACCTCTCTTTAATCTTCCAGAAAAAAAAAAAAAGTTTCTTTCTTCCTTCAACTACTCAACAATACTAGTTTCTGAACATTTAGAATAAATAACAAATGCAATTTGATTTAATACTAGTGATCCCGCTTTTGACATATATTTGAGTTTATTTTCATTGGTTTTATTAGGCCTCTCAGTGTTGTCTGGGATTTTTGGAAATCACTGGTGTAATAACATCCAGTTGAAATAATAACATTACCATCAATTGTCTCCATTGTCTATGAAAGTCTAATGCAATACAAAAAGGGTAAGTTATGTGGTTTGCAGTTTCAGGTTTTAAGGATTGACCAGGGATCACATAATCTCCTTTGCTCAAAATCAGGATCAACCATTTCAATTGAAATGACCAACTCTGGCCAACTGAAATGACCCACTCTGGACTATGGATGTGATTGTTTCACTGTATTAACAAGATATTGAGAATTAGTATTATTTTCATTTTAGTGTCCACAAATTACATATTTTATGAGAAAGAGAGGGTCCCTGCTAGAGAAATTAGAGAAGTTCTATGGCAATTTTCATCATAACTTTGAGGACACTTTAAAAGGTCTAATGCATTGCATTTTAAAAACACTTGAAGATTTTGTAGCTTGTAGTATCATTCCATAGCATTCTAAGTATTTTTTTTGGAGCAAGCAAGAATTTAAAGAAGAACTTCTTGACAAAAACTTAAAAATCTTTAATAAAAATATAATTTTTATGGTTTAATCTTAAACAAGCATGATTTATTTACTTCTAAGTAAAGTTGTTGGGTGATTATATAACTACATTAAGGACACGATAAAATTCAACTTAATTGTACTTAGAAGAAATCAACAGTCTTTGCATCTGCTGAAAACATGAAAGTAAAATATTATTGCTGAAGGCATCTAATATCCAGGGAACAGTCATTAAGTTATAAAGAAAATTAAGATGAATCAAAAAAGGAAAAATATTCAGAAGGGAGAAAAATATAAATGCTTAAACTGAATAATAATAAATCCATGTTTCAAATTCCCTTTATCAATGTTGAAAATAAATTGCTAATCAAAATTCATAGTAATATAATATCATATGAATACATTATTTTTACGTTAATATATTCAAATCCTAATGGCTGCCACATATTTCACTACTATCATTTCAGTATAAGTCATTTGATACTATATCATTTATGATAAATATGCTATTTTAACATGCTAATCATCTAGCTGACCATTCTGTGAAATCAGTTCATTGACTTTGTCATGTCTCTAAACTCATGTGTTTCCTTTATCTAATGTTGTTTAATTATAAATTCAAGTTATATTCAGGAAGTCCACGTTCCAAAAATTGTATTTTTATCCAGACACCAAATTTTAGTGTTGAGTAACTGATAGGGGCTCAATCATTTAACCTAAAACACAGAAATACCATGTCAAAAGAAAAAGAAAAAACAGAATTTGATATATGTTTATTGAGAATAACAGTAAATTAGTTTAGTGCGATAAACCAATATTTGAAGCCCAGTAGAAATGTTAACAGATGAGAAATATTTTATATTATTAGAAATTTATAGCAGAATAGTTAGTAACACAGGCCCACACCACGTAACGATATTTCAGTCAACAGACCATGTACACAACAGTAGTCTCATAGAATATAACGAAGCTGAAAATTCCTATTGCCTAGTGATATTGTAGCCATTTTAAGGTCATAGGACAATGAATTACTCATGTTTCATGGTGGCACTGGTATAAACAAATCTATTGCACTTAAAAGTCTAGTACGTATAATTATGCACAGTATGTAATATTTGATACTGATAATAGACAATTATATTAAGGATTTATATATTAACAGTATTATACTGTTTACCTTTTAGAGTGTATTCCTTTTATTTATATAAAAAAAAAAACTGTAAAACAGCCTCAGACTGGTTCCTCAGGAGGTATTCCAGAAGAAGATACTGTTATAGGAGAGGACAGCTCCATGTGTGTTTCTGACCCTGAAGACCTTCCAGTAGGACAAGATGTGGAGGTGGAAGACCGTGACATTGATGATCCTGACCCTGTGTAGGCCTAGGCTAATGTGTGTGTTTGTGTCTTAGCTTTTAACAAAAAATGTTTATAAAGTAAGATAAAAAATTAAAATATAGAAAGCTTTATAGAATAAGAGTATAAACAAAGAAAATATTTTTATACAGTTGTACAATATGCTTGCATTTTAAGCTGCGTCATTACAAGGGCCAAAACGTTAAAAAAATTAAAAAATTTATAAAGTAAAAGTTATAGAAGCTAAGGTTAATTTATTATTGAAGATAAATTATTTTGTATAAATTAAGTGTACAGTATTTACAAAGTCTGCAGTAGTATACAGTACTGTCCTAGCCCTTCACATTCACCCACTGCTCACTCACTCACTCACCCAGAGCAACTTCCCATCCTGCAAGCTCCATTCATGATAAGTGTCCTACACAGGTGTGCCATTTTTAACCTTTTCTACCATATATTGTTTGTTACTTTTCTATGTTTACATATGTTGAGATACATATACAGTGGCCATTCTTTTACAATTGCCTCCTAGACTCAGTACAGTAACATGCTGTACAAGTTTGTAGCCTAGGAGTAATAGGCCATACCCTATAGCCTAGGTGTACTATGCTATCCCATTTAGGTTTGTGTAAGTACACTCTATGATGGTTGCAAAATTGCCTAACGACACACTTCTCAGAAGGTATCCCTGTTGTTAAGAAACACGTGATTGTACACTTTTAGAAGCTGGCAAAACTGAACACTAAATTGCCTTTTACACACTATATGCTTACATTGTAAGATGAGTAAATTTTTATGAATATCACAATAAAAATAATAATCTTGCTTAAGATGTTACAAAGAATAAAATCCCCTTCTTTTCTCGACTCAAGAACGATGTGTACCTCATTCAGATAAAGTAGCTCTCAGATCAGCTCTGCTGCAGACTATTTTTTCTTTTTCTTCTGAACCATTAAAAGTATGGCACACACATGATACATATCTCCAAAATTTTTGACATGAATATCCTACAAATAGGACATTGTTTTTATAACACAATACCATTACCACGTTGAAGAAAATTAACATTATTTCTACAACATAATCTAATATATGCTGGATAATTCTAGTTTTTTTCTTTTGTCCTGAGTCTTTCATGTCTTTTTGTTGGTTTGTTTTTTATCTAGAATTCAATAAATGTTTACACACTTATCTGGGTTGCTTATCTTTAGTTCCTTTTTTAAAAATTTTTTAATCTCAACAGCCTCTTTAGCTCTTCTCTCTATAATAGGGGAAGTTTGGATGATTCCTGTTCCAGTTTTGTTGTTAAATACACAGCAATCATATGTTGATGTGTTTCCTGGAGACCAGCTCATGTTACACATTTCATAGTAACATACCATAAGTCTTGTGGCACCGCTCACCACATATTGTCAGGAGGCATTCCATGTGTTCACATTTTAGGAGGTAATAAATTGCATGAAGGTGGTCACCATCAGATTGTTTCATAGTAAAGGAACCTATTTTACTTTGAAATTGATACTTATATTTTGGTGGAACACTTTGAGACAATTTGAGTACTCTGTTCTCCAACCACCTGTCACCCAACTGAAGATCGTTGCCTGAAGCAATTTCACACTGAAAGTTAGTTCTAAAATGAAGAGATTCCAACTGTATCATGTCTTCTTTATTTATTACCCAGCATTTTCTGTAAAATTTTCCTTCTTTCTTTTCTTCTTATATGTCTAAAACTTTTAAGTTATCCCTATAGTCATTATTTTTCATATTAAATATGTTTAACACATTACCATGTTATTCATTTCCATAAACAAATAAATGAAGCTTGCATTTTCACTTGAAAATGGAAATATTAGACCTGGAATCATGTATTTCTCCGAGTAGCAGGCTCTGGTTCATTTAGTAGAAATGAACATTGGGAAATCAAGATCTGGGCACTAGGTATGCTCTGTACTCCTGGAATCTTGCACTAGGCCCTTACAGTGGCCATATATATCACAAGTTCATAGTGATGCCTGCAGTGAAAAGCTACCTTCCAGCATACTTGCCATCAACTGAAATGCCTCCAGGGAAAAGCTACCTTCCAGCATACTTGCCATCAACTGAAATGCCTCCAGGGAAAAGCTACCTTCCAGCATACTTGCCATCAAATGAAATGCCTGCAGTGAAAAGCTACCTTCCAGCATACTTGCCATCAAATGAAATGCCTGCAGTGAAAAGCTACCTTCCAGCATACTTGCCATCAAATGAAATGCCTGCAGTGAAAAGCTACCTTCCAGCATACTTGCCATCAAATGAAATGCCTGCAGTGAAAAGCTACCTTCCAGCATACTTGCCATCAGCTGAAGCACTTGAGTTGTTTGCTACTCCCTTCTCACCAGGTCCAATAAGCATAAGCATAATATCATCCCTGAAATGCTGTAATGTTTGGTAGAGTATGAACATTTTTAAAGTTCCTGCAGGCTGCATCACGATTGAGAGCAAAAAAGTTTAAGTAGACCTGCAATAAAATACTGAAGGTGTACGGCTGCCCTGTGAAATAAAGACAAATTGCTTCTGATTATCTCCCTGAATTTTGGTAGAAAACAGATTCGTTAGGTGAATAGATGCATACAGAGTCTCGGCAAGCAGAGCAAAGATATAAGATCAAAATAACAACTGTAATTTATCAGCATCTGATTAAGTGGACAAATATCCAATTTCACTTTACAAGACCTCTCTATCTTCTACAGTGGCCAAATACAGAGTTAAAAAATGAGGATGCAATAGGAATCTCTACACTCCTAGCTTGCAAGTCTTCGTTAGTGGCACTAACATCTACAATCCCTCCCCAGTGCAATATTGTTTTTAATATAATGTTTTAATGAAGGGTTAGGAAACAATTATTTCTACCTTAATAGCCCTCACTCCATGATCAAGGAAGCCTGTGAGTAGCTGTACATAAGTAAGTGTATTTATATCTCCTTTACATATTCTGAGATTAAGAAAATAACCGTAGAATGGACTCAGGTCAAGACTCACTCAATCTCTATAAATTACAGAGTGGCCACTTTGTGTCTTTATTGATGAAGATTTTTATCTTTAGGTATTAATGTTAGTTCAGATTTAACATCTACTGATCTCTAGATTGTTTATTTCTCCTACCAAAATACTGACACCTTCATCAATGGCCACCACATCCACTAATAATGTTTTACTGAAGATTCAGTGCGTACATATGTGGCTTTGTTTCCTTTTTTTTTTTTTCCAAAAAGACAAACTCTCCTTCAATCAAGGAGCTCTGTGTCTGTAAACAGGCATTGTCTGACACCTAGGTAAGAGGCTGAGATTCCCCACTGTAATTCTTCCGCTTGGATTTCTCCCCGTCAAACATGGACCTTTTTGCTTGTATAGGCAGGAGTTATCTTAGTAAACTGCAATATGTTTCATTCCTCTGGGTTCATTCATAGGGGTTATTTAGTCACAAGTGATCACTGAATTTCACAATGCTTTTATTATTTCTATGTCTCCATTACTTTTCACAGTAATAGTGCTCTGTCTTTCACTGTTAGGAATCACCATTTGATCTTTATTACTCTTCTTCCATTGAAATCAAACAGCCAAATTCCACAGTGCTTCTCGTCCATGATCTCCCATCTACACAGAGTAGGATAATGTGGTAATAAAGTAGCTGGGCTGGTTCCACATAATCTACCCATTCCAAAATTCTGAGCCAGGAAACTTCTGGTATTTCAAACCTGTCTCTTTAGAGAACCACATACTTCAGGTTTCAATTAACCAGCCTCTCAGGTACTGGACACAGACTCTCAGGTACTGGACACTCTCAGGTACTGGACACAGTATATTAATTCTCAAATCTAGGGTCAGTGTAAGAATAGCTAATCTACTTGGCCTAATCTACTTTTAAAGTTGCTCTGCTCCATTTAATAACTTTATGGCTAATCTGTTATGCAGAGTTCTGATACTTCAACTTAGCAAGATTTTGATAATACTACAGTTCAACCTCTGGCCATAATTATTCACTTCATTCCCATGTTTTTATCCCTATCACAGTAACCCCTCAAATCTCCTCCACTTGCAAAGGCAGGCTTAGAAGCCAGGTTCTTGTGCTCTTCATCAGATTCGGATATGTCTCATTAGACATGACTCTTAATCCAGAGGCATCTAGAATAAAAAGCATTACTTGCCATCATTGTACTCATTATACAATTGTTGAATGGGCAAAACAATCCAAGTTATACAGACAGGACTGAGTTCAAGTGAGGGGAAAAGTGTAATGCTACCGTGGGCCCAACCCATGGAGAGTCTGAAGGACTGGCTCATGCTGCGGTCTCCTCCATTTTTGTGCTGCACACCTTTTTACAAAAACATTTTTTTCCTTTTTTAAAATTTAAAAACGAATACATTTTCTGGGATTGTTAAAGGCTGCAAGTAAAGATGGAAAACATTGATCTATGACCATAGGATTTGTAGTCCCCAAAAAAACCAAAGGTCCTGACTTTAATACAATGTTGTATCAGCTTACAAACAGGAAAATAAAAATCAGAAACAGTACATTATTAAGATTTAGAAAATCCTAGAAAACCCATTTATCACCATTGGGAAAATGTCTCTACCATTCCACATAAAACTTATTGAAATTGTTCCTTTGGAGCACATATATAATTTTTAATGCTTAGCAGCACTTTAGGGCTCTTTGATCTTTGATTTGACTTAAGATCTATCTTCTTAAACTTTACATTAATTAATTTAATTACTTTCAAAGCAAACAGATACTTAAAGGCTTATATGGATATAGAAACTCACATAACTTTGGCAAACAGCCAATGTAAAGGAACTTTACCATTTGTGATTCCATTTCAAAAACGTGCCAGCACTATATGACAAAGACTGTTAAAACTTCCTCAAATTACCTGAATCCTAAAACTAACATAGTATAAAATTTAAATTCTAATTCAAAAAGGTAACTTTAACTTATTCAAACAGAACCCATTGTTAACTCTCTTGTAATTGAGAATCTATAATATACGCCCAATTATCTAGTGAGAAGAACTGAAGATTAATGTCGAGAGATTATTTTTCTTTATGTGTATCCGAGCATTTAATTAAATGGGTTAGGCCAAATTATCCTGGAACTTTACAAATGAATGTAACTACAAGAGTCTCTATTTTAAATATCTTTATCTTTAAATCCAAAGTTCTTTGGATTAAATTCCATGTCTAAGATCACACAGAACGGCGGCAGAGGTGAAAGGAAACCCTAGGTAAACACACTTTCCCACAACCCCATTTAGCTTGAATTTTCAATTGAATCAGAAATAATAAACAGAAAGCCTATCTTATTAATTTCTTTCTGCAAAAGTGGTCTCTGAGAAACAAATTTTGTTACAGGGCAATAATTGGGTCCAGCATATACAGTTTAAAAAAATCAGAAGACACTGCTATATCTAGAATAAAAGACAACACAAAAGAAACTAGTAGGAATCATTAAAGATGAACTGAAATATAAATGGCTGAATTGGCACTCAATATCTTAAGGCTACTCTAGTTCACTGCAATGTCATTATGGCATTGATGAGTGTGGGAAAAGCCTAAGAAATGCTGCTAGTGTGACATTGATAGATGTGGGAAGGACACGTGAAGTTTTTCAGTCTGATAGATTTTTTTTTGAACCCATCTGCAAGGCTGCTTTACAGGAAATGACAATCTTCTCTGCTAGTTAAAGAAAATGATTGTATCTGGCCCAAAGATAGACTTTTAATAATGAAACCAGTTGTTTGTATCTATTTTCTATTGATTTTTTTTGAGAAAACATAATTATCCTAGCTGAGGAATTTTTTGCCACCTTGTGTCATTAGTTTCTCACAGCCTAAACCATTTTGGTGTGACAGATTCCACCCTCTGATTACAGCAGAAAGGAAATCACACACCTCAGCCAAGCCCACTGGCTGTGCTTCTCCCCTTTCTCCCCCCAGCTCCTGTGGCTTACTTGACTGGTCTCCAGCGGGTTACATACTCTGCCTGGCCCCCATCACCTCCACTGAGGAACTGAAGGAACAGGAAGCTGCAAATCACAGCCCAGACAGGGGGACCTGAGGAGGCCCTCCTCTCATATTTGGGTCAAATGGAGATCCACTTCAGGAAGTATCCCCTACCACTGAACTGCATGATTCCTCAATGAGTTGGGAAAGACATCAGTAAGTAGGCCCTATTCTTGCTTATGTTTGTGGAGGGTGCCTAGATCATTCTGTTTCATAAGAAGTAAAATGATCGTTTCCCCCACTGTAAATGTGCCAGGGTGCCTTTTCATTAATGTTTTGTCATTTGCTTCAACATTCAGCTGCTCGTCAGAGATTCAGTGACTAAGAACCACAACAAGGACAGAAACATTTCTCCATGCGACACTCTGTACCTATTTGCAATTTGATCTCATCCAAACAAATTTCCCTGTTGTTTCTGCTGCTATTCAGGGGAACATATAAAACAGAACCAGTCATCTCTGGGGAAGAACTAGCAAACCATTTTAGATCATGTGTAACATTGTACACCAAGCAGTAATCTATATCACTTTAATTTATCTTCCTACAAAATATATGTTACCTGCCATGTAATTAAAACTCTCCAAAGTTATCTACAATAAAACTGTAACTACCTGGGACACATACAATAAATTATAGAGAATCTTATTAAGTAATGATAATCAATTATTAATTGAATAAATTTGTGGTGAATGCCATTTAGATACTTGCGGATTTTAAAAATAACTTGAGGATTAATTAACGGGCAGTGTCATCTTATATCAATAGTACTGAAAATTTAAAAAAAAGTGTTAGAAATGTAAAACTGCAAGCCACTGTGGTTAGTTATACACTATTAATTACAGGATTTTTAAGCCCTAGAAACACTTTAATTTTGTCTTCAGACTTTAAACTGTGAGTCTCTGGGGGAGTTCTCAATACACTCTTCTAACTCTCACGTCAGCCTTATTTCATGGCCCAGTTAATCAGATTCAGATTAATGATCCTTTTTGTACCCTATAACATAAAAATTGGTCACAAGTGACAAGATATTTATTTTGAAAGCAGTCTACCAACATTCCACCTATCGAGATGTTGAAATGTATAGATAGAAATATAGATACATTGATATAGAATCAAAATCTGTATCTGTATAGGTGATTTGTGCATCTGACATACTTTCTAATTGGCTACTGCAGGGTTGAATTGATTTATTTCTCATAAGTCTGATTGCAAAAATTTCCAGGAAAATGATTTATTATAATGACAGAGATACATTGACAGTTCAATAACACTGATCAATGATACTAACCAATGGATAAATGGTAAGTGCTATGCTTTGGAATGGCATAGAGGCATTGACTACTGAAAAGCCATTCTCAGAAGTTTCCAAGTGTGAAATAGTATGTGGGTATAAATGTCAATCTCGTTGTTCATCCTTCACTTTGGAATGCAACTTCACTTTTTCATAAGTGACTCTATTTGTCACCTTCTATGCTGGAATTCATATAGCCAAGAGTGTTTTCCTTAGCACTGTTGGGTTTTCATTTTTTTAAATCCCTTTTCTAGCTAGGAAGTGATCTACCAAACCACATCTTATCATACACTTTTCTTCTTCACCTTCCTAATGGAATTGGTCAGGGAGTGCTAATTGCTATAATAATACCCTTAAAATCTCAGTGGCTAAACAAACACAATTTTACTCATCATTTACTTCTAATTCCAATAAGGGCCGATGGCTGAGTGGGGTGGAGCTTTGGGACAGATTCAAATCCCTCTAATCTAGTAACTCCACAGCCTTCTGCACCTTAGAATCCTCCTTTGCAGCCTCTACAAGCATCAAGCAGGCAATGTGGAGGGAGAGGACCAGCTCTGAAAGGGACAGACCTAATTTCCTGTCCTTTTTTAGGCTTAGAACACAGTCATTTAACCTCATTATTCCACAGGGAGGCCGCAGAATATAATCTTTCTGTGAGCCAAGAAAAAAAAAAAGTAAACAAATAGGATTATCTTTTGCATACACACACACAAAGTATTATTTCCAAGTCCTATTTTCACTTCTCTTCCTAAATCTTTACTAAAATGATATTACCCTGAAAACAGACTGTATGGGTATTAATTACTTTCAGATTTTTACTTTCTGGTTTTCTCTACCTTTCACAGTTTCTAAAAGTAATGAAAAAATAATAATAACTTTTTTTCCACTAGCCAAAGGCAAATTTAATGTTTCCTTTGATTGCGTAAATTTTAACAAATTTGTTGACCAGATCCTCAGTAAACCTCTCTTAGAAAACTTGCATGTAAACAAATAATTATCACTTCATGATGGAGAGCCACCAAATGCCTGTTTTACGTCCACCTTGTTTATACGCAGACGGAGTTATTTAGTTTTCTGCAGAATTTTATCTAGTAACTAAGGGTCAAAGTTTCATAACAAGTATTGAGAAAACTGATATTAGTCTCCAGATGTGATGTAGTATGAAATTCACATTTTTATTTTGCCCAATTTAAGCTAGCCTCAGGACTTCTTGTTTTTATCAAATAAAAGGAATAAGGGATAAGTTAAAGGGCACACGAAAAAAAATCCATCTTAATTTGAAGTCTCTCTCAAAGCAGATCCTGAAACAGGACTTGGGTGCATGCAGTTTCAGTGGAAGAAGATCTCAGAAAGCACAAGTAGGAGAAAGGAAGAAGAGAGGAAACAGAGAAAAGCCAATAAAATTTATGTTACCTGTCAGCTTACTGCTGCAGGCAACTAAGGTACAGTCCTACTGGGAAAGCTTTGAGAAACCAAGTTGAATTTCCCCTGAAGGCATAGGGAAGCTTGGGTATTCAGCCGCCTGTTCACATCCCATCCCTTCTATCCTAGCAAGTGCCAATTGTCCCAGCTCAGACAAGCTCCAGGGGTGCTCTAAAAAGCAGAGAAACAGACAGGAATGGGGGACGTGGCAGGGGACAAGGTAAAATGTTAGAAAATATTGAAATTGAATCTGGGTAGAGACTTTCTCAACGCGTATTGTACCATTTCTTCATCGATCCTGTATCTCAGGAAAAAAAAAAATTATAAAATGTTGGGAGAAAAGAAAGAAAATAGTTCATGCAAAACAGTATGTCAATGACAGGCTTGTATGTTTACCAACATTAAGCAGTAGGAGCTATTATCTTAAAAATATTGTACATGGATATTTTAAAAATTTACTTTTTTTAAAGTTCTAAATATGTAGACAATTATCCTAAATAAAAAAAAGCATTCTAAGTTTCTTTCAAAATACTTACTCTTTTCAGTAAAACATTATATTTATGATGTTCAAACTTTTATTACAAGATCTACTCAAGGCATAAAGAGAAACAGATACACTGGGAACACTGAGAAATTGTATGAAAAATGTCAGAAGCATGGGCCCTGGGAAATTTATTTTTAATTCCACAAACACAGTTAGTTAAAATATAGGCATATGTCAGTTACATCTGATGAGGCTCTCTTGGTAGTCGCAGTGGATGATGAAGAAATCCTGTGTCTTGTGAAATAAAACTGATCACTAGTGAGATTTTCAAAGGACAATTAGGAAGAGTCAAAGCTATCTCCCGACTTAGCTCCTACTTAACTTGAGAAGTTACCGCACATAACACTCTACTGTGAGTGTAGACTTTAATCAAGTAAGTATATATATGGAGATACATATTCAGCTCAGGAACTAAAGTTCCACTTTAAATAGGTGATGTTTATGCAATGTATGGTTGTGAAGTGGAAGCTGAAATATCTCACATCATGTAAATAAAAAAAATACAGATATTTCTCACAAAATTCCTGATATATTAGATCAAACAGTTGTCATGTGTTTTGGTTTTTGTACTCTAAAATTCAGATCTTGATCAAAATCTAAGGACTAACTGAAGACTGTTCCTCAATTTTATTAGCAAGAACAACAACAACAAAAATCTGAATACATGTAAATCAACAGAACTCAATGTTACTTATGGGAAGGCCTATATTTGTAGACGAATCCATGCTTGGACAAAAGAATCCCTCTACTCCTTTCCACCTAAGTTACTAAATTATAAAGTTAGGTCAAGACAAAAGGCTCAAGTCTTGATACCAAGCCAATGTTTAATTTGCCTTGGATTATTAACTTTGCTTATATATGACATACTAACCTTATGAAAGAAAATCGTTGGCAAGAAAAAATATTAATATATTCTTGTTCTCCTTGGAATTTTATGTCATAATTATGCAAAAAAGGTCAAAATTGAACACTCCTGTTACTGATAAACAGCATCAGTTTATATTTCTCTAAACCCCTAATAAAGTATGTATATGATTAGTTAGAAGAAAAAGGTGGATTTTCCAGGAATAAGTCCATCGTTGAATGTCTCCATCATTTTTAACATTTCTGAATGTGAAATGCATTTTAACATCGCCGGCTTTTTCCCTGAAAATGGCCCATGTTTATAACTCTTTCTAGGAGTATATGAAATAATCACGTTTTTTTACAGTCAATAATGGTTTGAATCCATTGAGACTTCATGAATCATCATCTAATCAATCCTAATCAATTATGTGAATAACTTACTAAAATGAAGTATATGTCTAGAAAAAATTATCAGATATTTTAGTCATCAACAGAATAAATAGGATCTTCCTGAGAAAAGCAATTTGATACATATGAGTATGTGAATCAGATTTGATGACATTAACAAAGATATCATTAATCTATTCTGTTTAGATGTTGTCAAAGGTATGGTTATCATTTTGGCCTGTTTTGGATGCAAATATCAGAAAATACAACACAAGTAGGTTTACTTTTTTGGCTTGTGTAATTGAGAAAAACAGGGTTTATCAAGGTTTATCTGACTCAATAGGCATCATCAGAACCTGGCTTCTTTCATTCTCTCTGCTCTTTTCCTTGTTAATTACATTATCAGACTCCATCTGGGAGCAAAACGGCTATATCCTCCCTGTTGCAAACCGCCTGCCTGAGTACTGAGGGCATGCCTCAAAAATTTCAAATCAGCTATTTTAAATGTATTCAACAAGCTAAAGAAAATCATGTCCAAAGAACTAAAGGAAAGTGTGAGACTGATGTTTCATGAGACTGAGAATATTAATAAAAAGACAGGTATTATAAAATATAAAATTATGGAGTTGAAAACTACAATAACTAAAATGAAAAATTCAGTAGAAAGGCTGCAGAGCTGCTGTGAGCAGGCAAGAGAAACATTTAAAAACAATAATTAATAGGTAAAAAGTGTGATATATAATGAAATGATTTCAGTCACAGAAAGATTAAACCCCTCTTACATGCTACAACATGGAATGAACTTTTCAAACATTATGCTATGTAATAAAAGTCAGACACAAAAGGCCACTTATTGTATGATTTCATTTGTTCAAAACATCCAGAATATGCATAACCACAGATAGAGGATGTGAATTGTGGTTGTCTGGGTATGTATGGAGGGGAAATTTACAGCTATCTGATCATAGATACAGAGTTTCCTTTGTGGGTGATGAAAATGTTGTAGAAATAGCTAGTGGTTATGGTTGCACAACAGTAAACATGCTAAAAACCATGAAGATTTTCATTCTAAAATGGTGTGTATTGTTATGAGAAGCATATATCAATTTAAAAAGTTATTTTTTAAAAAAAATGTTGTAAAGTCAAAAGTCTGACAGTATGTTGAAATTAAAGGGTACATTGGGAAGTTAACTGAACTGGAAGTAAAATGATTGAAAAGTTATTTCAGAATAAACCAATCGTCAGTTTCTACTGACAGTAAATTGGATGAAGCTGGGAATATCTGTTCGTTCTGTATAATCAAGGAGTAGCCACCTTGGAGAATATCTAAATTATTAAAATGAGAAAAACACCAGAAACAATGTGCAATTTTAGTTCTAACTCCCTGAAATCACATCTATGTTGCTTGACTTATGGTAGCCGAGAGTTAAACGGGATTCCAGAATGGCTTACCTTTTAAGTCACTTGCTCTAAAGTAGAAGAAATATTAAAATCACCTGCTCTAATATCTGTGCTGAGCTGATAGGTGTATCAAGTCTTCCAGGTGTATGGCTGAGAGAGAAAATTGGCTGAAAATATGGGCAGCCCCCCAAATGGTAGATGTTTCTAGAAAGAGAAAGTGGAATGAATCATTCGCATTGGACAGGGCCTCTCAATTCAGCGAAGCTGGGTGTTCTGCTGTAGGATAGTCCCCAAGCTTCTCAACACCCACTCACTCAGAGAGAAAAGGACACAAATCATCTGAAATCTGGCATATTATAGAACATTCAGTAACAGTTCCATATGTGATTGCTGAATTTTTAGTTTTTTAAAATTATTTCCATTTGATTCATTTTCATTTGTTTTCTGAAAAATTAGAGAGATACCCATAAAAAAGCCTGTCCCACAGGGGACTTGAGGCTCAGATATAATCACTGCTGCACTCACTGAGTATCAGTCACTCCCGTTGATATTTTAAAGACTTTAATCTTTAAATTAAATATTTGAATTATCTATTTTGTTTCATTTTATGAATGAGAAAACTGAACCTCAGAAAGGTTAGGTAAATCCCTTAGGATTATAAATGTGAAAGCTATGGTTGAAACCCAGTATTATCAGACTCTAAGTACAGTTTGCTGTTTGCTCCTTAAATACACCTTCATAAAAAGAAAGATGTCCTTCACACTATGTGCATCCCCTCTCTGGAAATTAAATTCAGAAATGACTAGATTATGTGCCAAATACTGTATGGTAATGGTTAAAAACAGAGTGACCATTGAATAAGCATGACTAGAAAAATTAGAGCTGATAATTTCTCAAATCTACAGAGAAAATTTCAGATCATACTTAGAAAATAAGACATAAGTAAAAGATATTTTAGCACAAGTATATTTGCTAAAGCAAATTTTACTTTAACAGAGAGAAACTTATTCTGCATAATTCATAGAATTCATAAGGAATTCTGCTTGTTTTTAGCTATCTCTTTGGCTTTTGTCATGAAAGCATAATTAACTATAAAAAGAAAATTTCCGTATAGCATGTTCTATGAGAACCTGAAAAGAGAGCATTAGAAGATTGTCACACCAGAGATCTATTTTAAGACCATTTATGTAAGACATCCCAGATAATTATACTGTAGAAGGTATCTTTTCCTATCTTTAGGCAGCATTTTAAGTAAGAAATGCAGAACAAAACCATCAAAGTCAGTAGAAATAAAATGCGATCACTTTTCACAATGATTCTTGGAGAAACCACATAATGGCTAAAGCAGCCTAAAATTACTTGGGATAGGTTAAATAAAGTAAACATGGCTTATTAGATTTCCATAGAGTTAATAGTCTACATAGTCTAATGTTTTATAGACAAAACCTCTGTCATTCTGTTTTATAGAGTAACTCCTACCTCATCACTTCCAATCACATTTACTGCATTTACTAAACATCACTAACCTGTCAGCTGTTAATCGTCTAGTCAATGAGCTAGTTGAGTGGGTTATCAGGTGATTCCAATTCAGAAAGATAGCCACTCTCCATGAGAACATGACATGAGAACATGCTTCTGTCTTGTCTCTAATTCTGTTTTGCCTCCTTGAACACTGAGTTAAAATGGAAAGACATTGGAAATGATATCTTGTAGAAAAAAAAACTCACATGTACAGATAAGAGTATCTCTTTCTAATAAGAACAACTATTCCAAAACTGCATAATTTTGAATGTTACGTATGATGAAAACTCTTGTTATGGTGATGCTGCTATGATTCATTTAGAAGAATTTGTGTAACAGGGACCACGTAAATTTTAATGCTCAGAGAATCTAGGCATGCATGATTTAAGATTAATTGGACAAGACAAGGCTATATAGAAGATAAGGCTATAATGTCTTTATTCTCAAGAACATCTCTGATGGACTAACCAAAAAAGAATAAGGCTTCCATAGATCAGATTTAACCAACAAAAATATAGAATGTTTAGTTAATCATGTTTTGGAGTGATGTCCTAAATCTTACATATGGCATATTTATAGTAAAACATGTGATATGGTTTGGCTGTGTCCCCACCCAAATCGCACCTTGAATTGTAGTTCTGATACTCCCCATATGTCATGGGAGGGATCTGGTGGGAAGTAATTGAATCATGGGGGTAGTCACCACCATGCTGTTCTCATGATAGTGAGTGAGTTCTCACAAGATCTGATGGTCTTGGTCTTATAAGGGGCTTTTCCCACTTTGCTTGGTGCTTCTCTTTCCTGCTGCTGCAACAGGAAAAGTTCCTTTGTCTCCCTCACAGTGTGTGTGTGGCTTGCTTCTTCAGTGCCCCGCTGCTCAAACCTCCAGGGGAGCATACAGATGGGCAGACTGTGGGGCTCTGACCCCACAGCAGTGTCTACAGGTGAATGTTGATAGCTGAGGCCCCAGTGGGTGTGTGCTACAGGGTGCTCTTTTAGTTCAGCCGTCCGTAGGCAGCTTGTGTTTACCAGCTTAATTAGACCCTCTACTTTGTTGCAAGGACAGACGGCTTTCTGTATCCCGGGGTTCTTGCCTTGGTGTACTGGAAGAATCAGAACACGGGTGGGCTTGGGGGATGAGTGCAAGGTTTTATTAAGTGGAAGTAGCTCTCAGAAGATGGGAAACCCAGAAGGGAGATGGTTTTCCCATGGAGTCAGGCAGCCAAGCGCCTGACACTTCTCTGACACCTGCCCCCCAACAACTGCATAATTCCACCAGTAAATGGCCTGCCTATGTGCTGGCGTCTGTCAGTGGGCTCTTCTGCCAGCGTGCTCCCCTGGACATTCTCCTGACGTCCAGCCACTTGTGTCTTCTTCCACTGATCCACTCCTCCCCACGTCCAGCCGCTTGTGTGGCTGCCTGCTAGGTTCTTGAGGTTTTTATAGGCACAGGATGGGAGCATGGTGGGCCAGGGTAGTCTTGGGAAATGCAACATTTGGGCATGAAGGCACGAGTGACTGTCCTCACCTAGGTCCGTGGGCATAGGCTGGGGAGGAGCCCTCACCAGGGACCAAGTCCTTCCCTTCCCAGCACTTCCCTGCCCGCCTCCTCTATCACGCCGCGTGAAGAAGAACGTGTTTGCTTTCCCTTCCACCATGATTGTAAGTTTCCTGATGCCTCCCCAGCCCTGCACAACTATGAGTCAATTAAACCTGTTTCCTTGATAAATTATCCAGTCTCAGGTAGTTCTTTATAGTAGTGTGAGAACAAACTAATACAACATGATTTGTTGTTTATATGAAATTTAGATTTCTCTAGGTATCCTGCATCTTCCATGTCAGCCTTAGGTTCAAAGTGAGTTAGCAGAATCGTGGACATAAACTAATACACCCCCAGGTTCCAGGTCCATAAGCTCACTGCACGCAGTTGCTATAAGCTTTCTGCATTGTTCTTTACATAAATACTTGTGATTATTACTAGCCAGATAACCATATAAAAGCCCAATTCTTTATTTAAAATATTTTTCAGATATTTTAGAAATAAATTATATTCAAATATATAATAGGACTAGGAGCAATTATGTTGGTAGATTTAAATGGATAAAAACTCAAGGGGAAAATTAGACTTAATTTATTGTACTTGTTAACAAAGTTACTTTGCACAATAAATCCTTCAGAAATCAGGTCTGTTCTTTTAGTGAGGCATTTTGTAAACACTTACATGGACATAGTGTGAAGTTTTATTCCAGTTCTACTTCTGATATTAATTTATAGATATTCAGCTATCTTATTATTTAATGATTTAATCTTTTTTTTTTTTTTTGCCTTTTCTCTATCACCTATCATTTTACTATTCGGAATTCATTGTTATCTCCATCTTAAAAGGAAATAAAAATAATAAAATTCAATGGGCCAGTTTTTCTATTTGATGAAGAAATAATTTAAATACTTTAAAAATTGAAGCAAGTTTTCCATTATCCATTGCATTTATTTTCCTAGTAAAAAGGAATAAATGATATTTGGCAGCTTTTAATTTTAAAATTGCTCTAAAAATTATCTGCCAAAAACTAAACTACACTTACACTTCAAGAATATTCATGAAACTAACACTTCAAGTATTTATATGTTTCAAAAATATATATTTAACATTTTATATTACAAATTACTTTGTTTTGCAAATAGAAAATGCTTAATTTAAATGTTGATATTAAAAATGTATATGTACATATATGCACCCATGTGAATATATACACATACCAATTATATTTGCATCTATTTATATAACCATATGTAAACTTTTATATGATTATAGCATGCTAGTGAAATTAGTTTTACCATATTTATAGATAGGAAATTAAGCAGGTTTAATGCATCTTAAATTAATAATTTTAGAGAGCTTGCCTAGCATTTGTAAAAAACATAATCAAGAATAAGTAAATATCATTTTAAATATTAGTTAAATTAATATAAGCAAAGGATCATGTACTTATGTTGGTCTTATTGTTCTATATCTGTATAAAAAAGATACCTATTCAATCCCAAATATAATATACACACTGAACTTTTGCCAATCACTCATAATAGTTGATTATAAAACCTTAAAATTATGCAATATTAGAAAATAAAATGAGAAAATAAAATTCTTAGCTGAAAGATTATGGTAAAACTTTTTTGAAGAGTATCCACCTGCAACATGAGAATTTTATTTTTGATATTCTCTTTCTCTACAGATCTAAGTGAATAGACAAATATAAGACAGATGTTGGCTGAATTTCACCCTCTGGAAACAATGGTCAGGTTAATAACCTGACCTTCCTCTTAGAAGGAAAATTGAAGCCATTCTTCCACCTGGTTTAGACAGTGACCATGAAAAGAAGTGATTAGATGCAATGTAACGAAAACCACAACATTTTTGCCATGAGCAAGTCTATCACTGGCAGAACTAAATTTTTACTCAAAATTTGAGACTGTTCTTCGATGAAGCAAATTTAATCAAATAGTAGAGAAACCTAAATGAGGAGTACAGAAGGAAATGCTGGTCAAGAAGTCTCCAGAAAATATGTCTGAAGACTCACTTTTGTTTGTTTTTGTTTTTGTTTTTTTAAATGACACAATTGCAGAGTCAATTTAGGTGTGAACGGTAGTACTCCATAGAAAAAGAATATGATGTGAGTAGGCCCAGAAGGCACACACATGCTAATTATATTAGCAACGTGTTAGTTGTGTAGTCCCAATGAAGACTTTGAGAATGAAGAATTAGACCTGGTGCACAGGTGGTTCTGCATGATATATGGGCACTACTCAGAAGAGGACTGTTTCAGCATGATAGTCCTACTCATGGGAGGCCCTAAAGAACACTGCTGAAAGGAAATCCTCCCAGTTGGCATTACTTGCAGCAGTGAACCTATTGTTTTGCCTGGAAAGAGAAAGAGACATCATTTAAGAACAGATCTACTTCAATACATGGGCAGTGGCTATCAATTTATATGAATATGTGCTTAGAAGAAACACAATTGGAAAACTGGTGACGAAAAATTCTGGGGAGTACCCTATGCTACAGCACCATTCTCTGAGGAAATATGCAGCTAGGTTGATTGCATTGGTCTTGTTGATTGCATTGGATCATTTTCATCAAGAGAAGTGCAAGACTTTGTTCACATGGGAATAGACACTCTGGATACAGATTTGTCTTCCTGTTTCTAATGCACCTGCTGAAATCACTATTCAAAGATTTACAACAGCATTATTCATTGTCATGTTATTTATCATAGCATTGCTTCTGATCGGATAATTCACTTTACTGCATATAAAAAGCATGACAATGGATTTGGGGATATGGAATTCACTGGACCCAACGTTTCATGTTACCTTGAAGCAGCTGGCTTGATGGAATGGAGGGCTGACCTTTCAATCAGTTGATAATAGTGACAACTGGATTATAACATTTTGTAGACATAAAGGAACATCCTTTATATTTCTCCCATAGCCAGGATTTAAGGGTCTGGTAATCAAGGGAGGAAAATATGAGTAGGTCCTCTTCATATTACACCTGCTTATTTATTAGAAAAAAATTCCTTTTCATGAATATTAGGGTCTTTGTTAGTTTAGAGGTCTTAGCTTCTAAGGGCAGAATCCTCCCCTTAGTGAACTGAGTAATGATTCCATTAAACTATAAGCTTAGACTGCACTTGGCCACTTTGGTCTCCTTGGACTCCCAAGATGGTAGGCATAGAAAGGGGTGATTATACAGGACAAAGTGACTGGCTTCATAAATATAAATAAATAAATAAGGTTGTTACTAAAACATGAAAGAGGGAGAAGTATGTCTGGAATACAGATGATTCCCTGTGGAGGCTCTTAATTATCCCATGTTCTATGTTAAAGTTAATGAAGAAACCAATATGCACAGATTTCAGAAATGAATGTTTGTTCAGTGTTTGCAAGGTAGAAGCAAATCAGCAAATCATGATACTCTGAGAGTTTCTTTGATGAGACACAGAGGTGCTGGCCAAGTCCAGCTTTTCATTGCTCTACGTTCCTCCATGACCAGCTCTTTCTCTGACCCCTGCTGTGCTAATCAACAGCAACAGCAAGGCCACCACCTGATGCAAAGCCTGATACACACCTAGGCATCCATTCACTTTCATGATTATATTGAAGCTGCTGCACATGCCTGGCTTCACATCTTTCTCTGCAAGCTCATCTTGTCCACTCACCATATCACAGTGCTTCACAGAGATTGCTTAGGACCTCTCTGATCCTTCACATTCTCTTTCCTGACTTCACCATCCCACCTCCTTCTACTACTGAGTAAAGTCAAATTCCAACAATAAATCTCTTATTTATAAATACCAATAGTGGTTCCTCTTTCTTGATCAAATACTGATTGATACAGCTCTAAATTAAAGCCAAAAATTTCAAGCAGATTTTTTCCTCATTAACTTACCAAAAAATGTGTTTTCTGCATGGAATTTTATTTTTGAGACAAATCACTTGCTTTTTCTGCCAAAAAATCCTCACTCCATCAAATACAAGCATCAATATTGTTCAGACATAAATTACCAAAAGCAAATACATTATGGAAAGGAAGTTGAACGTGAATATTCAACCAGCTTCAATATGGAAACGTCACTGTGTTCTACCTCCCCAGCCATCATCTGCCCATCCGGCACTGATCTGATTCATTAGAGGGACTCAACCAACTAAAGGAAGAAAAATATCTTTTCCTAGACAGAAATAAAGTTCCTTCACTTCTAAGAATTGTTTAAAACCAGCCTTCACTACCTTGAGGTGAACAAAATTAGTCTGTAGTTTGATAAACTATTTGGACTTTTAAAAGTGTTTCTTTCAGCTCTATTGGTGACAAAGAAAAATAGTGTGTGTGTGTATGTGTGGTGTGCGTGTGCACACACATGTGCTGAAAGTCATGTATTTGTATCAAGAGACAATGGAGGAAAACCTGTAGAGAATTATATATGAAGTTCTAGAGACCTGGGAAACCATAAAAAGGGCCTTGTCTTAGAAGAAGGTAAATGTATAAGGGAGCTTCTAGGCTTCCAGAGAGGGACCAGTGTGGAGATTATTCTTTGAGAGCCTTTTTTTTTTTTTTTTTTTGTAGATGAGGTCTCTCTCTGTTTTCCCAGGCTGGAGTGCAGTGGTGTGATCTCGGCTCACTGAAACCTCCACCTCCCAGGTTCAAGCGATTCTCCTGCCTCAGTCTCCCAAGTAGCTGAGACTATGGGACTACAGGTGCATGCCACTATGCCCAGCTAATTTATTGTATCTTAGTAGAGATGGGGTATCACCGTTGTTGCCCAGGCTGGTCTTGAACTCCTGAGCTCAGGCAATCCACCCACCTTGGCCTCCCAAAGTGTTAGGATTACAGGCCTGAACCACTGCACCTGGCCAATTCTTCTAGAGCTTTTAATGTTACCCAAACTGAAGCATTACCAGAAAAATGACCTCGTCTTCACAGAATTAAGAACTTTGCTTTACCTACTCCCAGGTTCTCCTTTTGCAGCTCTTATTTTGGGGTGGTAGAGAATGTTGCCCCTTTAGCACTTTAATAACTGATTAGCTAAACAGAGATGACCCTCATAGTGCTGAAACACTTTGCTCTATGTCTATCAGGGTTTTTTCATGTTGACACCTTTCCACAACATTCAGTGATGCTCATGAACCCAAGGCATGGCTGACCAAGAAATGATCATCCCTTGGGTTGGCAAGAAGATTATCCATATACATCAAAAGGAGAGTGGGGTAGACAGCAAAATAACAACAACTTGGGACAACTGTATTAACACCCATGGTGACAGAAGTATGATTGCTTCCATTAATATGCTTCTATGCTTTGAGACTTTTTTTCAATTTCAAATTTTATTTCAGATACAAGAGGTACATGTGAAGGTTTGTTACATGGGGATATTGCATGATGCTGAGGTTAGGGGTGCAGATCCCATCACCCAGGTAGTGAGTATAGTGCCCCATAGGTAGATCTTAAACCCATGCCCTTCTCCCTTCACCCCCTCTAGTAGTCCATGGTGTCTGTTATTCTCATATTTTTGTCCGTGTGCGCTTAATGTTGAGCTCTCTTAAAATTTTTTAAAAAATTCCTTAATAAATTGCAACCATTTGCTCTCATAAATTTTTTGATTGCTGATACAATACACATGAATAGAGAAATACTCTGATGAATTTTGAACTCACAAATTAGTAAAGATACTTAACTTTTACTACGAAGCCCCTTTCCAAAAAAAAAAAAACAACAACAACAAAAAGAAAAGCAAAGCCAAAGTACATCTAATTGAATTCCAAACTCTGCCTTGTTGTTGTTGAGTTGGAGGCTGGGTGGTTGTTGCAGTAGCACCAAGGTATTGCAATCCACTTCTGCCTCTCCAGCCCCATTTCACATTCTCATCATCATTTTGTCCCAAACTCGAACTCCATTCCCTGCCTTGAACCAACCTTGCTTTCTTCTGCATTGGCACTAAATACAGGATTTTTTTTCCCTGAGAGGCTTATCCTCGCTGTTGCTCTGAATATTCACACCTATCCCATAGATCTCAACTCAATGCCATTTAAGAATCCATTTTTGTGGCACATATACACCATGGAATACTATGCAGCCATAAAAAATGATGAGTTCATGTCCTTTGTAGGGACATGGATGAAGCTGGAAACCATCATTCTCAGCAAACTATCACAAGGACAAAAAACCAAACACTGCATGTTCTCACTCATAGGTGGGAATTGAACAATGAGAACACATGGACACAGGAAGGGGAACATCACACACGGGGGCCTGTTGTGGGGTGGGGAGAGAGGGGGAGGGACAGCATTAGGAGATATACCTAATGTAAATGATGAGTTGATGGGTGCAGCACACCAACATGGCACATGTATACATATGTAAGAAACCCACACGTTGTGCACATGTACCCTAGAACTCAAAGTATAATAAAAAAAAAAAAAAAATATATATATATATATATATATATATATATATATATATATATATATCCATTTTTAACCTCCCAGAGCCCTGCCCACTATTCCCTAATATTCATCCTCTCTCTTCTAGCATTTGCCATGGTTAAAATCTTATCTGTAATTATATGGTCATTTGTCTACTCTGTCTCCCTAGTAAGTTAAAAATTCCCAGAAGACCAAGACTATTTCTGATCTTTAACAAACATAGTATTTTAGAAGTTGGCACATATTATTATTTACTTATAAATATTTTTTGTTGTTGTTGAGGTCCTTACTGTCTTCAAATGTCCATATAAGATTTTCTTTAGAAACATGATATATTATTGAATTATTTCATTTTTCTGTGTTAATTGAAGAAAATATAATAAAGCATATTTCTATTCAATACCAAAGTTCAATCATAAAATTGTGCATATTAGTTTCTCAAAAACATTATTGAAATCATTTAGGTACTGTATTTTATAGTAAATGGGAAATATATTTGACAAGTAAAATATAAAATTATAATTTACACAATGTTGTTTACAGAAATGTCTCATCCTGCATGAATTTTTTGGATGAGCTTATTTCTTTCATTGTATTTTTCCTCATTACTCATGCATTTGAGAAGTAAACATTTGCCTGTTTATGCCCTGAGGGAAACTTTCAATTGAAAATTCAGTTCAGAGCTCCCTTTCTCTCTCTCTCTCTATATATATATGTTTGTATGTGTATATATACATGTGTATGTGTATATATATACACATACAAACATACATATAATAAATATATCTAGTATATAAAAGCATATATAATGGATAAATACATCAAGCGTATGTAAGTATATATAATGGATATATAGATCTAGTATATATTATAGATACATGCATATATATAGAGAGAGCAAGAGAGAGAGCTCTCAAAAATATATAAATTCTGAAAAAAAGTTCTATCTATATGTATGTTTAGAGACAGGGTCTCACTTTGTTGCCCAGGCTGGAGTACAGTGGCATGATCATAGCCCACTGCAGCCTCAAACTCCTGGCCACAAGCAGTCCTCCTGCCACGGCCTCCCAAAGCACTGGGATTATGGGCCCTGATCTACTGAACTTGGCATCTGAATATTGTTAATGTTTCCCTTTTACTTGGTATAATTATTTTCCTCTACCTGTAGCATAACTTTTATGTAGATTAGACATATATTACAAAATACTTGATACTTTATTTAAACTCTACATTTTCAAGTGGTTATTAAACACATGCCACTAATATGCTTCTTTATTTTTCAAACATTGAAATATAAATGAAAGTCAGTTTGCATATACACCATAATTACTTACCTTATGGAAATTTGAAATTTATACAATGATTAGGGATTTTTATAAAAACTATAAAATGGGGAATTTTTAAAGATAAAGTGTAACTTTTTCAACATATTCTTATATGTAATAGAGTTTTTATTTATATTATAAGAATGCATTTGTAGATATGCAGAGTGAAAATTAACCAAATAACATATGAATTGGAGAAATCACCTCCATGTAGCACACAATAAAAATATGATACATATATAAAATCTGAAAGAGCAATCAAGAGCTCATAGAAGATAAAATGAAAAGGCCATGACTAATAACCTTTTGATAATATGACTAATGTGTGTTGAAGAGACAGAGCAGCAAAAAAAGAGGCAAAATTCAAAGATACTGGATGAAAATTTTTCCAGAATTGAAAAAATAAATTCTTAGCTGGAAAAACATGACGACCATTCAGCAAAATAAACTAGCAATTTTAAAAATTAACAATTCACACTTTCACAGTGAAGCTACAGAATAAAAAATAAAGAAAATCACAACATTTACAAAGAAAAATGGGATTATTTACAAAAGAGAGAAATTATTTGCAGGCTTTGCAAAGAGAAAAATAGTTTGCCAAAAGAATGGAAGTCTGAAAATAGTTACATTAATTTCCAAATGCTGGGGAAAAACACAGTCAAGATTATGTACACCAGATTAAAATATTATTTGAGTGAGTGAGAAATAAAGGCACTTTCAGTTAAACAAAAGCAATGGAAATCTATGCCTGGAATCAGAAATAACCTCTTGATTTAAAATATAGATATCTATATCAGATAGTCTTGTAATTAGTACTTGATGTGCTTTTACTTTTCAATTCCTAGAATAGTGACTGTCACACGGTAGATGTTTAATAATTATTTTTTTGATGGTTCAATTTGAAACGATCTAAAACAGTGCTACTTTGAAACCATAGAGTCAATGCAATGGCCTAGAGCAGTGGCCTGTGCATTAAGGCATGTAAATTCTAAGAGTCCCCAAACATTTTTCAAGAGAGTCACAAATGAGACAGTTTTAAGAGAATTCTAGATTGCTAACTTCCACATATATTCTTCCCTTAAAGTGTTTGCCCTGAGGTTTTCTTCTTTTTTTCTCCATTAATTTTTTTATTATACTTTAAGTTCTAGGGTACATGTGCACAACGTGCAGGTTACATATGTGTACATACGCCATGTTGGTGTGCTGCACCCATTAACTCGTCATTTACATTAGGTATATCTCCTAAAACAATGAGAACACCTGGACGCAGGAAGGGAGGTTTTCTTATAGTGGGGCAACAGGAATCTTTATTTCCTTTCTACAGTACATTGCAGCAAAGTATCAAAACACTCAGGATCCAAATAAAAGGTTGCGGGGCAACTACCAACATGGGTGAAATATTTTTTTAAAGTTTGCATCATATACCCTTGATTGGGTTTTATGTTCTTATATCTTACATATTTTTTTCCAATGAAGGGTGAAATGTTGCATTTGAAGCCTAGGATTTTAGGCTACATGGGAATACTCTCCAATCAGATATGTTATGTTGAAGACTATAATTTAGTATTTTCTATTTTTGTGAACATTTACTCAGAAAAGAAGAGGAATGCTTTTGTTAACTTTTACTAAATGTATTAATTTATACTATTTTGTTAACTTGAGAGCATTTCTTCTCCTTCCCATTATTTGTCAATCACTAGATATTTCTTCATTCTTTCATACATTTATTAAATTTAGTATATCCTCATTTTGTTGAGGGTCCTACTACGAACAATGCATTTAACACCAATTACTAATAGCCCTTTCCTTTAAGCTTTACACTTCCTAGTGAACTTCTCTTACTAATGGTCTTATTTTTGCTATCAACTTCCAACGAAAACTGTATCATTCTGCAACTGGCAATGGCCAGCTCAGATTGGTTGGACCGATAAGAAGCTCCAAAGCATTTCCCAAAGCCAAACTTGCACCAAAAGAAAGGTCATAGTCACTGTTCAATGGTCTGTCTGATCCACTACAGCTTTTTGAATCCCAGCAAAACCATTACAACTGAGAAGTATGCTCAGCAAATCAATGGGATGCACCAAAAACTGCAACACCTGCAGCCGACATTGGTCAACAGGAAGGGCCCAATTCCTCACAGCAATGCCTGACTGCACATCATTCAGCCAATGCTTCAAAAGTTGAACAAATTGAGCTACAAAGTTATGCCTCAACTGCCATATTCACCTGACTTGCAGCCAACCGACTACCACTTCTTCGAACATCTTGACAACTTTTTGCAGGGGAAACACTTTCATAACCAGCAGGATGCAGAAAATGCTTTCCAAGACTTTGTCGAATCCTGAAGCACAGATTTTTACACTACAGGAATAAACAAACTTGTTTCTTGCTGGCAAAAAGTGTTGATTGTAATGGTTCCTATTTTGATTAATAAAGATGTGTTTTAGCCTAGTTACAATACTTTAAAATTCACAGCCCAAAACTGCAGTTATGTTTGCAACAATCTAATAATTATTTCAATCTTTGAAAAAATTTGTCTGATAGAATCCTGAATTCCTTCTTTGTGTTATTTTGAATTTCATTTGGCTTACTGAAAACAGCTGTTTTGAATTCTCTATCTAAAAGATCATCTCTCTCTCTCTCTCACAGCACTGGGTCTCTCCCAAGGCCTGCAGTGACCACTGCCTGGCTACTGCCTATGTTCCCTCAGGGCCCATGGCCTCTAATATCACCAGGTGATAAACTCAGCCAGGCTTGTGTCCTTCACTTTAGGGTGGTAAGTTCACCCTGGCCCCGGGCAGGTCCAAAGATGCTTGTCTGGGAGGAATCTATCTGGTGTTCTATTCTACTGTGACTGATCTAGGTACCCAAGTTGCAAAACAAAGTCTTCCTCACTCTTCCCTCCCTATCCCTCAAGAACAGGAGTCTTAAGCCAGGTGCAGTGGCTTAAACCTGTAATTCCAGCACTTTGGGATGCCAAGGCAGGGGAATTGCTTGAGTCCAAAAACAAAGACAAAAACAACAACAACAAAAAATACTCAAAAAGAAAAGAAATCAGCTGAGCATGGTGACTTGTACCTGTAGTCCCAGCTACATGGGAAGCTGAGGTGGGAGGATTGCTTGAGCCCAGGATATCGAGGCTGCAGTGAGCCATGATCCTGCCATTGCAATCTTGCCTGAGTGACAGAGCAAGACCTGTCTGAAAATAATTAACAAGCAAATAAACAAAAATAATAGGAGTCTCTCCCTGTGGCTACTACCACCTGAGGCCCATGGCAAGTACTGCCTTGTTACTGCCAGTATTCACTCAAGATCTGTGGCTGACTCAAGGTTCACTCTTCAGCTGGCTTGCAGTGAATGTTCACAGGCCTGACTCTCTTTTTTTTTTTCAAGAGAAGTGGGCTCCCCTCTTGTCCAGAGAAGGTTCAGAAATACCTGTCCAGAAGCCAAGGCCTGGAAGCAGGGACCCAAACAGCCCCTTGGGGCTCTACCCCACTGTGGCGGCGCTGGTCCCCAGCTGTAAGACAAAGTCCTCTTTTCTCTTACCTGTCCTTTCATCAATCAGGAGTCAGTTTCCGTAGCCATCACATCTGGGTATGTGCTGCATATGAAGCCAGCAGGGCTCTGAGCCTCACCCAAGGCCTGCGGCGAGTACTGCCTGGACACCACTACTAATTATTCATGGCCCAAGGGCTCTTTAGTTAGGAGAGAATAAATCTTTCCAGGACTGGATCCTTCCCAACAGGGCATTGGGGTTCCTTTTGACCCAATGTGATTAAAAATGTTGTCTGGGAGCTAGGGTCTAGAATGAGTACTTCGCCCAGTGCCCTATCGTACTGTGGCTGAGCTGGTATTCAAGTCGCAGAACCAAGTCCTCTTTACGCTTCCCTCACCTCTCCTCAAGTGGAGGGAAGAGCTGACAGCTGCGTGGCCTGGGGTTGCGGGGAGGGGTGCTGCAAGCACTCCCTTGGCAACACTGGTTGGTGTCTCACCGGGTAACGTGCACTACAAATCCAATGGCTCCAAGCTCAGCACAGCACAAGGACTTACCCAGAAATCGCATTCCTTACGGCCTAGGCTGCGTTAACGTTTATTTAGAACCTCACAGCACTTTAGCCCATAATGGCAGGGCTTGCCAGGACTCAACTTCTGACCACTGAGATGGAAAATTCACCATTGGCTAGAGCTGGTCTAAATGCTGCCTGGATGAGCACCAGCTGAGGTCGGCTGTGTGTTGCTTTCCACCGTGATGGGGCAGTGCTGAGTTCAAAGAGAAGTCTCACAATCACTGCGCTCTCTCTCCCCCAAGTGCACAAATTCTCTCTCTGCACCATGCAGTCACTGCCTGGGAATGGCGGAAGGGTGATGTCAGCAGTTTAAGACTGTAATCCCTTCCCTCTTCTGTGTTTCTTTTCTTGATATATTATTATAACAAGGTACTCTGATCAATCACCTGATTTATGATTCTTATAAAGGTGCTATTTTGTGTGGACTTTAATTCAATTTGCTGTTTCTGCCAGTGGGACGATGACTGAAGTGTTCTATTTGGCCATCTCGCTCTACCCTCGTCTGTTTCTTTTTATATTTTAACAATTCTGGTGGGTGAGTGGCGGCTAGTAGTTCTCTTTGGTTTTAATTTGCATTTCCCTGATAACTAATGAAGTAGTTCATTTTGTCATATGTTTAGAGACCATTTGGAATCATTGTATTATGCTATGCCTGTTATACAGTCACTTCCTCATTTTTATTGGTTGTCAGACTTTTTCTTATTGATTTATAGGGATTTTTATGTTTATTGTTTGCTTTTATTTATAAATTTATATTTGAATTTATTAAAAGGTAAAGCCTTTCTCCTATTCTATATACATTATTTTGAACAACTACTGTGGTGTTTTCAGATGAACAGAGACTCTCAATCTCAATGTAATAAAACATTTCATTAACTTACTTTATGGGTAGATCTTTCTGTATCCTGTTGAGAATTTTCCTTGAGATATTTTCCTAAATGACTTTCTTAAAAATGTTTTTTTTTGTTGTTTTTTTTTTTTGAGACGGAGTCTCGCTCTGTCGCCCAGGCTGGAGTGCAGTGGCGCAACCTGAGCTCACTGCAAGCTCTGCCTCCCAGGTTCACGCCATTCTCCTGCCTCAGCCTCCTGAGTAGCTGGGACTACTGGCACCCGCCACCATGCCTGGCTAATTTTTTTTGTATTTTCGGTAGAGATGCGGTTTCACCGTGTTAACCAGGATGGTGTCGATCTCCTGACCTTGTGATCCACCCGCCTCAGCCTCCCAAAGTGCTGGGACTACAGGCAAGACCCACCGCGCCCAGCTGTTTTTTCTTTTAAATTTATTTCTCTAGAATTTATTTTTGGATATAGTAAAATTCTTTTATAAAAACATGCATACTAAGTGGTCCCAGATTTATTGATTAAAAATACCATTTTTTTTTCCACTGACCCTCAGCATCAAACCTTTTTCTAAATCAAGTTTCTACATGTCATGTCTGTGTTGGGCCTCTCAATTAGGTTCTATATTTAATAAACATATTATTGAGTGACAATACCACACTTTCCTCATCTCTATTGCTTTATAATAAGTCATGGCATCTGGTATGGAAAGCCTTCTTATTTTGTTCTTTCTTAAGATTGTCTTGGAATCTATTAACAAATTTTAGAGTGAGTTTGTTTAGTTCTACCCAAAACAAAATTTCTATTCACATTTGTATTAAAATTGCATAGAATCTAGAGATCTATTTGGGGAGAATGCACATCTTTATAATATTAGGTCTTCCAGTTCATGAACATGGTATATACCTTCATTTACTAAGGACTTTTTAAAAACAAAATGTGTAGCAATCTCATCTCATAAAAAGATGCGCCTTCAGGGAGGTTTGAAAATATATGTAGTCCTTTGTATTTGGCTACAATTAGAATCAGGATTCCTAAGAATAAGCTAAAGTAGTTTAGAGATAAGGTTATCAAATTTGCATTTCTGCCATATAAAAGCAAGTGTGAAATTCAATTCCTACAGGCATTATATTTATGGGATACTTGGAAATGAACCACAATTTTATAGAGGGTCCAAGCTGCATAAATCACTAACATAGGCTTCATTAGACTGTCTCTTAATTGGTACAGGAGTGACTAAAGCCACATGCAGTGACCGAGGTTTCCATCATGTGGGGATTAGAGGGGAGAGGGTACAGAAATTCATGAAAATAATGTTAATACTGCTCTTCATAAACCCATCGTATTTAGGAAGGTAGGTGGTTTAAGAATGCTGAAAATGAAGAAATATACTCAAATCACTTCTGCGTACATTCTTGTCCCTTACCTGACTCTGCCAATACATCATGAAGTTTCATGTATTTATCAGTTAAACTATGATCCTATTCTCCACCTTTTTACTCTTTTTGCCATTACCTGAGTCTCTGATCATCCCATTCTGCCACTGTATTATTGTGTGACTTATCAAATACTGAATGGTAAACACTCTCAGAAATCACAGGTACTACCTTAAATAAGAAAAATACTTTGTGTGCCATCAAATCAACATAAAAATGGGCGTACTTGATTTTTGTTGTTTCTTAGAGTTTGTTTTCTCTTCCTGTTTTTTAAGCTAACGTGGTGTCGGTTACCTGCATATTTTGTAGATTCTTTCAAGATGAATCAGTGTTTAATGATCATGAATCCTTGGGACCTAAATTCTATCAAAGTACAAAAGTATTAGTATTAAGGGCATGCTTTGTGAATGATAACACAGTTCAAGCAATATTATTTCCATTATTCCTACTGAGTATAAAAGGCAGTTCAAAGCAATTTGCAATTTTATAGCCTGAGGAAATTATTTCCATGGGAAGCAAAAAAACAACTACTTCTGTTTCTGTTATTGCCTAAGTGTTTTCTAGTTTGGAAGTCTAGGTAAATGATTTCGCCCACAATTCTTTGAATGACTTATTTTATCTTATTTTTGGGGCACTTCTCATGTGCTTTTTAATACGTAATTAGTATGTTAAGAAAAGAGTGTAATTTTGATACTACTTCTGTTTGGCTTAACAATGATTAAGAAAGAATGCCTAAAATTGAGCTACATTTTCAAACTACTTACAGTCTAGTCACATTAATGTTAACTTAGGGATTATTTTGTAATTATTTTATGTCTCTTATGAAATGAGTTGACACCCAAAATTATTTTTCAAAGAGTTTACTTATTTTCTAATACTAATTTGTCCCTCTTGGGAGTTCATTCCCTCTTGGAAATATATTTTAAGTATAAATATATTCAAACTTAAAGTCCTTATATATTTTTTGTTATTTGCTAAGCTGTATCCGTAACATTTTTATATCTGGCAAAGCATCCTCAATATCAATGTGCAAAGTTGTAATCTTCCATGATATTTACCTGAGCTTTTCTTCATCCACAGGTAGACTAATATCTAAAGCACAATGGAAAATTTACAATGCTCTGGATATTGCACCTAAGAAATGTGCAGTACAATAGCAATGACTTTCAGAGGCAGCCATGTTCTCTGAGTAGGCTTTTGTTTCTAAGTTAGTTAGTTATTTCCAGGCTCATGACACAGGAATGGTGGGAAGCCTCTGCAATACAGCTGCTGAATGCACAACTGAAGCCTGTGAGCTTTACTAGATTGTCTAGCTTCTACATCCGATTTAGTTTTCCCATCGCTAGCTTTAGAATTACAGTGCTTTACTAATTTCTAACTTCGTTAAAAGATTATATTATTCAACTAAATTAAAAAAAATTAGATCTTGCTGTTGTGTTTTGGCAGTTTGGTTTTATATCACGTTTATGTCGTTTTCATCTATTTCTTTTATATTTTCTTAAGTTCTGCCTGCAAATTTGAATTAATAACTTTTTAGCATATAGTTTTGCAATTTGGTGGCATTATGTCATTTAATTTCTTGATACAAATGTCTGTATTGAGAGTATTAAATTTTTCATTTTTTAATTACATTGGATCAGGAAGGGAAGCTACATTTTATAACACGTGTCCCTTCTTTACATATAACTACATATTTTGTCTAAGCCTTGCTAGAAATATTTTAATATGCATCTTTTAAAAAAATTTAAGGAGTATAACAGATTCTGGGTTAGAAAACACGATGAAAATCATATAGTGGGAAATACCCTTTATCTTCCTTGCTATTTCCTGAAATGTTTAATCCTCTCCTCCCAAGACTTGACTAGATATAGAGGCATCCCCTTGGCATCTTACTTCCTTTCCCTTGTTCTTTGTCCGAGATTGTTTTTTCCTACTGAGGTACTCATGCTGGGTTTCATGTTCTCTGTGCAAAAATTCACCTAGACTGAGGTACTCATGCTGGGTTTCGTGTTCTCTGTGCAAAAATTCACCTAGAATCCTTGTCAAATCTTCTGCTTCCCTTATCTCCCTGGAAGCTTGGAGACATCTGTAAGATTTGGGTGTGTTTGGGCATAGTAAGAAAATAAACAAGTCACAGCAGGGGGCCATGTTATCCATGGTTTAGGAGCAGAAGACATATGAGGACTCTAGCTACCGGGATTTTTGGTTCAATATTTTCTTTGCTTAGATGGTAAAATAGAGAAGTACAGATGATATTTCAAGGGCAAAATTTTCTTCAGAAGTTCCTTAACATAAGTTGTCCTATCTGCTAGTAATCTAATGCTTCAATCACCTTGGAAAATAATGGAATTAGTGGTGGACTTAAAAGTAAATGAGTAAAAGATATAGTTTTAATTATAGATATAGAATTTATAGGAACTTCCCATATCTGTGCAACATGATGAGAGTATCTGTGCACCAGAATATGTTTGTTTGTTTGAATACTTTAGCAATCTCTCCATGTACATCAGCCTTGATCTTTCATTGTCCCCAAAGCATTTTTCTGCCACTCACAGCTCTAATATTGGAATATTATTGATTTATCTTCAAGTGTATGGATATTTGGGGGGAAACATACTTTCTCTGCTGCAATACATGTGTATTTTCACCCTCATTCTTGATAATGTCTGTTGCACCTTTCACAAGGGCTTCAGAAATATGTCATTTTTTTAAAATAAGTAGCAAAATAAGAATGAAAGTAAATAATATTTATATGCAGAAAAATAAATCTTTTGAAGAAAAGTTGGTATTTAATGTTTGCAGTTGTGAGTTCCATTAGTTGCAAAATGTGCTTCAGTTTTGAAGGATTCTGTGGAGATACGGGCAGCGCATATATTCTTTGCTCAGCTGCGTCCAGTCTACTAATAAGCTCATCAAAGGCATTCTTCATTTCTGTGACCGTGTTTTAGATCTTTAGCATTTTTTTCAGTTCTATGTTAGAATTTTCACCTCTCTGCTTAAATTGCATGCTATCTATGTTTACCCATTAGAGGCCTTAGTTTGCCAATCACAGCTGTTTTAAATGACCAAGTTTGATACTTTCAATATCCCTGACTTACCTGAGTCTGGTTTTGATGCTTGCTCTGTCTTCAAATTGTGTATTTTGCCTTTTAATGTGCCTTGTTTCTTGTTGCTTTTGTTGTTGTTGCTTTTTTTTTTTTTTTTTTTTTTTTTTTTTTTGTTGAGACAGAGTCTCTCTCTGGCACCTATGCTAGAGTATAGTGATGCAACCTCTGCCTCCTGGGATCAAACTATCCTCCCACCTAAGCCTCCTGAATAGTTGGGACTACAGGCATGTGCCACCACACTTGGTTAACACTTCTCATTTTTTGTAGAGATGGGATTTTGCCATGTTGCCCAGGACGGTCTCGAACTCCTAGGCTCAAGGAATCTGCTTGCCTTGGCCTCCCAAAATGCTGGGATTAGAGACATGAGCCACCACGCCTGGCCTGCCTTGTATCTCAATCTGTTTGTGCTTCTATAACAAAATACCATATGCTGGGTAATTTATATACAGTATGAATGTATTTATCATGGTGCTAGAGGCTAAGAAGTCCAAGGTGAAGCCGCCAGCAGGATTGATGAATGGTGAGGGCAGCGGTCTATTTCTGAGATGGCGCCTTGTAGCTGTCCTAACATGGTGAAATGGAAAGAAGGGCAAAAGGATCAGAAAAGTCTAAGCTGATACCCTCCAGGTCTTTTATACGGGCCTCATCCATTTGTGAAGGTGCAGCCATCATGACTTAATCACTTCCCCAAAGACCCCACCTTTTCATATCACCATAATGGGTATCAAATTTTAGCACATGAATTTGGGGAGACATTCAGACATTCAAAAATTCATTGGAATTTTTGCTTGATAAGCAGGCACGCTGTACTTAGTAAAAGGAAATGCTATAAATAGCCCTGTAGCAATGCAGTGGCAAGGTGTGTATGTTGGGGGAGTGACCTGGAGTCTCATGATCAGATTTCAGTCTTTGGCAGAGCCTCTGCCTCTGGATTGTGAGATTGGCTGGTTCTTCTCAGGATCCCTGCCCCCTCGCCCCTGAGTGGGACTGGATGGCTAAAATTGGGTATTTACTTCTCTTCCTCCACGAGGAAAGTTAGAAAGGGCTGGAATTGTGTATTTCCCTTCTCCCAGGCAAGTTAGGCTCTGATAATTTCCCAGTAGGTTAGACTCTGGTTAAGCAGCTTGTCCTAAGGGCAGACCTTGTTAATAATAACAGAATTCTCTGGTGTATTTTAAGATATTTCCTTTTTCCTTCTCCCTGTGGAAGCACAACGGGATTGATTTTTTTCCCTTTGATATTCACTGTGAGAACCTGGTAGAACTCCAGGATGTAGAACTCACAAAAGTCGTGGGTCTCTAATGACCAGGTCCTTTTGGGGGTTTTGTCTCTCAGACTCATCCACACTGAGCCCCCAGTGATTCATCAGTTACAGTTACAGGTTTCCTATCCCCGCATGGGTTTCCATGGAGGTTTTAGCTGCTGGGTTTTTGCTCATGTGAGTTTTGATTCTCCGTATTTGAGGTTTGTCCTGTGACCTCATTTCTTCCCCTGATCTAAGGAAAGGTTATTGATTTTCAGTCTGTGCAGCTTTTTACTTGTTAATAGGATGAAGTGATGACTTCCAGGTTTCTTACATGCCAGACTGGAAACCAGAGGACGTGTTGGTTTTTCATATTCCCATGAGAATAGCACAATTTAATCTCCTACTTACTGTGTACTGTTTGAGCCAAGAAAACTATATATTAGAAAAAATGTGTGAAAAAACTTTCAGATATTAAAACAGCAAAATCAATCCAGCAAAGACTGAGAAAAAAATACACAGGATATTTGAAGATACATTTACAGTATAAGTAGTAATTTAATGGGGTGTGTATTTTTTTCCTTCATAAAGAAAGTGAAAATCAAAATAGAATTGCTATATTTCTATGTGTTCTCTACTTCCTTGTCATGAAAAAATTTGATGTAAAGACAAGCAGTATATGTAACACCTGGGAACTTATTGGAAATACAGAAACTTAGGCTCCACCCCAGAGGTACTGAAGCCAAATCCATATTTTAACAAGCTCTCCTGTGATTCACATACACAAATGTTTGAGAGACATTGCAAGTATACAGAAATCTTCTTTTCTATGCATGTATATATCTTGGTACTGAGATTCAATAAAACAAATTTTAGTAACCATAGATCATTCGTATCCATCCATTTTCCTAAGATTTTTGATGTACAGAAAATAACAAGGTGGTGAAAATGTTTTATGAAGGTCAAACATTTCTTTCTTTGAGAAATAACATACATTTAAATAAAACAAATAGCTTCTTCATATTTGGTTTGTGTTCAAGGAAGAGTCATGTAAAGGACTAAGTAAAATATATCAAAAGTATCCCAGAAACAGGAAATTAGAATACCTCTTAGTCTCTCTGCACCTGAGTGCAGGATATGTAAATGTCATATCTTCCTTTAAGTGTTCAGTTCTAACAAGGTAGTGATAATCTCAGAGGTTCCTTCTTTGCGGAGCAATTTCACTTCCCCCATTTCCATGCATTTCTTACCATTGTATTTGAGGCAGCCAATCTGCATGCAGAAGTATTTTTCTATAAACATATCCAGCACTGCTTTAGCAGTATCTTTCATAAAACCAAGTCAATGTAACAAAGGCTATGCCTCATAACAGTTGCACATACAAGTATGTTTTAGAAATCAGAATTCCCGATGAATTACTATGGCATTCAAATTTACTTTTTTGTTTTACTCCCCTAAAGGAGAAAGAGTGTTTCTGGGGTATATTCCTCTTATAAGAAAAATAAAAGTAAAAATCTATGTCATAGATTGCCAAACCGGATTTCAAATGAGTATAAGCTCTTAGTAAAAAAAAGACTATGATATTTTACTTGTCTCTAATCATTCTGCAACATTCAGCATTTGTCATGTACATATATAGTTATGCGCACATATGTATGGATGGATGGATATATAGATAGATGTATTTTGCACACATATAAGTATTAGTATTTATGTATGTGTATGTACATATATACATATGTGCATAGATAGCAATCAGAAAGGCTGTGTATGTTGAATTGAATTAGATCATTTTCCCCCTAGAAATTATTTGCATTTCAAAATTTGTGCTTTAACTTCCTCAAATATAGTATAAAGAAATTTTGCTTTTCTATGTTTAATCAAGAATTGTCTTTTAATACTATAAAGATTAATTTTAATTCTTTCTATTTGGCTTCAGCTTCTCAGTTAAATTTTCTAAGCATTATTTTTCTGTCTTCTAAATGTGGATAGAGTATATGCTTTTTCTACCTATAAAGATACTTTGAGGATATGAGACACATACAAATAATTTTAAAAACTAAAGTTTTCACTTTCACCTTGCTTCTTTTCTCTTCCTCCTTTCCCTCAAACTTGATCAGAGCCCATCATGGGTGAATGAGGGGCTGAGGGGATGGAACCAGGGCTGATCAGCCATCAGGTATGGGAAGACCTCTTTCCAATTGAAAGGAACTAAAGAGACTAATGCCACATAATAACTAAATGCAATGTGTGATTCTGATTGGATCCTGGACAAATAAAGGGCACTATTTGGACAGTAGGCCAAATGAGATTGGAATCTGCAGATGAGATGTCAATAATGCAGCAATGTTAATTTCCTACTTATGCTCATTGAACTTTGATTATGTAGGACACTTTCAACATTTTTAATAGACTTTATTTTTTGAAGCAGTTTCGTGTTCATAAAAAATTGGGCAGAAAGGGCTGGGTGTGGTGGCTCACACCTGTAATCCCAGCATTTTGGGAGGCCTAGGTGGCAGGATCACAAGGTCAGGAGTTCAAGACCAGCCTGGCCAACATAGTGAAACTCCGTCTCTATTAAAAGAAAAAATAGAAAAATTAGCCGGGTGTGGTGGCACACGCCTGTAGTCCCAGCTACTAGGGAGGCTGAGGCGGGAGAATTGCTTGAACCCAGGAGGAGGAGGTTTCAGTGAGCCAAGACCATGCCATTGCACTCCAGCCTGGGTGACAGTGAGATTCCATCTTAAAAAAAAAAAGAGAATTGGGCAGAAAGTACAGGGGGTTTCCTTACAACCTCTGACCACACACCTCCAGAACCTCCCCCACTATCAACATCTCACACCAGAGTGTTATATGGGTCCCAATGAATCTACATTGGCACATCGTCATCACCCAAAGTCCAAGATTTCCGTGAGGGTTAACTCTTAATGTTGTACAAACTGTGGGTTTGGACAAATGTATAATGACATATAGCCACCCTTTGAATATCATACAGAGAAGTTTTGCAGCCCTGAACATGCTGTGTGTCCCACTAATTCACACCTCACATCCCACAAACTCCTGGAAACCACTGATCCTTTCACTGTTTTCAGTTTTGCCTTTCCCGGAAGGTCATACGGTTGGGATTATACTTTATGTGCACTTTGCAGATTAGCTTCTTTCACTTAATAATATGCACCTAAGAATTCCTTATGTCCCTTCATGCCATGATAGTTCATTTCTTCTTAGCACTCAGTAATATAGGCAGACCTAATTTTTTGTGCTTTGCAGATACTGTGTTCTTTACGAATTGAAGGTTAGTGACAACGCTGTATTAAGTAAGTCTGTTGGCACCATTTTTCCAACAACATGTGCTTACTTCATGTCTCTGTGTAAAATTTAAAACTTTTTAAATTACTATATCTGTTTGGTGATCTGTGACTAGTGGTCTTTTCTGTAACTATTGTAATTGTTTAAGGCGCCACAAATCACACTCATATAAGATGGCAAACTTAAACAATAAATGTTGTATATATCCTGACTGTTCCACCAGCTAGCTGTTCCTCAGTCCTCTCTCCCTCCCTTCAAGTCTCACTATTCCCTGAGACACAATAATATTGAAATTAGGTCAATTAATAAACTTGCAATGGCCTCTAAGTGTTCAAGCGAAAGGAAGAGTCACACGTCTCTTAGGTTAAAACAAAGGCTAGAAATAAGCTTAGAGAGGAAGGTATGTCAAAAGCTGAGATAGGCTGAAAGCAAGGCTTCTTGCACCAAAAAGTTAGCCAAGTCATGAATGCAAAAGAAAAATTCTTGAAGAAAGTTAAAAGTGCTGCTCCAGTGAACACATGAATGATAAGAAAACACAACAGCCTTATTGCTGATATGGAGAAAGTTTGAATGGTTTGAATAGAAGATCAAACCAGTCACAACATCCCCTTAAGCCAAAGCCTAATCCAGAGCAAGTTGCCAAAGCTCTTTAATTCTATGAAGGCTGAGAGAGGTGAGCAAGCTGCAGAAGAAAGGTTTGAGGCTAGCAGAGGCAGATATGAGGTTTAAAGAAAGAAGCAAAGTGAAGCAGCAAGTGCTGATGGAAAAGTAGTAGCAAGTTACCCAGAAGATCTTGCTAAGATAAAGGATGAAGGTGGCTACACTAAACAACAGATTTGTGATGTGCACACAGCTGCCTTTTTTAAAAGAGGATCCTATCTAGGACATTCATAGCTAGAGAGGAGAACCCAATGCCTGGCTTCAAAGCTTCAGACAACAGGCTGACTCTCTTGTTAGGGGTTAATGCAGCTGGTGACTTTCAGTTGAGGCCAGTGTTCATGTACCTCCCTGAAAATCCTAGGGCTGTTGAGAATTATGCTAAATCTACTCTGCCTGTGCTCTAGAAATGGAACAACAGAGCCCGGATGACAGCACATTTGTTTATAACATAGTTAACTGAATATTTTGAACACACTGTTGAGACCTAATGCTAAGAAAAAGAAAATTCTTTCAAATATCACTACTTATATAACAATGTACCTCGTTACTCAAGAGATCTGTCATGGAGATGTACAAGGAGATGTTGCTTTCATGCCTACTAACACAGCATCCACTCTGAACTCTGGGGATCAAGGAGTAATTTGAAATATCAGGTCTTATTATTTAAGAACTATATTTCATAAGGCTATAGCTGCCATTGATAGTGAGTTTTCTGATGGAACTTGGCAAAGTAAATTGAAAAATCACCTGCAAGGATTCGTCATTCCAGATGCCATTAATAACTTTTGTGATTCATGGAAGGTCAAAATATCAACATTAACAGGAGTTTGAAAGAAGTTGATTGCAACCCTCACGGATGACTTGGAGAGGGGCATGACTTCACTAGACAAAGTAACTGCAAGTGTGGTAGAAATGGCAGAGTATTTAAAATTAAAAGTGGAACCTGAACATATGACTCAATTGCTACAATCCCATGATAGAACTTGATGAGGAGTTGCTTCTTATAAATGAACAAAGAATGTGCTTTCTTTAGATAGAATCTACTCGTAGTGAAGATGCTATGAGCATTATTTAAATGACAAGAAAGGATTTAGAATATTATATAAAATTAGTTGATAAATTTGCATCAGAATTTGAGAGGATAGAATCCAATTTTAAAAGAAATTTTACTATCGGTAAAATGCTATCAAACAGTGTCACATGCTACAGAGAAGTCTTTGGGGAAAGGAAGAGTCAATCGATGTGACACACTTCACTGTTGTCTTATTTTATGAAATTTTCAACCAGGTGTAGTGGCTCATGCCTATAATTCCAGCACTTTGGGAGGGCAAGGCTGAAGGATAGTTTGAGGCCAGGAGTTCAAGACCAGCCTGGGCAACAAAGCGAGACCCAGCTTCTACAAAAACTGTAAAAATTAGCCAGGCTTAGTGGTGCCTGCTTGTAGTCCCAGCTACTTAGGAGGCTAAGGTGGAAGGATTGCCTGATCCCAGGAGTTAGAGGTTGCAGTGAGCTATAATTGTGCCACTTCACTGGGTGACAGAGTGAGAGACACCATCTGAAAAGGAAAAAGAAAAAACCTCCCACAGCCACCCCAACTTTCAGCAACCACCACCCTGAGCTGTCAGCAGACATCAATGTTGAGGCAAGATCCTCCAGCAGCAAAATGATTAGGACTCACTGAAGGCTGAGATGATCATTAGAAATTTTTAGCAAAAAAGTGTTTTTAATTAATATATGTACATCACATTTTAAGACATAATGCAATTGCACACTTAACAGAGTACCTTGTAGTGTAAGTGTAACCTTTATGGGTACTGGGAAACCAAAAAACTCAAGTGCTTCAATTTATTGTGATCTTTGTTTTATTGTGGTGATTTGTAACCAAACCCACAATACCTTTGAGATATGTCTGTCATCCATGGTCTACATATACCACCATTTATTTATCTGTTTTCCTGTTGAAGGACGTTACTTCTGAGTTTTGGCAATTATGAATAAAGCCTCAATAAACATCCTTGTCTAAGATTTTTTTTTTTTTTTTTGTGGGCATACATTTTCAACTTATTTAAATTTATACCAAGGAGCACAATTACTCGATCGTATGGTAAAAGTATGTTTAGTTTTGTAAAAAATTACCAAAGTGCCTTGCAAAGTAGCTGTACCATTTTGCATTGTTATCAGCAATGAATGAGAATTCTTGTTGCTCTATATCAGCGGTCCCCAACCTTTTTGGCACCAAAGACCAGATCGTGAAAGATAATTTTTCCATGGACAATGCAGGTTTGGGGACGGTTTCGGGATGAAACTGTTTCACCTTAGATCATTAGGCATTAGTTAGAATCTCATAAGAAGCATGTGACCTAGATCCCTCACATGCACAGTTCACAATAGGGTTCATGCTCCTGTGAGAATGTAATGCCACCGCTGATATGACAGGAGGCAGAGCTCAGATGATAATGCTCACTCGCCGCGCCACTCACTTCCTGCTGTGTGGCCCCATTCCTAACAGGCCACAGACCAGAACTGGTCCACAGCCAGGGATTTAGGGACCACTGCTCTACATCCTCACCAGCATTTGGCATTCTCATTGTTTTGGATTTTTGCCATTCCATTAGGTATGTGGTAGTATCTCATTGTTATTTTAACTTGCAATTTGCTAATGACTTATGATGCTGAACACTTTTTTTTTTTTAAAGGAAATGTACACTGTGGTATCTAAAGTTAATGAAGTATTGTGTAAAAATTATTTTATTTATTTATTTATTTATTTATTTTTTTGAGAGATGGTGTTTCATTCTGCCACCTAGGCTAGAGTGCAATGGTACAATCTCAGCTCACTGCAACCTGCACCTTCCAGTTTCAAGTGATTCTCTTGCCTCAGCCTCCCGAGTAGCTGGGAGTTGTTTTCATGCTTGCTACTTGTGCCCACCCCCACACCCGGCTAATTTTTGTATTTTTAGTAGATACGGGGTTTCAACTTATTGGCCAGGCTTGTCTCGAACTCCTGACCTCGTGATCCACCTGCCTCGGCCTTCCAAAGTCCTGGGATTACAGGCGTGAGCCATCGTGCCCGGCCAAATTATTTTCAAATGGTTCAAAAATATTAGAAGACATAACAAAAAGGAAAAGACAACTGTGAAAATGAAAGGTTAACAACTAGGGGATAGGAAACCTTTTGGAACTATTTTTGAAACTTCATCATAAGTTTGAAATTATTTAAAAATAAAAAATTTTGATTAGGTAAATATTTTATACTAAAGAAATATACTACAATAGATCTTTTCTGGATAATCTTCTCAGGAAACAAAAGAAATATTATTTCTGATCTCACATATCTGACTGGAAATACAGCTTTTGGTAGGAAGGGTCATTGGAGCAGTGTTGTGATTTTAGCAACTATAAGTTCTACTCTGAACTTAAAACAAACAAAAATGGTAAAGTATTCCCCCATCACCCGATATTCATGTAGCCAGATCATAAGCTAATTCAATTTATTCCTGATAACTTTGATATAACTAAAAAGTTTTTAGGATGAAGTATCATGTGATATGAAAAATCGATTTTTTAGCTAAACTATGGAATGATCAGGGTTAAACAATTGTCTTACCAAGATGATATTACATTTATAATATATATAAAACTATGGATATATAACATGTATGTGTGCATTCCAGTGACATATTCATCGTATTTTTAGTGCAGTGTACTCATTGGAGGGAAAGCAGGAACTCAGGCCAGTGCTTGTTAATGGAATTGGCCTTTTAGCTTTCTTTATTTGACCCTCCTCACAAATCCCACTTCCACCGCCATACTACAAGGCTGTTTGCAAGATGCTCAACTCAACACTGAGTCAATACTCAGTGTGTCTTGATTTACAAGTGACAGAATGACTACATATGGAAATGCTTTCAAGCTCCTTGCCAGCAGGGTGGTGGATTCACCTACCTATAGAGTGTATTTGGAGACCCTACAGGAGTTTTAGAATAATCTCATTCATCTTTCTACCAATCCAGAGCAAAGAAAGTATGAAACAGAGTTTATTGAACTATAATAAATTAATCACTATTTATAGATTCTTAATACAGGGAAAACACACTTAATTTACTTTGTATTTCAAAGAATGTCTAAGTTATCACTGCTTTGAATTTGGTGCTAGGAGACATTAATTAAAACAGAAAGAACAGCTGAAGCTAATTTTAACAAGAATTAAAAGAATACCTAAAAAAATAAAATCTAGTGACATTTGGTCACCGTCACAGGAGCTGTGGACTTGGAGACAGGCTACAGCTGTAAGAAGAAGGAGAGGGGTCTTGGGGCCAGAAATACCCACTGGAAGGAAAAATTTTACAAAAGGTATTTATCTCCAAGAACATATTCGTAAGAGTTATTTATCTCCTAGAACAGCTTCTTAGATAGATAAAAGAGAGGAATGAATGAAGCAAAGAGACACTTTGATGCAGAGAAGATTATAGCTTTGGAGGAAATGAGAAATGAGTTTTTAATTCCAAAACATGAAAAAGAGCATCTGTAATATATATGAATGATTACTAAAGTTCTTCTTACTCCTGAATTCTCAGCTAAACTACTGCACATTTTGATATTCCACATGCCAAACCTCATCCCCAAAACATACCAGGTGTGTGTGCTTAAAAATCCAGTTTAGTCTAAATCATCTAGCTTGGTCCTCATTTTATACTCAACTGATTCTTTATCACAGACATTTATTAAGTGGAAAGAGAATAGTTTGCAATGAAATGTGGACGCTTAGAGATATATGACTTTAAAAGGACCTCAACTTTTAATCAGTTTCAACCCTATCAGTAGGTCTATTAACATGAATTTGTTCTAGTTATGCAAAATATCTCACTTTATAAAAATACTATTTAAAAAGTCCTTGTAGAATTTGTTAGTGAACTAGAAGTGTTAACTCATTTAGCTTCACCTCATAGGATTAGTCTAGATTGTAAAGCATTTGTAATTCTTTTGACTTTTTCTGTATTTTCCATATTTCATTTATATTACAATATTAAGTCTTAAAGAAAATGGAGAACAGCATGAAAGACCTTGCTAAATTTGATGTTGAGGTAACAATACTTTGTTTCTTCATGGGATATGATTTGTTATGCATCATAGGATTCGTTATTCATACATTTATTTGAAAGATATAGATATGCACACGTGTTACTTACAGGGGTGAAGGGAAGCAGCCGAGATGCAGTCAGAGACATTTCGAAGCTACGAGCTAGAAATAGAGATGAGAACATATCAGAAAACATCCCTGAATTCAGGGAATGTCATATCTTGTTTGCTTTTTTAAATGGCACCATATAACTCCTTTGTATTGATTCACCAGATCTCTCTTTGTTCATGGGGCAACCTTATGCCCAATCCGTGTAAATTTTACAATAAAATTAACTATCCCCAAAGCCTGAAGCAGTTATTCTCCCGAGAAGGCCACAATAGGATCTGCAATTGCTGTTTCATAAGTGGAATAACACAGCACAATCTGCCTAGCTGATTAGGGGCGACTCTGGTCCTGCACCTCATGTGTCCTGAAGTCAGGGCTCAGCTTCTGACAAAATCTCCCTCTGTCTCGTTTCATTGTTCTTGTCTTGTTCCTTCACCTGTTCTTAAAATGCCATTCTCAAGTCCTAGTTTAGTTCGATTGCCTTCTTCAATTCTCTTCCTTCCCTCCCTGTCTTCTTTTATGCACAAAAATACCTATTAATCATGTACTGGGGACCAGGCACTGTGCCAGTCTGGCAATATAAAAGGGAGTAAAACGAGATGAGCTTCCTGTCTTAACCTCCTGAAATCGACAGACTAGGAAAGAGAAGACATTGGTTACATAATCACACAAGCAGATGTTCAAGGCTACTGTTGGTGGTGCTGAAATGTAGCAATCTCTTGACAGTTTAGTGAGCTCATGACCAGAGGATCTGTCTTATGCAAAGGTCAGAGAAGGCTTCCCTGATAAAGGAAGGTCATCCAAGGTAAAATCTGTGGGATGAGGAGGAGTTAGCTAAGAGGAGGGAGGAGGACCAGGTATCTAGGTGGAGGGCATATCCCATACAAGGAATGATTGTAACAAGAAGAGAATAAAAGAAGGGTGATGTGGTGAGAGAGGTTTGGAGAGCCAGTCCAGGTAGGGTCTTTAAGCTGTGTGTGCCTTTCCCCATAATTTAAAGTGGAAAGCCATTAATTTGATTTAAACGAAGGGTTGCAGGACTATATCTATGTTTTAAAGAGTCATTTTGGGAGAGTCCGGAGACTTGTGATGGGTGGATGGGGAGGATGATTCACTAGTTATTAAGCTAATGCAAACTATGCTACTTGGGGGAGAATGGAGAGAAACAGACAGATTCAAAAGTTGCAATTGACCCTCATTTCTGCAGTTCTCTATTTGCAAATTTGCCTATTTGATAACATTTATTTGTAACACCAAAATTCGTACTCACAATGCTTTCATAATCATTCTCAGATGTGCAAAGAGTAGCAAAAAATTTCGGTCGCCAGGCATAAACATTTCCCACAGAGACTGAACTGGGGCAGTCTGTCTTCTTGTTTCAGCACTCATAAGGTAAGCAAATGTGATTTTTGTGGTCTATTTAGCACCATATTTGTCAAATTTGTGTGCTTTTTGTTAGTGATTTTGGTGCTTAAAATGGCCCAAAGCATAGTGCAAAAGGGCTGTCTAGCATCCCTAAGCACAAGAAGGCTGCAGTGAGCTTTCTGGAGAAAATACACACAAAATGAGCTTCATTCAGGCATGAGTTCTAATGCTGCTGGGCGTGAGTTACATATTAATGACTCAATAATACACATTTAAAAAGAGGTCTTTAAATATAAACATACATAAAACAAAGATATTTATTGACTGGTTGGTGAAGATGTTGTGACCAGAGACTCACAGGAACCTAACCTTGTATTTCCTCTAGGGACAATTGTTCTGTATTTGCTAATTTAGGGTTCATGGCAACTTAATTAAACATAACAGCCATAAATAATGAGAATCAATTGTGTTTAGAATTAAAAGCAATTAGATTTTGCAAGGAATTTGCTCTCGGTGATGAAAAAGAAAACTGTAAAGAATATTTTACTTGTCTAGATTTGGCAATACATGAATATGGTAAAATTCAGTGCCAGAAAATAAAAAAGACACAATGTCATATTAATTTATCCACTCCAAAATTCTAGAGAAAATCAACACTGTGCCACTAAGACTTTTATAAACAATCTCATATCAAATGACTGCTCCCAAGTTTTCAGGCTAGTCTTACATGGTCAACTCCTAGCACATGCTTTGTATAATTTGTTTTTTACCTGTTTGCTATTTTATTCTATGTTGTTTTCTTCAGGTAATGCAAAGGATATCTGAACAACTACTATGAATAAGAAATAAAATCTATGTATTAAGTAGGAAATAACATAGAAAATGTATTTTGTGAGAGTTTAAGGCTTATTAAAATTTAATTTAAAAACAAGGATCAATGAAATAATGTGTGCAAAATGTTTAGTATGTAAGGGACGAAAGACCATAAGTGCATAAAATATATTCTGCATGAAGTTATTGGCATTCTTACAATTTCTACGATTAATTAAATGCATCATTTTACTTATAATACCTAGAAAGAGGAAATAGTCTATAAAATGTAGTTGATTTTTTTCATTTTCTTTAAATATTATAATACTAGTTAATATAGAAAAATAATATTCTTCACGTTTTGTTAATTGCATTGTTAAAAAGACTTCTCCATTTCGGCAGATTTTTAGTTATTCTCTTTCTTAATTGTATACTTTTTAGTAAAGATTACACATTACTTTTTAATAATAAAAAAGCACCGTGGTTCTTTTTTGGTACTATATATTATTTTTAAGAATAGTTCAGAACTTTAATCAGTATTTTTCAAAAGAAAAGAATTGCAAGATATGCTTACTCATTCTGTTGTGATTGCTACACCTATTTATAATTGAAAATAGATTTACGTCACGGTTATAGTTTAGAAATTGGAATTTAAAAACAATTAAGAACTTTGTTTTTCTATTTCTATGATAACAAAGTTGATTTTCATTAGTTATTGCTTTGTTATGTTGTTACATTGTTGCATTATATTTTAAATGATATAATCTCTATACAATATTCATGTATTTTCTCAGTGAAGAATAATACTGATATTTTAAAATTCTAATTATATCCACTTGTATATAAAATGCTAAGATATAGCTTGCGCATAATTGGATTTTAATAAATATTAATTTGATAAATAAATAGTTATACTAGAATCACACATTTCTGGGTTCTCAGCATTGTGTATTTCTGGGGTCTCATAATTTTACATTTTTCTCTATTTTTTTTCACAAGCTAACATATTTAAAAAAATTTGTGGAATACTATCTTGACCCAAAATCATAACAATGAGAATTCCAGGATCAATAATATAAGTTACTATTTATAAACACATACATGAGTACCTAAAGAAACTAATACAGTTCTTAAAATTGTTACCTCTGGGGATCAAGACAGGATGGAGAATGGCAAAAAAATTCTTATATTTAACTCTAAGCCCTTTGGTACTATTTATTAATTTAATGATAGTGCATAACTTTAATCAATATTTTTAAAAAGAAAATAAAACATACATTTAAGAAGGACAAGAAAATTAATAAACAGCAATGAGAGTCTGGGAAAGTCTTGATCATAAGAAAGTCTTGATTCTCTGCTTCCCGCTGCCTGCCTCCCTTTTCAGATTTTAATAATCTGAAATAAACAAATCAATCAAAGTATCTCAGTTACCTACCTCAAGACTTGTATCTATGAGTTGTAATTAGAAGAATCCTTCATAGATGGATTGCTTTCATTTATAACCAATATATAAAATCTTACTACCCACCTTCATTTCATACAGGACCTTTAGAGTGTCAGTAGGTGATTTTAATATTATTTTACTTATATTTGGAACTCACTGGTAGGTGGTAAGCAAGGGAGAAATAAACCTAATTTATGCTATAAAAATCTCTCTGCTTCCTGGACAGATAGTCAACTTCATTAGGCTGTACGCAGGAACAGAAAAGTTAGGATTTTGCAGTAATATAGGTCACAAGTGATGATAGCTTTGGCCAATGTTTGAGCTGGAAAGATGAAAACAATGGTTAGAATAAGGCTCTGTTTGAAGGTAGAACTAACCAAAATTGCAACGTATTGGATGCAGGTTATGAGATAAAGAGAGGAATAGTGCAGAGTTTTATTATTTTTGTTCTATATTTGAAATGCTTATTTTGCATACAAGAGAATATTTCGATGAGGCAGTTGTATATGCAAAAAATAAAATTCTACAGACTTTCAGAGTTCAGACTTTCAGATTTTCTCCCCATAATGGGCCATCTAAAGTATATAGAGATAGAGGGGTATATTTGTATGAAGCCTGCATCTATACATAGATGGTGCCCACAGCCATCTGACTGAACTCAGCTCGGTTACTTCAGGCACCTGTAAAAACGGTCAATAAATTTTGACTTTTGTTTAGGAATTTTGAAGGCTGATGTGAATGGAATACTATCTAGTTGTTTTAAGATTCAAGAGTCATATCCATATTTTCAGTCCCTGCAATTTAACTTCTTAAGGCTAATGAGTGCAGTCTGTACCTCCTCAGTCTCCAATTGCCTTTTATTGGAAGAAACCTGTCAGGATGTGCCCCTCCTTTTACCCAGAGGTAACCGTGGGCAATGAAAGAGCTTACATTAAGTTCCTCCAAGTTTGAGGTCTTGTAAATATCAGACCTCAGTTACAGAACAGACCTGGGTATATTTACTCACGTGAACTGTGTTCCCCACCACTAAGTTCTTGATAAAACAAAGACATTTCATTAATTTTAAATGCAGTAAAATTATAATAACATACTTTTTTCCCCCTCAAATGAGCCTTTAATGCTTTGGTTTCAAATATGCCAGATTTTTTACTTTATTCTGTCATGCCTGGACTTACTGTCCAGAATATAATTACTTTCTCAATTTTTTAGAGGTTACTTTTTACATTTGAAAAGAGTTTACAGTTTTATTGCAACTTCGTACAAATGCCATTTGTTTCAAAATTCTAACAGTTATTAATTTGCTTATCAATACCATAGATATCACAGATACGTCAATTATTTAATTGATTAATGTTAATTTTTGTTGATAATTAACCAGGTGTTAAATTGAATGTTTCTTTTATAAAGTTCGATTTTAAAAAACATTCTGAACATGAATTCTCATCTTCTACCTGCAAACCTGTTCAAGCCCTAGGGTAAAAGCAATTGTCCCCATGGGTCTTAACTCTGTCTTTGAGGAAAGGCAGCCTCACAGGGATTACAAGGAGAGTTGTGAGTGCTGCAGCTAATGTGAGAGATGGCCAATGCTTTGGAGCCTTTGGAGGGTTTGAGCAACTTATGCAAGGACAAGACAAATTCATTACTTGGCAAATCCTTTATCTCAGATAACAGATACTAATCTGTTCCTAGTACTGCCATTTTCTCACTTCTCTTCTTGTTCCAAGTTGTGGATTTATAGGAATTCAGGAGTTAGGTCGTTATTCACAACACTTGTACACAGGGATGAACAATTTGTGGTTTTATTAAGTTTATATAAATATTACAGTTAAGTTGCTACCAATTCCTGACTTTGACAATTTTGACAACCAAATAAACCATTAAATACTAGAATAATATGCTTCTAATTTTTAGAATTATTAACTAAAATAGAACTAAATTTCTGAAATAATAATAAATGTAGCTTTAAATGTTTATATTCATTGATTTAAAATATTTATGCTTATAAATAATTGTGAATATTTAAAGATAAAGAGTTTGCAAAATATACTTATTTTACTTTTTTATTATTTCATTTGTTTTTATTTTTACGAAAATATGTTATTGTTTTGTGCACTTTTTGCATTTCATTTGATTCTGCCAATTATTTTTATCAAATTAAATAAAAATCTTAATAATAGAATTAGTAATATTCCTGAAGTAGAAGCACAAAATAAATCATATTGAGTAAGTATTAATAATTTTTATATCCACATCTCTATTTTCCTTCTCATCCAAACACTGCTAGGTTATCAACAGAAACCCCAGATATGAGAAAATATAGCAAAATTCAGATGTGATGGCTTTACTTATTTTTTTTTTTTTCAGTTTTGTTGTCATAAGAATGTATTTGTCAAGGGAGGAGGGCAAACCGTAATTGACTTTGTGGTGTGCTGGTCTCATGTATCCCCTTTAGATATTGACATGTAGAGTGGAATGTGGGCCTCTCTGTCCTCTCGCCTGAGGAAATGGCAGTGGCAGGCCTGCCTGAGACATTTTCCCTTGTCACTGCTTCAGCCTCCTCCTGCTGTACTTCAGCTAATCCCATCCTAGTTTCATGCGGGTTGTTTTCTTTTCAATCCATCTCATTCTGTTGCCCTGTTTTCTTTCCTCTGCCCCTACCTTGTTGTTTCATTCTTCGCTGCTCCTTCCTCTCAGTAGTCTTCATCAAAAATTAAAGTACATTAAAATGTGAACTTTAAATACACATCGGTTGACCATGGCTTATCACATATTTTTTTTTCTGTAACCCCTGAGAAAAATTAAACCTTCTAAGGTGGCACATACCAGGTGTATTTTCATTTCAAACTGTGACTAAGTATCCACCATTTGACAAAACCAAAGTAAGCCATCAGTTGGCATGTGTGACTTTCATGTGGCTTAGGAGCCTGTAAGATGATACTAGAGGATGAGATGAAATGACCTGCTGGCTCCTGAAATGCGATCCTTTCAACACGAGAGGCCAACAATCCCATCGAGAAGGCAGATGCGTCTCTTGAGACCAATCTCCTGAAGGTTCCGCAGATCAGTTTCTAAATAAAAGATTAAAAAACTTGTTCCAGTGCTTCTCCATGTGAGCCCTACTACAGAGGCTGAGAAGTAGCTAGTGTGTTGGATATATTAAATCCAATGTAACATTCAAATCATGTGGAGAACTGTGCTGGTCATACAATTCTGTAAATGATTTGGGATTAATAAACCTAGTCATAGCCTGGTCACAAGTTTTTGAGTCCCTGTAAGGCCAAAATCTAAGGTCCGGTATTGACTGATGAGTTAAGTTGTACTGTTCTGTAAGACTACATGTATTTTTCCACTGAGGCACCTTAGTATCCTGGGGGAGCTTACTTGAGGATGACTCAGTTGTTTCTTCTCTCTATAAATACAAAGAACAGTGCATTTTTTAAAAGTGTCTGCAAACTAAAGCATGGATTATAGATCATTGAATTGGATTTATCAGTTCTGAGAGAGTGTGATATAATTGAAAGCATGTGGTTGTAAGGCCTGGGTTTACTATTTACTAGTCATGAAGCTTTGGGTGCAATGTTTTAACCCTATGAATCTTTATTTCTTTACCAGTTAAACAGAAATAATAATAAATATTTGCCCAGGTTTATTTACAAGGCTTGGTGTGTGTAGAAATAAATTAAAACATAAAATCATTACATAAATGTCACTAACATGCTAACTCAATGTGACTAATATATTCTTTAGCACAAATGCTAAAATTCAGAGTGAATTTCCATAGAACAATTTCTGTCAGTCACATATATTAGGATAAAATAACCTAGAACTTAAAGTATAGTTAAAAAAAAATAACCACTACCTTTGTCCCTTTAATGTCTAATTTGGCTCCTAGGAGATAGAAAGTACTCAATATCTGCTATAAAAACAGTCTTAGATAGCAGTCAAATATCCCAAAGTCCAAAATCATACATCATTAAAATTGCTTGAGACTCATTCATTACAATTTAAGTATAGAGTATATGCCAAACATTTAACAAGTTGCTTAAGGGACAAAGAAAAATAATCAAAATTTACAAATAACATTTGCAAGGGCTGGAAGTGAAATATTCTAGGAACACATAAGTTGGATTTTTCCTCAGATTTTTGAGAAGATGGAGGGTCAGGAATGGCTTCTTGAAAGACATCACGACTCTTCTCAGTGTTGATGTGCAATGTTTGACATATGTCATGTGAGATGGATGGGCTGAGACAGCTTTGTAGTAGGCCAGTGTGTACGAGGACCAGAAGGAAGAAAGAGGTAGATCTGAGGTAATTCAGAGTGTAGTGTGCATTGCTGCTTAAAAGGAATATCCAACATTAACATTAGTGAGATGCGTATTCACACACACACACACACACACACCCCTATACCCTACTGATTCTGTTTCTGTGAAGAATCTATCTGAATATAGCTGAAAATAGTTTTTTTAGAGAGATATCTGTGCTAGATAAGGGTTCAGGAGGCAGGAGGATTACTTGGGGACAGGTGTTTGAGACCAGCTTGGGCAATATACTGAGACCTCATTAAAAAAAAAAAAAAGCCAGGTGTGGTGGTGTGCAATTGTAATTTCAGCTAATTAGAAGGCTGAGGTGAGAGGATCACTTGACCCCAGGAATTTGAGGCTGCAGTGAGCCATGATCACACTTACTGCACTCCAGCCTGGGCAACGTATACAGACCCTGTCTCTAAAAGAAAAAACAAAAAGACACGGGAGATTGCTGAAGCCGGGCAGGTGGATGAGATAACCCAGGAAGACTCTGGGTTTAAAGAAGAAGGAAGGCCTAGGAATCCTGTGAAACTCCAAGATTTATGCACAAGTAGACAAAACGGTGTTAGGCAGTAAAGGAAAGGTAGGGGGAAAAAAAAAAGCTATTTTTGCAGCTCTATTCCAATATGGAAATTCTGTCTCTTTGATTATGTTCTAGTCCTACATTTTTGTCTTACCAAAAATGCTAGACATTTATTCTAAACTTAAGATTGTCTATTTATGTCCATAATATAACTGGAGGTTAGGAATGGTCCCAGCTAAAATTATTCAACATGAATTTTCTTATAAATTATAATTTAAGAAAAACAATCAACTCAAGGTATATACGTTTAAAGGGAATAATTGCTTTAGGTGATACAATATTATATTAAAGATTGATTCACATGCACCCATATGCTGCTGAGGAAACAATGTATTAAAATTGCTTCTGAAATTGCAATATGATTATTTTACATAGCACGACCTCAGGTTGTAAAGGAAGGAAAAAGATAACATCTGTGCTAAATAATCATTTCCATAAACCATCTAGTGAGTGCCAAAATGCTTATATGGCAAAGTGAGAAATCAAAGTTATTTACTGTCTTGCTAATTCTTTGTGATGCACGCATCTTCCTCTCAGCTCCACATAATATTTTCTTCGGTGTTTTGTCAGTTCTTTCAGTTCCAGATTGAAGGTTGTCAGTTCCTAAATCCCCTCATAACTCAAACTGTACTAATTCAGTAACCATATATAAGCTTTTGGCTTCAAATACAGAAAACCTGAGTGGAATGGTCTTACTTTTATTCTAAGCTTTATTACCTTTTATAACAAGAAACCTGGACGGAGACGATTCCAGAGTTGGCTAATTCAGTCTCCATGGCAGCATCAAGAACAAAAGCTCTTCCCTCAGCATCCTTCTCACATGTTGGCAAGGTCCTTAGCAATTAGAAAGAGGTATTTAAAGCAGGTCTCTTTATCAGGTAGTAAAGGTAGCCTCACAGTTCTGGGCGTCACAAGAAGAAAGATCCATCTTCCTTCATGTTCACTTTATTAACTGTGTGGGATCGTCTTCAGAAGATCCCAGGAGAATTCTCTTATAGCCCGCTGATCAGAGTTGTGTGATATGCCCGTTCCTAAACGAATTACATACATTGACAGAGTTGGCTGAGATATACCAGTATTTGCCCTTTCCAGGTAGAGACAGAGCCAGGAAATACGCCCGAACCCTAACACTTCAACGGCGCAGGGGCAAAATGAGAAGAATGCGTTTTTAATTAGAAGCTACATTATTAGCCATCTCTTTTTTTTTTCTTTTTCTGCATGTAGACTGGAGCAGTTCAAATCTTTCATTTCCTAACCTTAAATGTTTCTGAGATTAAATCAAATTCAAGTCAAATTTTGCTCTATTGGTCACTAAATCTCTTCAAATTATTTCTTTCAGCTGCACATTTCTAAATATGATATTCACTTGACTTAGAGTCTGATGGATCTTACACTTCAAATTTCCTGAAGATGTTCACATTTTTGGACAACAGCACATTTTTAGGACACTGTTTACTGCGTGAATTAGTTCATTCAGATCACTTTTTCAGCAAAAAAGGAAGATGTAGGGTTAGTAGAATATGTCCACTCTATACTAAGTATTTGTATTTTGAATGGACAGAATTTGTCAAACGGGAAAAAGTGAAGTCATTATGAAATAGACTATTTAATGCTTGTCTGAAAAGGTTTGTTTTGCTATTACCTTAATGATGAGTCCATAGTGAATGACAACGAGTACATTTTTAAACATAATTTTGCTTCTTAATAAAGAGGTTCTTACTAAAGGGGTTTTTAAATTTTAGTTATAGTTCCATATTCATTTTTAAAAAGATGCATTGCATGACAGAGTGAAAATATTATACTCTTAATATAATAAATAGGACCTTTTTGTCCTCTCTCATTTGGACATGTCATGGAATTTTGCTAGTACTGCTATTAAGTGTGAATATGTCTCCTAGACACTTATTCATAGAATAACTGCTAGGTTATAAATTGGTAGCCATTAAAGGATGCAAAGTTCTATGAAAACATTCTAGAAATACTGTTTCATTTGAGAGAAACAATAATAATATGAAGCCATCTTTCTTAGTTTGACAAATGCAGTTTGGTTTCTTCAATATTTCTTTTTTTTTTTTTTTTTTTTTTTTTTTTTGAGACGGATTCTCGCTCTGTCCCCCAGGCTGGAGTGCAGTGGTGCGATCTCGGCTCACTGCAAACTCCACCTCCCGGGTTCATGCCATTCTCCTGCCTCAGCCTCCCGAGTAGCTGAGACTACAGGCGCCCGCCACCACGCCCGGCTAAGTTTTTTGTATTTTATTAGAGACGGGGGTTTCACCGTGTTAGCCAGGATGGTCTCGATCTCCTGACCTCCTGATCCGCCCGCCTCGGCCTCCCAAAGTGCTGGGATTACAAGCGTGAGCCACCGCGCCCAGCCGGTTTCTTCAGTATTTCTACTCTCAACAACCATGTCCCTGAAGTACAGTCACATGGAACCTCACTCTGAGAAGTGCAGATTCTGCCATAAGTCAGTGGTTTCCTATGTTCTGCATACATGGAAAGTACATGGCTCTTCACACTACCAAAAATACCATGTCCCTGTCACCCCAACTGCAGAAGCACATTCATGCCCCCTAAACCCACAGCTGAAATTTCCTCCCTCTTTCTCCATCTCTTCCCCTACAGCACAGACACCAAGCCACCTTATCTATAAATAATTCCCGGACTCCACTCCTCACGGTGGTGTTCTGGGATACCATTCCCTGCATGTTCACATCAATTTATTCGGGCTGAAAATGCTCCATATTAAATCTAATTTTTCCACCCTCTGACCAAAAACACTTTTCCTTCCAAATCTTTCAATTATGACCATATTAACCCTTAAACATCTTAAAAACTTCAGTCTCTTGATGATTCTACATTTTTATGAAATATCTAAACACTTCCTGTCTTTATTTCTTCCCATATATATCAAATATTTTATTATCCCTCACTTGAAACAGCTTTAGTTTCTCTCTAGAACTCGATCTTGAGAAAAATACCATCTCTGAATCAAACCAATTGTTCAGCTTCTTTTTTGCTTATACTTTAGATACTAATTTTCTGTGAAAAATCATGTATTAATATATTATTAATTTCTCCTCTCTAATTCTAAGCGAGGCCCCAAGAAAACACTGAATGCTCTCCCTCCTCTCCTGGCCAAGATAGTAAATTAGAAATGACATCACTTCCTGGGGAAAATGGTGAATATAAGCTCATGTTAAAGATCTAAAAAATGCATGGATGATGATGTCTACCATGTCTCCATTTAATTTTCCTCTCTGGCTCCTGAACAACCTGATGGATGCTGGAGAGTGACAGTGGAATGGCTAGAGCTCAACCAAGAGGTCCTTGATTTGACAAATGAGTTACTTTCCATCCTAATCAAGAAAGAGGATCTGAAAAATGTCTCATTTGTATGGAACAAAAAACAATCCATGCTTAATATAATGCCTTAACACTATGTTAGCACCTTTTATAGTCTGAAAAGATCTGGACGACATGAACACCATTGCAGAACACCAAGTACTGATTATATGATGCCAATCAGGCAAGATGTGTATGAGTTGGCACGTATGATGGAAGCCTTGCTAAAAAATATGTTTTGTAGAGCCTGGAAAGTAAAAATTTTCTAGATCCCAAGGTCAGGGGCATGCAAGGACATTGCCATTAAAGGTAAAGATGGATTGTTGTATTTTTAATCTACTTCCACATAGAAGAAAAGACTGTATTACTTCTAGGGTCCTAGAAGCAATTAAGTCAACATCTAAGAATGCTGGTTAAGATGATAAGCCAGGTGAAATTCGAAGTCTGATTGTCCTGAGCAGGTTCCTGAGGAAAAAAAAGGGGTGGCTTTATGACCTGCTTCATGGGCTGTATGATCTACAGACTCTATGGTAATGAATGTGACAATGTTGAACAAAAATGCAGTCTGGAGTTTGTGGCAAGTCTGAAGAGGAGAACCTCAATGTAGACGCTAGTTTTCTGGAGCAAGGCTAAGCAACCTACAGCAGAAAACTACATGATTTTGGAAAAAAAAAGTATGCTACTGAAACTTAGTAAAGACTGGACACTCAGCCATGGATACCAAGTGACCAGGCATCCAGAAAAGCTTATCCTGAGCAATTCTGGCACTGCAGCCTTCTCTGGCCATGCAGGTAACAAAGATGGTAGGCATAGCGGCAGTTTATTTGCAAGATAGAAATGGAACATCTAGAATTAAGTGGGCCGAGAGGACATACACAAATGCATGAGATGATAGCCTAGACCTTCATTTCTCCCATCTGTTTTGACCAGTACCTTACCTTGAAATCATACCTGTCATCATAAGGGATGTTTCTATACCAACTGAAGAAGGAGGGAAAATCCAGCCTCACATAATGGAAAGGTTGAGTTGGTGTAACGTAAACTCAGAAAATGGATGGCAAATGCATTTCAGCTACATTTATGGAAGAACTTGAAATACAGTAGCAAGGAAAAAAATTCTCAGTGCACAATGTTGTGGACAGTGTACTTGCTCATCATAGGGAATGAAAAGAAACCGTAGGTTAGGGTATGTATTGATTCATGAGAATTGACCAGTGGTCTCTCTGGCTGATAGGTGCCAAAAAGGAAAAAGGCTGGAAGATATAAGTCAAAATTACATGAGTTAAAGGCATGTGAAAGAATATATGCATTGAGAGGAAGTGTGAAAAACATTGTATCTCATGTTAAGACCTCTAAGAAAGCATGTGGCATGAAAGTGGCAACAAATAACCAGATAGACAAAGTGACTTATCCAGTTGATGTTAATCAGCTTTTGTTCACAGCCACCCCAGTGCTGGCATAAGGGGCACATACACAAAGTGGCCACAGGGGTAGATATAAGAGTTCTGCATGGGCTCAACCACATGGGCTCCCACATATGAAGGCTGATCTAGCTACTACTGCTTCTTTACATCCAACGTGCCAGCAGCAGAGACCAACACACTATTGCATGGGGAGATCTGGGCCACTGGGTAACAAATCAACTCCACTGGGTTCCTTCATGTCTGGAATAAACAGAAATTTGTTCTCATAGGAATTGACATCTGTTCTGGGTATGGGATCCCCTTTTCAGTCCACAGGACCTCAGCCACTGTTCAGAAGATTGTAGAATGCCTGATCCATAGTCATGACATCACATACAACAGATCATGTTTTCGTTTGCTATTTATACACAAAATAACTCTAGGCATGAGATACACTGGTTACATCGCCTGTACACCATGATAGAGATTGGAATGACCTGCTGAAGGTAGCACTAAAACATTCAGTCAGAGGCAATATCCTATGATGGGGACACCATTCTCCAACATGCATTAGATCAAAGTAATTTTTATGCAGGTATATTCCCACTAAGAAGAGTAGCTGGGCCTGAGAACCATGGAATAGAAGCAAAAGTGGCCCTACTTACAAGCACTTTGATTTGTCCTTGTTACTTTAGCTGTGAGCTCTGTAGTGTTGGAGATACTATCCCCAGATTGCAGGAGGTGATTCTGTCTCTGAGTAATAGAGCAAAGTTTTCATTGAAGTATACCTACAGATGTTACCTGGGAATGTTGACACCTGGTGTCTAGGTGCCAGTGGGCAAGAAGAGGAGTCATGATCTTGTCAGTGGCAATTGACCATGGTCAGCAGGAGAAGGTTTGGTTGCTATTAGATAGTGTAGATGGATAAAAATATGTACGAAACTCAGGGAACCCTCTTGAATAGACTCAGATGTTTTAGGAATGAGGTATTGGGTTGCACCATAATGTAAGCCACCTGGATTAAGAGGGTTGATATCTTTGAGCAAAGGAAATTTAGAATGAATAGTAGAGGGGGAGATCAATGAGAAATAGTTATGTCCCTAAGAGCAAAGTGAATACCTCCCTCTTTCAAGTCCCATTCTTCTAGCAGGAAGAAAGGCTCATCATGGCCCTGGAGGAGTTGCTCCCCAAATTCTACAGGGAAGTGGATAAAATACCCCAAGGAAAGGAGTGTGGAATCCATGTATGTTCACTACTTATATTCCCCCTCCCCCAAAAAAGACTTTGCCCCACTTTGAGGAGCATGGGTAGCTGTTTCCTTCTTTAAGGTTTTTCTCAGCTTTCTAGTCAAGGCTACACTCATCTCAGGGCAGACTTTAGTCAACATCTGAGCAAGGTGAGAATACAAGGTTCTAGCTATTTCCACCTCATGCATATTTTCTCTCTGAATCAGAGCTCCCTCCTGGTCTATCATACTTTGTTATGTCTGCACACCTGCTGTTGTCTTGCTGACTGTCCTTTCCAATCTTTCTCCCTTTCTTTTTCTTTTCCAGGTGTTACACCACAGTGAACTTTTAGTGCTGGCTTCCGTCTCAGCATCTGCTTCCCAGAGAAATCAATGAGAATGATCTCTTATCCTATCAAGGATCATTTTACCTCCTTCTCACCAAATGTTACAGTAAGTAAGGCTGCATGATAAACCACCCCCAAAACTTCGTGGCTTAGAATAACAATATTTATTTTGCTCATGAATATGTAGTTAGGGCAAAGATTTGATGGTGACAGCTCATTTTTACTCCACTCTGTGTAAGGTGATGTGGATTGAAGGCCAATGAACAGAATTATCTGAAGGTTTGCTTACCTATCTGGTGCCTGGTCTGAAAAGACTTGAATATCTGAGAGCTGGATCGTGGCTCCTTGGAAATCTCTCTCTTTCCAGTACCTGCCATGGACACTGAGCTTCAATTATGCTGTAATTTTACACAGAAGCTTAGGTCTCCAAATGTGCACGTGTTGAGAGAGAGAGAGAGAGAGAGAAAGGGAGAGGGAGACAGCTGTTGTGTTGCTTTTTATGACCTAGCCTCTTACATCACAGTATCACTTCTGCTGTTCTCACAAGTCCATGTAGTTCAAGGAAAAGGAACAGGACCCTGTGTCTCAATAGAGAAAAGTCAACAACTCTTTCAAAGAACAGCATATGCTATGGGATACATTATCATGGCCATCTTTGGGAAATATATCAGTTTCACCAAAGAAAAAAAATTTCCTCGTATTCTTTTTATTAAAATAGTCAGCTATACCTATATTCTTATGATACTTCTTTCCTGTAATGAGAGGAATAGAAAATGTGCACCTCCTCCCACCTAAGACCAGCTCCCTGTGTTCCAGGTCTTATGTTTTCTTACCTTCTTGGTAGTTCTTTCTCTATAATTTATCTCTTTTTATACCTAGCCCCTCTCTCTTGAAATAATTCTTTCTAATATAATCATACCTTACACATTTTTTATAATCACATTTTTCCATTTTCAAACCAAAACAAAAATCACTCACAAAAAAATCTCTATTAGGACCCTAGATCTCCCTCAACCTTTCTAACTTCTTTCTAACTCTTTACAACCAAATATTTCCAAAGTGTTGTCTACACTAACAATATATTCACATGCCTTCCATGTACTACTCAAATTATTACCTTTTCAGGATTCTCATTGCACCATTCTCATTAAATCTTCTTTAAAAAAATTAACACAACTTTTATGAAGCCATTGTCAACATCTTTTTCAAATAATCAAATTTGTCTTGTCGGGCTTTTGATACTTTTGGCTTTTTCTTTAAGGAATTTCTTTTTTCTGGTCCCTTTCTGGCTTTTCTCTTTGCTCTGTGACCACTTGTTCATGTGCCTTCCCTCTTTCTCTGTTTTAAATGACAATTTTCATCATGTTTCTTTCTCTTTCCCCCAGTGGAACTAATAGAGTTTGTTGTTCTGGATGAATTTTCAATTTTCACATAAAAAAGACAGTAGAATGGTGGTTCTCGTGTTTTTTCCTCTAGTCCATTTCTTCTTTTCAATTTAGAGTCTTCCTCAATGATTACAAATAATATTATGTTTTCACTTGCTGTTCATAAGCTGAAGGAATCCACGATCTGTATCCCCAGCCCAGATCCCTACTGAGCTATGTTTTCCAAAAAGCCTTCTTTTTGTCCCATTGCAACATTGTCTAACCCTAATATTGCACTGATCAAACTCAGTAATTAACAGTGGGTGGGTTTCTCCTTACCTGTCTATATGATGTTCTAAGGCAGCCTTGGATAATTCCCATTTTTTGTTTTTGACTGCATTAAACATACATGTTCTGGATGAGTATCCCAACCTCCACCCTGAAACAGCTTATTAAATCAAAGGCAGACATCTCAATCAAGTCTTTGTCATAGGGTTTGACTCAAAAGATGAACTGTACCAATCAAATTCTAGTTCAGGATTTTTTTTACTAAAGTCACACAAAAAGAAGGTTCCATATTCACAATAACAATATTTATTTATTAACTAAAAGAATTAGTGCTTTAAGAGCCATGGAATTCAATGATTTATAGGTATATTTAAGCTTTCTTTCAATTCCCCAAATTAGTTTTTGATGTCCCAAGATAGTTGAAATGCACTTATATTTCTGGCCAGTTACCATTCATGGGTGATATGGCTTGGCTCTGTGTCCCCACCTAAATCTCATCTCAAACTCTAATCCCCATAATCCCCACATGTCGAGGGCGGGACCTGGTGGGAGGTGATTGAATCATGGAGGCCGTTTCCCCTGTGCTGTTCTCGGGATAGTGATCTGATGGTTTTATAATGGGCTTTTCTCCCTTTGCTCCTTCACTCTCTCTCCCCTGCCACCATGTAAGACGTTCTTTGCTTCTTTCTGGCCTTCTGTCATGATTGTAAGTTTCCTGAGGCCTCCCTAGTCATGTGGAACTGTGAATCAAATAAACTTCTTTCCTTTATAAATGACCCAGTCTCATGTATGTCTTTATAGCAGTGTGAGAACGGACTAATACAGTGGGCATTTTTGTTTCCTCTGAATCTGTCCCTGTTTACTGGGTATCATCATCTCCATTGAGCACTCCCAAAGGAAATAATGGTGCCTACCAGGCGTTGCTTGTTTTGTATGCTTAGTATTTCCAATTACATTGGTGCTCTTTGATATGCATTAGGGGGCACATTAAACAACAGAGCCTGAAGTACAAGAAGAGAAATGTTTTCAGATAAGACTAACATTTTATGTGAACTCTCTTATTAACAAGGATCTTATTCAAGTAAACCTAGTGTATAGAATGCATTCTTTTGGAATAGGAAAACAGATCTTGTAGGATTACAGTTCTCACAAATTATTCAGACAAACTTCACAGCAACTGGAACAGGACGCAGATCAATCCTGCGGAGATTGGAGTATTCAGTCTTGCTCTTGCATCTGCTTCTTCCTGTATTAGTTCATTTTATAACTCCTTACTATGTATCTTATATTTATGTTTTCTTTACTCACATAAAGCAAGAAGAAGTTTCTGCTTCTTTCTTGCTTCTCTCTTTGTAACCAATTTAAGTATTTTCACAGTTTAGCTTGCTGCAACTCCTTTCCTTGATTAACCCATTTATGCCAGAGTTTGCAATTTTTGTATGTATGTATGCAATTTTGACGATGACCTTGAGCAGTAGGACATAAATAACTCCCACAAACTTAGTGTTCCAATAATGGAAACTAGGCATAAATGGGTTTAATAGTTTTCCATTCATATTCTTTGTTTATTATTATTATACTTTAAGTTCTAGGGTACATGTGCACAACGTGCAGGTTTGTTACATAGGTATACATGTGCCATGTTGGTTTGCTGCACCCATCAACTCGACATTTATATTAGGTATTTCTCCTAATGCTATCCCTCCCCCAGCCCCCCACCCCCCGACAGGCCCCAGTGTGTCATGTTCCCCGCCCTGTGTCCAAGTGTTCTCATTGTTCAATTCCCACCTATGAGTGAGAACATGCAGTGTTTCATTTTCTGTCCTTGTGATAGTTTGCTGAGAATGATGGTTTCCAGTTTCATCCATGTCCCTGCAAAGGACATGAACTCATCATTTTTTATGGCTACGTAGTATTCCATGGTGTATATGTGCCACATTGTCTTAATCCAGCCTATCATTGATGGACATTTGGGTTGGTTCCAAGTCTTTGCTATTGTGAATAGAGCCGCAATAAACATACGTGTGCATGTGTCTTTATAGCAGCATGATTTATAGTCCTTTGGCTATATACCCAGTAATGGGATGGCTGGCTCAAATGGTATTTCTAGTTCTAGATCCCTGAGGAATTGCCACACTGACTTCCACAATGGTTGAACTAGTTTACAGTCCCACCAACAGTGTAAAAGTGTTCCTATTTCTCCACATCCTCTCCAGCACCTGTTGTTTCCTGACTTTTTAATGATTGCCATTCTAACTGGTGTGAGATGGTATCTCATTGTGGTTTTGGTTTGCATTTCTCTGATGGCCAGTGATGGTGAGCATTTTTTCATGTGTTTTTTGGCTGCATAAATGTCTTCTTTTGAGAAGTGTCTGTTCATGTCCTTTGCCCACTTTTTGATGGAGTTGTTTGTTTTTTTCTTGTAAATTTGTTTAAGTTCTTTGTAGATTCTGGATATTAGCCCCTTGTCAGATGGGTAGATTGCAAAAATTTTCTCCCATTCTGTAGGTTGCCTGTTCACTCTGATGAAACCAAACCTTACTGGAAGCAATAGCAAGTCTCAAGAAGCCCACTGTCAGGCTGATTTAATTGCCATCATCTCTCTGTTCCTAGGATGCTTCACTCTCATGTCTATTATCATCTAGTTAGTTATATAATTATCTTTCTTGTTCTATCAATTGAGTGGAAAAGGGACATTTTTCACCACTGATTTCTAAGATCAATCACTCGGCTTGGGGCACAGTGGTGACAACTAAATTATTCTGAATAAATAATTGAATAAATCCAAGAATGCATGCATGCATGAGTGTGCTGACACCATACTTGTTCTCATAAATGACAGAAAAATAGGAAAGAAAACGTGATATGAATTGGAAAAGCTCGCAAAGAATGTAACGTCCTCTGATAATTTCATGGGGCAGTAAAATAAATTTTAAAAAGTTCAGAATGTAGAGATGATTTTTCATTATCTTCTCCTGAGAAGTAAGATAAGTAAAATGTCCTTCATTCCTCATTCCTAACCTAAATTAGGAGGTTAAATTTTTGTATCTTCTGCGATTCTGAGAATCCCTGGGCCCCAGCGTGCATATGCTACAGCTTAGCAATAGGACGTGGAGCTGTTTTCTTGGGAGAGAAGGAAGATGGGCTACAGGCATCCTGGAGAGGCTGGTACGCTCATCTTACTCCTCTGCCCTATGGCCGTTTTCGTCGATTCCCAGCCAGGTTGTTGCAAAGGACTTTGTATCCAGACCCATACTGTATGAGAAAGGAGGGCACATTGCTCACCTAGAATGCATTTATTATTATAATTATGATTTTTCTAAATTTATAGAGACACACCATCTTAATATTTATTAAAATGGGAAGTCTCAGACAAGGATACAAAATAATAACCAACCTAATGTATCTTAATAAATGTTGTAACTGTTTTTCAGAAATATAATTATTAAATGCATCTAACTCATCTGGATAAAAAGCTTTTAGAGGTATAGAACTTACCTTCCTGGTTCTAACTTACTTCTTCTGTTTAACTGTTTTTGCTAAATATGTCTCTACTTACAGCCTGCCAAATAGAAACTGTCCTTGGTCTTCTTATCTTCATTACATGATAAACTAACCCTAAGTCATCTTTCTGCAACATGTTTTTTTGTAATCTTTACAGTAACTTTTGGCATGGTAAATTAGACCGTGTTTTCATTGTTATAAGAAAAACCGAGTTAATTTTACAGACACAAATATGGAAAACTTTATAGATAAACAGTTCAGAGAATGAGCTATTTCTGTTTGGGCTACTGAAAAATGACACTTAAGGAAAATACCATTCAGATAAAGAATAAATGCTCATTTCAAAATTTGTCTTAGATTTGAGGCATGCTATTCCTGTGTACTGAGAAGCTTCTGTTAGTTAAAACAGTGAAACTTGTTTTCCATTTCCAATAGCTAGTTATTTCTTATGGTCTAAAGTTGAATTTTTTTCAGGTTATAATTTTTATTTATGAAGTTGTCAGAGGTGTTAATAAGGAGCCATTAATAAAATTCCTGTCTGAAATTGAAGACTTAGCAGACTAATGGTTGAGTAGCAGCAAACACATTCAACTGGACTAAGTTAAAAAATATGCTAAAGTTCCTTCCCTCAATTAGGGATACAGAACACCCAAGGCTTAAAGTGGGATTACAAAATGTATACTTCTATGCCAAGACCAACTCTAATGCAGGATCCAGATTTTTGCTAAAGTATGTCTTGTTGTGGAAAAGGAACATGCACAGGCTTCACTACAACTTACTCAAAGGTTAATGTTTCTTTTTGCTGTTGTTATATTGGTAGTATAAATTTGCTTGATTTCCCCCATATGTGTGTGTGTGTGTATATATATATATATATATATATATATATATATATATGGGGAAATTAAAACACATATATGTATAGATGTGTCTCAATTTCAACCAGAAGCTGTATGAATGTGTGTTTGTATTTTTCTGGGCTGTAAAGGAGTAAGAGTATATATGTTTATGAGTCTCATGAATTATAGTAGTTTTAAATAAATTGTTTACATTATGGAAAATGAGTATTTGGGCAACATCCAGCTGTGAGCAGTTTCTACAATCACAGCTTAGTGACCACACTACGTGGCTGATAGAAGGGACATGTTGGCATCGCCATAGCCATTGTGGTCCAATGCATCAGCAAACTTCTGCACAGGTGTCCACCCTTCCCCTGCTGTGCATGCTGCGCTGATTGCCTAGGCAGTAGTCAGAACCCGAGTCTTGACTCTGGTTTCCATGGCTCTTCATACTGGATGCACTCTCCCCAGCAATTAGCCTGTGTTTGGTTCTCTTTCCACACTTTTGACTTCTATCAAATCAGATTATTCCTGACCAACTACTACTTTGCCAATGCCAAGAAATAGATAAGGTACTAACTCTAATAGGTTTTACAGCTGTTAATTCTATTGGACTACATGTATATGACTCGGGCATTCAACCTTCTGGAACGTACATCAAAATCTACAGATAAATAATTTTAGGGGATTTTTAAAAACAAGTATAACGCATTCTTGACTGTGCTAGGGAACCAAATCAATTGAGGAATGAGTGAAAAGGAGAGGGAGGGTGACGAGGAAATCAGATGTAAATGGAAAAAATGAGAAGGCGACTAGAACAGGTGTCAGAGAAAATTACATTTAGCCAAATTATGTCAAGAATTTGGCAGAAGGACAAGAGGAACAAAACCCTGGCTATTAGTCATTTGTTTTTGGTAGCAATAGAAACAGGACTAGTGTTACACCAAGAGTCAGTGTCTTAAACCAACTAAAAGAAATGACATAAGCTATTTATGTGAAATTAATGAGCAATATTTGTACCCAAATAAAAGAAAAATGAAATAAAACAATCCCCTCAACAATACTGAGATACAGTACAAGGGTTTCCTATGAATACTTGTCATACTACTTACATCGATAAATTGCAAATGGAATTTAATATAATGAACATGTTCAATTAGTGAAAGTAAATGACCTAGCACCCAGGGTTTTCTTAATTAGAAGGTTTTTATGCATCGTAATGCTTTAAATTATCTTTGGTACAATTTGGAAACCTTAAAACCAGATTGCAGTTTTGTGAACACTTTGGCAGAAAAAAAATGATTTTGTCATTGGATTTTTTTTTTTTTTTTTTTTTGAGACAGAGTCTTGCTCTGTTGCCCAGGCTGGAGTGCATGGCATGATCTCTGCTCACTGCAAGCTCCAACTCCTGGGTTCACACCATTCTCCTGCCTCAGCCTCCTGAGTAGCTGGGACTACAGACACCCGCCACCATGCCTGGCTATTCTTTTTTTTTTTTTTTTTTTTTTTAGTAGAGATGGGGTTTCACCGTGTTAGCCAGGATGGTCTTGATCTCCTGACCTCGTGATCCACACGTCTCAGCCTCCCAAAGTGCTGGGATTACAGGCGTGAACCACTGCACCCAGCCTTTAAAGGAGCATGTGGACTGAAGCCTGTGCAAGACAAACATAAAATGTTGCAGCATCTGTTTCTTTCTGTGCTTAAATCAGAGACATCTACTCTTGTCATTTCAGGATAGTGACCTCAAGTCATTTTACTTATGTCACTGAAAATGACCCTGATAGAGAATCTTGCACACTTCCACCAAGTGTTTTTCTTTTCAATTGCATGAAATGTATTTTTTAAATTTACATTTTGAATCAAAGGAAATACAGAAAGTCAATAAAATGCAGTCAAATCAATAGCAATATATATTTTTATTGTACAATAATCTGTATTTATTCCTTCACTCATTTTCCAACCTGGTTATTCCAATTCATAGTGGCGAGGGGTCAGAGCTTCGTCCCTGCAGCTTAGGGCAGAAGCTGGGAAACAGCCTTGGATAGGATGCCATTCCCTCCCAGGGCACACTCACACACACGTCATCACTCATTCAGACTGGGACCATGTAGACATGTCAATTCACCTAACATGCACATGTTTGGGAAGGGAAAGGAAGTCAGAGAGGACCTATGCAGACACAAAGAGAATGTGCAAACTCCACACAGACAGAGGCCCAAGCTGGGAATTGACTTGTTTTTTCTCCTCTAATATGAGAATTGGACAATCTTTCTATTATTTTAGTGGTTACAACAGAAACTTTTAACACTCATATTAAAAGTAATTATGTCAAAATCAAATCAATACTTTTGCATTACACCAGAGGTAAAACCATAGAGTGTTTTAACATGTATCTATTCTTCCTTTTCCCCTTGGTATTTAATATCAAGATTTCTGTCTAATGATAAAACAAGAATGTTTTAAACATTAAATATTTGTTTACATTATATGACATTATTTTGCGATTCTTATCATTCAGTATTCCTTCTATTTTAGAAATTCTTTATTGGATAATGTTGGTTATCTTTGGGTTCTGTTCTTATGTGTATACATATACATATTTGCTAGTTTATTCTTTCCTTCTTTTTGTCTTTTTTTAATTTCAATTTGAGAGCAGGTGCTGTTTATTAACTGGCCAGCTTAGAAAAATAATCATGGTAGACACTTAATTCAGTCTCCTAAGAAGCCTGTTGATCTGCTCCTCCCTGTTGCCAGCAGTTCCACCTTCTATGAAATGGGTGATCTTTTTCTTCATTCTGCCTAGTGAGGAAGATAATCTGAAAGGTCACAGGAAGTTATTTGCTTCTTTGAAGCGTTTTCCAACAGTATAGATCTCATGAATCAGATCCTCCATGCAGATGATGCCATATTTACCAAGAGATCGAGCAATCTAAGTGTTATCTGTCAGTGCAATTCGCTTCTCATTGATTTTGCCATAACCATGCTTCTAGATTAGTTCCTTTATTGACTTCAGATTTGGGTACCTACATGCAATATACGTTTCTACAATTCTCAGTATGTTCATTAAAGCCTTGTTGAGCTTCACAAAGGTTCCACTGAAGACCTGACAAAGGCAAAGAAGCTGCAACACCTTTCAGACCTTGGGGCTCACACCACTGATAGCACTGATCCTGATGACAAACGCCAATTTGGGTTTTGGATGTACGAAGAAGTTGCCAGCTTTTCTTGCCATCGTCGCCATTTGAATTTCAGTTCTGTACATCTGCCTATATTCCTTGTGACAGTGTTTCACTTTTTCATAGATGAGCTTCCTCCTTGCCTTTTGAAGCATCTTATGGGCAAACTTCTTTCTCAGGCACTTATCTTCAGCTCTGCAAAATTCCTTTACTTTCTCTAAAGGGTTTCTGGTACAGCAGGCAACTTCCTCTTCTTTTCAACACCCTCCACGATTCCAGTTGGAAAAGAGCGTCTTCATTTTTTTATGTTTGCTTTTTTTTCTTGAAAGATCATCGTACTGGTATTTAATTCCAGCTTAAGGCCGTAATTGGGGTATCTGTCTCATAATGACTGTAGCTCCCATCTGATTTCGTTTGTCTGCCCCCCCATGCCTGCCCCAATGCTGGCATCTGACAATAGCAGATAAGTCAAGGCAGGCTGCAACAAGAAACATGGAGAAAGCCAGCACCTCCTCTTCTTCTCCAAAGCCTGTCATGAGTCAGAACAGAACCTGAGAAGTAGATGTGTCGAGGTTTGACCAACGATTCTACATTAGAACAAACAGGATTCTGAATGCCTGCACATTAGAATGAGTGTTAATTGTTCTGAGTAACTAGAAAAGTTATGGAATCTATTTGAGATATTATTTAGATCATAAACCGTATCTATTTATGATCCATTCATTTTGTTGTTGTTCTATCTAACCTGCTGCAGATAGGGCAATGAATGAAAAGACCGAATTTCTGCCATGATGGAATTAACATCAGAGTGGAAGATAAAATCAATAAACTAGATCTACATTATAAGATCCCATGTAGATAAATGATAGGAAGAACAATGAAACAGAATATGGAGATAAAAACGTGGGATGCAAAGTCAGTTTAGACAAGGTTGTCCTGAAGATCTCACTGTTGTGGCAAACCAGGAGCAGATACCTCAGAGAGGGGAGAAATTCAGCCATGAGGTGGCTGGAGGAAGAGCATGCTGTGTACGGGAAATGGCAGGTACAGAGATGTAAATCATAAATCGCTGACTTTTGAAGTGGATGTATGATTGACAGTTCTACATTAGACCAAACAGGATTCTTAATGCCCAGACATTAGAATGAGTTTTAATAGTTCAGAGTAACTAGATAAGTTGTGGAATCTATTTGAGATATTATTTAAATTATCAGAGAGGAATTCTGGTATAGACGTGTTGGGAGTCAGTATGAGACATATCTTTTTTCATTCCTTGTCCATCAGTAACTCTATTTGGATACAGTTGTTTAAATAATATTTTCATCTGTCTCTTATACTTGTGGGTGGTCAAATGGTTTTGATCCTGACAAAATTTGCCCCAAATCTTGCTTTAAATTTTGAATAAATTTACTGATGGTTGTCAAGAGTGAGGTACATCAAATTTTCCTGTTAAATGTAGCCAATGACTTAGCCAAATTAGAATTTAAATGCATTTGGCAACACATGTTTACCATTAATTTTCTTATTTTTCCTGTGAATATATCAATTTTTCATGGCTCTATGCTCAGGAATTTGTTACAGAAGCGATGAGGCTTTACAAATTTCTAAAGTGAGCTAGAGATACTTAACTATTTTTCTTACTACAGGCTTACATTAGTTAAAGAAATGATCAGTCAGAAGACCATAGTGATGGTAAAACTAATTATATTAGAACTTCAAATGATTTATTTAGGCAGGTTAAGGTGGCAGGTTATAAAAAAAAAAAAGAGTGTGAAAAATCCCCATCTTTCATAGCTTTAAAAAGTTGGGTCTGCTGTGTGCTGTAGTTAAATCAACAGTCTTCTGGTCGGCAGACATGCAGACAACTGTTCCCTCACCGCCACCAGTAAATTCACAGGTCTGCACCATTCCCAAGGGTTGCTGTGCACAGCCTTTTCTAAGGTATGGTTTATACCTGAAAAAGTCGAGATGGACAGGAAAGTCCCATAGATGACAGTAGGCCAGACATTTATCTAGACAGTCCATAGAGAACCCAGTATGTAAAATATTATTTACAGCTTAGTTGTCAAAAATCCTTAAGAGTGGAACTCACTTTCCCCCAATATAACTTATACAGTTTCCTGTAAGTAGAAAAATGTCCATAGCATTTGACATTTTTAGCAATTTTTCCCAATAACATTATGTTACCAGTTTCTCGTTTTTTCTTAAGTCAAAGAGCTTAAAACAACTTCAGGTGCTGCTATTTTCTTTACATTTTAGGGAAAGAATGATAACTTTTTTTTTTTTACTCTTCTTAATTTTTCTTTAGAAAGTTTCAGATTATTAGTAACCACATTAAATTGCAGAAAATATGCAATGATAATGACACATAAAGTTTATAAAAAACAGACACATGTAGAAATGCAAAATCTGAAATTTTACCTGTGCAAAGAAGGAATTTATTAGAGTGAGTAAAAGCTAACATTTTCGTATTTTGTTTAAGACACTGTTCTAAGCACATTATATCAACCTTTTGAATCTTACCAGTGATGCTATAATGTAGGCATTATTTTCTATTTAATAGGTGACTAAATGAAAGAAAAGACAAATAAATTGATAGTTGGTGAATGGCAGAGCTGGGATTTGAACCCAGTGGGACTTAGGGCTTACACTTATAAACCATATATTAAACTTCATTGAGAAGGGAGGGGACGGGGGTTGAAAAGTTGGTTGTGTGATGTTGGTGGCTTTGTTTGTAGTTATGGTTGTGATGATAGTGGTATTAAACAAACAAAAATTCCTTTCTGAATTAGGAGATAAGCTAATTATATTTCATGTAGTATATGTTTATCTTCGTACTTTATGAGCTAAAGAACATTACTATCTATATTTTTCAGGCAAGGAAACTAACTCTGAGAGTGGTTAGGTAACTTGCCTATAGTCACAAAGGCAATGCATTACAAAGGTAGGATTCCCCTCAGGAGGTCTGACAATAATGACAACTTGCTCATCTCTGCTTTTCTGAAGGCATATGATGACATCAACATAATGCTTATTGGCCCATAAACACTAAGCTAGTTAATTATTTTACTGAAGATCACCATAACCTAAGGTACCATGCCAATTTAGGTCAATTTCCATTTCTGACTTCCGCTGAAATATCCATAGAGCTCAGATGAGGCTACTCGTCCAATTAAAATTTTATTTTAAATATAACCACTGCATTCACAACTAATCAGATTAGCTTATAAAATTATAGATGTGTATTGATAAACTATGCACACCAAACATTGTTTCTAATTTCTGTGGGATACTTCTAAATTGTTTTAGTACAGTGAAGGTCCCATTTACCATGCCAAAAGTTACTGTAAGGATTACAAAAAATATGTTGCAGAAAGATGAGTTGGAGTTAGTTGATCATATAATGAAGACAAGAAGCCCAAGGATACTTTCTATTTGGCAGGCTAGAAGTAGGGATATACTTAGTAAGAACAGTTAAACAGAAGAAGTGAGTTTGGCTGGCAATGGGACAATCTATGAAAATGGGAGGTGAAGAGATTGGAAATAGGGCAGCTTGCCCTTAGGTCTTCTCAGTACATCTGTGTGCACCATACATACTGGTTGGGAGAATTTGAGTTAGCAAAGATTATAAGCATCAACAACATTGAAAAAGCAACAAACACAGTTAAATAATTTTAATCACATATAATCATAGTATTTTTAACATAACTACCCTAATTTTGTACCTTATCCTAATACATATATATTTTACTTACCATTTGATCATCTTTTCACTTAATATTACACAGTTTTCTATATAATTCCATGTCCTTTAATTCTCCTATAATTGCCATGTAATTTCTACTTATGCTTCTCTGCCACAAATTTGCATGACTATTTCTGCTTTTTGACATTCGTGTTGTCTCTGAAGTTGTTCCATGGGAAGTTATAGTTGGAAGCATAATGCCTTACCACATGCAATTCCTGGGAAAGTAAGATCATATCTTTTCTAACTGAAAAACTTACAATTGTTTCCTGCTGCTTTTAGAAGAAAACTCAACGTTCTCTCCCTGGCCCCAGCCCCTAAGTGATGTGGGTTCTGACTCTACCTCCAATGCACTTCCCTTTTGCTTATTGTGCCTCAGTCACAGAGGCTCCTTGTTATTCTTCAACCGCATCAAGCACCCTGCCTCTGCACCTGCCATTTCCTGTGCCCAGCATGCTCTTCCTCCAGCCATCTAGCGGCTGAACTTCTCCCCTCACCGAGGTCTCTGCTCCTGGTTCGCCATAACAGTGAGAACTTCAGGACCACTTTGTCTAAACTGACTTTGCATCCCATATTTTCAATCTCCATATTGTGCTTCATTATTCTTCCTATCATTTATCTATATGGGATATTATAATGCCGATCTAAGTTTATTGATTTTATCTTCCACTCCAATGTTAATTCAATCATGGCAGAAATTCGGTCTTTTTATTGATTGCCCTATCTGCAGCAGGTTAGATAGAACAACAAAACAAATGGATCATAGAATAATCTAATAGTTATTAACAGTTTCCCAATATCCCTGTGGGAAATTTCCTTTCGGTCACTATAGGAAGTATTCTAGGACAATTTCTAGAAGATTCTAGGAGTTGAAAGGACCAAGTGTAAGAGCCTTGTTCTTTCAACTCTGAGACCTTATTAATCACTATGTCTTTGGGCTTTGGACTTTAAGCTAGTTATGCAAAGTCAGGAATGACAGTGAGATATGCATAATTCATTGAGGATTTGGTGTCACATGGGAAAGGACCTTTCCTGCTCCACGACAGTCATTGGGATTGTTCTTACCTCGACTTCGGAGTTAACTTGGTTATGATCATTTCCCAAGACTGGTCACATGTCTTCTGTAAGTGCTGTGAGTAACCTTATTTTTATTTAAAATAGGCAGCTGTGGTTTCTGGTGCCCTGAGAGTGCTAGAGATTTCAACATCTGCCTTCATCTGCTGGCTGCTGGCTAGCCTCTCCTTAGCCTCAGCCTGGGAAATTCCAGTTGCCAAATACCTGCTGCTTTGTCCTCTCTGGCACCATCATATCCAGTGAGGCTCTCAATGTCCGTAGTAAGACTAAGGTATCCCACTAGATTTAGTGTTAATAGCAACACAGTTACATCAATAGAGGTAAAGGTTCTACTGGCTTGGAGTGAATACCTCCTAATGGGCTTTATAAGTTGAAAGACTTTCAGCTTAGCAGTTTAAATGTGTAATTATTTTTGCAAGTTTAAAATGTTGCAGCAATTAGTGCTTATTGTGAAAGCTGTTAATTTTATACACACAAACAAATTTTAAGGATTTCAACTAATTAAATAAATAGGTAAAGATTGGCAGGTAATATGAAAGTTGCGAAGATATGTTAGAAAGATAAGTTTAGGAATTTTTGAGGCAAGAGGTGTTTGCAAAAAAATTAAATTACAATACAAAGTAGTTTGATAGACCTTAGTTTCTATCATAATTTTTATTATTGTAAAATTATTTGGGGTAGTAACATTTATAATATTACATTGAAAAATTTTAAGAACCGCATTGAATTTTTATTTATTAAATTCCACTTAGCGTACGAGTCATGAAAAAACAACTTTTGTGTAATTTTCACGTTGTGGGTTAGTCAATAAACTGTATTTGATATCTGAAAATTTATAACAATGAAAAACTGCAAAATAAAATAATAAAATCCATAATAAATTATCTTTAGTCTGTGTATTAAAAAATCTGTAGAAAAAGTATCAGCTCACCCAACCAGCCCTAATTTTCCTTTACCATTGACCTTGACTAAAAGCGAATATCAACATTAATGAAAAAAATTTAATATATTGAATTCAAGAAGAAATTAATGGCCAACGGTGTTGATTATTCAAGAAGTTTCTAAACATTTTAGAAGTGAAGTTATAATAATAAAATTGTGTTACTATTAAATTTTCTTGATAAGATTTTAGATTCATTGTTGGATCTAAAGAATGTTTGATTAAGATGATTTCATATCTGAACCAGTATAATTTCAACACAAAATTTGTTATTTAGCCAAAATTTGTATGAGGAACACTTCATCCTTCAGCCTAGATATATGGCTATCTTCAGTCAAAGATATTGCTTGATATCACATTTACCGACTATTCTCTAACTTTTCTTTTTGACTGATTTCTACAAAATAATGTATGAATATTTCTTAAATATGATATAACTGAGTCATTGTTATTATGGATATTTTTGTGGTTATTGATATATACTGCAACACTGTTTTACAAATAGTGAATTTTTTATGCTATATTACATGTCTAAGTGCATGAGTACACCACCAGCTGCATTTCTGCACCGAAAACCTTCGTTATTTCCTCTGACAATGTATGTGTTTGCCTATTTGTTAACTTAGCAAATTAATTAAAAGTTTCCAAAAGTCATGTTATGTTTCTTTGCTAGCAAGAACAAACATACAATCATATGATATTATACTTGAAAAATTATAAATACATAATTCTAAAAATTAGATTTTTCAACTTGCATGTGTAACTGATATTTTTCTAATTGGCTAAACATATTTAAAATTTAATATTTCTTGAGTTTTTCCTTTACTTGCTGTTTCTTTTGTATTTTTAGTTACTCATCTTTGATTTTGATTCAACTGCTTTTACTGTCTCAAATCTATATTAATTAAAATACTCAGCTATATGTCATATGAATTGTTCTATTGTTTTAAAAAGCAGAATAAATTCCTATCTAAGACACATTTTCCCCAAAGTTATATGATTACTCTTAGACACCTTAAAGCGTCCACAATGTCTGACTGAAGCGCTGATCTGAGACTATGTAACTAGGAAAGCTGTCATTGGTGTTAACCCAACCAGTTATCCATAGATCATCTCAACTTTGAAGTTAATACTAGTTAACCTGATAATATGCCTTATCTTGGTAATCTTGATAAGCCTACGTGTTTCACAAAAACAGCAACAATGGCCCCACAATGGTAGATTATTTTTATGAGTCAGTGTGTCCCTGAAACATCACCTGAGTTTGGCTTCACGGGAATTTCTATGTTTCTGTCATAGGAGAAATCCAAGTGCAACAAGCTAGAATGAGACATGGAAGACTGGGAAATCAATGTTTTAGGAATAACAGAACCATTACATATATTGTTGTAAAAATATAGCCTAGAGCAGGAGTTGGCAAACTTTTTCTATAAAGAACCAGATAACAAATCACAAATTGTTTAGGCTTTGTGTGCCAAGAGGAAACTATAATTAGTTCTGTAGACAATTCTATTATATAACAAAACAGAAAGCAATTTTGCACATATATTTAATAAAATTGAAAATATAATAATAATCAAGCATTTTTTGAAATAGTATGGGTTTTGTATTAGTTTTCTATTGCTGCTGTAAGAAGTTACCTTGAATTAATGCCTTACCACAATACCTGTTTAATTTTTTACCATCATGTAGGTCCAGAGGGTACCATGTTTCTCAGCTGTTTCTTTGCACTAGGTTTTACAAGGCAGACATCAAGACCTCAAGGGGTCAGCATGGCTGTGTTCTCTTCCTGAACCTCTAGTGGGGAATTTGCTTTCATGTCATCATGGTTTTTGACAGGATTTACTTCATTGCGATTGTAGGACTGAAGTCCCCATTCTCCTGCCAGCTGCAGGCCAGCCTGGGGTCATTTTAGCTTTTAGAGACTCACAAGCCTCTTCCTCCATCCTTAAAGTCAGCAATGGAAGCTGAGTCCCTCTCGTGCTTTCAAATCTCTCTTTCCTCCCCTTCTGCTCATTTCCCATCTCCTCTTCCGTGACTGTGTATAAATGACCCCTCTGCTTTGAAAAGCTCTCATGATGACATCTGCACCACTTGAATAACCCAGTGGTAATGTCCCTGTCCTAAGGTCAGCTTAGTATCTTTAATTCTATGTGCAAAGTTCCTTGCTGGTAGTACCTACAACAGTGTTTGATGGAATAACCCAAAACTGGGAATGCCTTTGGAATTCTTACTGTTAATATCACAGGTCTACCAATGAAAAGAATGGAGTGTTTTTGTTGTTGTTGTTGTTTGTTTGTTTGTTTGTTTTTTGTGGGATAGCATTTTCTTCAATTAAGGTCCAAATGTAGTGTTCCTCCTCATCAGATCAATTGCAAATATTCATCTCTAAGAATCACTCTTACTCTATAGGCCTTACTAAAACAGGTGGCAGGCTGGGTAGGCTCATGGGCTTTAGTTTATGAACCCATGATCTGGGATATTGTGTAGCTATTGAAAGTCTTGTTGCTGAGTATTTAAACATATTCTGAAATGTCTAAACTATGTAGATAAACTAAAATAGATGATAAAACAAGGCTGGGCATGATGGCTCACGCCTGTAATCCTAGCACTTTGGGAGGCCAAGGCAGGCAGATCACTTGAGGTCAGGAGTTTTGAGACCAGCCTGGCCAACATTGCAAAACCCTGTCTCTACTAAAAATACAAAAGTTAGCTGGGCGTGGTGGCAGGCTCCTGTAGTCCCAGCTACATAGGAGGCTAAAGCAGGAAAATCGCTTGAATCTGGGAGGCAGAGGTTGTAGTGAACTGAGATTGCATCATTGCACCCCAGACTGCCTGGATGACAGAGAGAGACTCCATTAAAAAAAAAAAAAAAAAAAAAAAAAAAAAAAAACCAGATAAAACGGTATGCACTATTTTTCCAATTTTATGAAAGAAAAATATTTATAATATAATATAAATAACAGATTAGTATGTTTCTATTTATATAAACTGGAAGATATACAATGCACTGATAACAATAGTCATCAATGGAGGTAGAATAACAGGTGAAGTTGATGCATTTTCTCTATTTTTTTTATATTTTTCAAGCTCTTGCAATGCTTTTTTTTTTTTTCAGAAATCAGGAAAAGAACTTAAATGTTATAAGATATTTTAGGTTCAACAATTTGGTATTAAATTCTCTTTCACTAAATTTTTTTTTCTTACCATGCCTTTCTAGCATCAGTGAGCAGCACTGCCTAGGAGATAACAGGAAGCCGGGTTTCACAGCAGCCATCCTAACCAACTAATTCTGTGATGATTGAGAGACTGTGAGTGACCCGATTGGCCAGACCCTTACTGAACCCAACTGACAACTGTGTCCTGATTAAAGGGGAATGAAATTTGTTTTCACAATCCCATATAGACCTATAAACTTGTCCTGACCTGTCAAGAGTGCCAGTTTTCAAACTGCCATTAGCAAACCACTGTGAAACCACCCACAAAAGCCTTACATTTTAGGCTTTTCATTTTATGTTTACTATGAAACATTAAAGAATGCATGAATATAGAAATGGAAATTGGTCCCTTTTCACCGATCACAAACTTTGTACCTCAATTCTTAAAGTCAGGGATGTTTAACTCAGCCAGCCACCTAGCTAGGGTCTGTAACAAACAGTTGGTTATTTTTCACCCTTTGTCTACTCAAAATTAAGAAAGTAAAGACGATAAAAACAATATTCTACAGAAAAAAAAGACAAATGTTAAAAAAGTAATAAAAGAGAACTTTCTTTCATATTCATGTGAGAAGGATAGATGTTTAGAAATAAAGAATAAAATTTGTGTGAGGGATGCCTCTTGCATTTTAAGAATTAGAAGAGGTGATTGGTAAAACTGTAGACATGGACGAGCTGGTTTTCCAAGGCACGGGATCAGCTACAAGTACATAGAAAAGGTCCCTCATATAAAAACAATTATGTCAAGGTGAATTTGTGTGTATTATATATGTACTAAATGATGTGTACATGCAACTGGTTGTTACAGGAAAAAGGAAAAACAGAAAAAAACTGAAAAAATTACATGAAAAAAATGTATCAAGAACCCACAGTAGTTGTAAATAGCATGATACTGTTATTGAGTACCTGAAATCAATTGCAGATTGACATGAGGAGGAGCTCAATGTAACTTCTCCCAGAGATGATCACAGAACTTAAAGAGGCTGAATTCATAGAACAGCTTCTGTGTAGAAGTCACTCTATAGTTCCTCCCAGAGGAGGGGACTGACTTTTCAATTTGTCCATTGGGCCATGCTCGGACCACAGTACTTGAAACAGAACCTTAGGAAAATGCATCATATTTTAATTCTGAACCAAGAGTTGGCTCATTTTTAAAGATACCATGCTTAGTTTTCATTTATTCAGATTTAGGTAAAGGGTTCAATATTCAGGTCAGGATTTGAAATGGGCATCAGGAAGGTGCCCTTAGGTGAGGAAGATTTGTGATGTGGGCAACTTCTTGCTAATAAAAGCCTTCAGTTCAACCTGTACTGGTTCAAGAACTTCTGAAGTTTTACAGAGGCTTGCCTGGAATCTGGGATGAGGGCCTGGGGTTGAGGTCAGGCAGCTTCGTGAACGGAGAAGTGTTGTGCTAATGGGGTTGCTTGAGGGAGGACAATGATATCCACCTTTTTTCAATATTTTGCCTAAGGCCACCCTGGCCCTGCCATTCAAAATCACCTTTTCTGTCATTTTGGCGTTTGTGGTACATTGCAGAACCCTGACTTAGGCCAGGAGGCCATTTAGGAAATTATTCCTGACATTTTGTTTTAAATTAATAAAATACATAAAATAGGGTTCCTTGTAATAGATCTCACACATCAAGCATAAGTAGATCGCATTATTTATTTTTAAATGACATATGCTGTAGCTCAGTTTTGTAGAATTCAAGAATATACTTCATCTTTTGTGTAGGTAATTTCATTCAATTTCCCAGTCCCCTCTTTCATTTTGGAGAAATAAAATTTGTGTTTTATGTCTATATACACTCTCCAATGGGGCAATTCAAAAATAAAAGTGCATCCTTAACACTGCATTTCTTTGCTTTTGGCCTGCACTAGAACTTTTCCCTCATTTCAATGTAGCTTTTGTATGGGTGAATGCAATAAAAAAGGTAATAAACTTAATAAATGGTTCAATTGCATGAGTGCACCTGTGTGTTACCTTCATCCTCATTATCCATTTCCTCAGACATTGTCCATTACCTCGTGTTGGTCACAGAACCCTATTGTAAGTCTAATACATAGTGCAATAAAAATAAATAATCTGAGAAAATATTACAGTGCAAACTGAAAATAGTTTTGTTGTAAATTTATGCACATTTTTATCCACTCTGCTAAGTACAAGGATGCTGTCAGTGTACTGTTCTCTTTATATCTCCCATAGGAGTGAGACCCAAATCCTTATTTCTTATGAGCTTCATTCAAATATATATTACAGGGGCTCCATGCCCGTGGTTGTTTTCTCAGTAGAATTCCTGAAAACTGATTCAGACAATAGTGTGTGCGTGTGTGCGCAGGTATGTAAAAATGTGATGTCCGAGATGACCCTCTAAATCCATGCCTACGTACTCACAGAAAAATAGAAAATAGTAGGTATTTTATTCAAGCAATTCAGGCACTAAATGCATATTTGCCCTGATATCTGTAGATACGAAAAAAACTGTATTCTGCTTGAAACTTTTGAATAATAGATATATTTTCAAACTGAGCTGACTGTGTGAACTTCAAATTTTTGTGGGTTTATAAAGGGCAGAGTTTCCTAGGATGTTTACTGCTAAATTGCATATCACGTATTGGCATGATATGAAGAACGGACTCACCTCTCATGCCTTGCTAGTTTAAAATACTTTACATGCTTTTAGCCAAAGATAATTTTAAAACCAAATATGCCCTCTAATTCGTAGATGCAAAACTGTGTTTTCCAGCTCTCTTTTACACAGGGTCTGTTGGCAGCTGCGTGATAGTATACTCATTAATATCTTTGACAGTTCATAGTTGTCAATCACACCAGATTTTCACAAGCTGCTTACATGGCCTGAGAAATGCACAGAAATGAAGAGGTGATCCCAGACTGACAGATCATTTCAGGTGGCTTGAGTAGACTTTAATTGACTCTTGGTTTGCTGTCTATACTGCTCTCCAAGGAATGCACGAATTAATGAAGCTACTTAATAAAAATCTTGGCTAGATCTTATCTGTTTCTGCCACTAACCAATAGAGCATATTTACACTACACATATTTTACATCCAGGCATTCAGTTTTTGGATTGCTTGTGTAGAGAACATGATTTACTCCCCCTTTACAAAATTTTAGTTCTGTTAACTATAAACAGGACAGTGGGTAGCCAGGACAATGAATAACCTCTGCAAACAACGAAAATATAAAGACAATGTCCACATGTATAGGAAATAGCACATACAAAGTGAAATTTAAAGTAGGAAATATGTAGACAATTTCCCAGTAAGTTCAAGTAATCTCTATTCTGATTTAGAGGTAAAAACTCATTCTAACTTTTAGGGGGAAAATGCTTCTCTCCAACCTTCTTTTGGGATATTTAAAACTATTTTATTGGCAATAAAAACTGCCTCTTTTGTAGGAAAATGCATAATATTTTAATTCGGAACCAAGATTTGGGTCATTTTTAGAGATACCATGGTAGGCATACAAGTGCAGAGTCTAGTGTACTGGTCTCTGCACTGAGTACCAAGCACACATTAGTCCTTGCTTATCTGTCCAACCCTACAGAGTAAAGATCATTGCTCTCATTTTTCAGATGAGGACCTTTATACTTAGACAAATGAAATGACTGGACCAAGTCCATAAATGTAGTGGTTGGTAGACAAAGGACACAAACCCAAGCTGTTTGGATCTCAAACTCTTGATCTTTGCCGGGGTATCATGGTGCCTCCTGAAGTCTTTTCAGTCAAGGTAAAAACCATCGGTTTCATTTCTTGAGGGAGTGCTCTTGCTTGAAGGGTTTACCGGCCACTGCTTTTTGCTCTGTGTGGCTGCTTTGTGCCTTTCAGGTTTGATTTCCTATATTTTAGTTCCTCTTCGTTTCACCAAGTTAAAGTACAGCTCTAATTACAATGACTACATTACTACATCAATTTCTAGATGTAAAAGGCATCCTTATAAATGTTCATAAATACTTCTGACTTTCAAAATAATGCAAAGCGATGGAACATAGTTAATGCTTCATTAGCTAAATGCTATGCAAAATTTGTTATTAGGCTGTCCTGAGAACATTTTTTGGAGCAAATTACCTATCAGCATTTTATTTGATAACTCTAAAATGAATTTTCTGCAGTAAGCTATGATGTTGCCAAAATATGTAGAAAATTTGTGCTCAACATTATTAAATATTTGAATTAACACATCATAATCTCCATATATATTTCTTTTAATATTTTCTATGAATAAATGTTTGCATATCACATTATTTTTATGAATGCATGCAATTATAGGTTAGTAAACAATAAACATTTTAGCTGGCTTTTTCTATTCCTTTAATCAAAACAAAACAAATAGCATAAAATAATGTTCATTGAATGTTAAAACTGCAGAGGAAATAGTTTTCTCTCTCTATTATGATTCTTCCTTGATTGAAGACAATCATTGTGAACAATAATTTTCAATGTACTACACTATGAGTATAGCAGGTATAAGACATTTAACTGCTCATAAATATTGCTTAATAATGTTATGTACAGGAGTAAATGAATCCACTGGGGAATAAACCTCTATTGATAAGCTATCTTATTTATGTTTGTATGCATAATTATTCTGCCCTTTTCTCAAACTTTTAAACACCTTCAAACACCAGTAAACCTCTAAAAATACACCATCTTATTTACGTGTGTATGCATAATACTTCTACCCTATTCTCAAACTAAAACTTCAAACACCAAGCCTGATATTTTGAATGCAAAGAGCCCTTAATAAACACTTCGTGAAGTGAATTGATTCTGAAACTACTTTGTGATGTGTTTGGAATCGTTTTTGAAAGAGTATTCTAAAAAAATCTTCTCCCTGTAGCATGACCCTCACTCTATGAGTTTTATAACTGTATCTATTTGCAGCATGTGCTATATCATATTACCCTTTTGGAGACTTTTAAAATGTGACTTAATTTGGCCTCTGATAAGTACTACAGTAAAGAAATCCTTTTAATTCTATTCATTTATTTCCCAAGCATAAATGAACACAGAATCTCTTAAAGTCTTCAGATCTTAAAGTTTACTAGAACTAGAATTCCAGGTAACTCGGTATAAGAACTGTTGTTTAAGAATTAAATTCCCTGAAAATAAAGTTCCTGATATTACTTTATTTACATTCATTTGTCTCTTAATGGATTATAATTTTAATCCATGGCTTAAATCAGGATCTTCTGTTATTTGTGATTGAGGTAACAGAACTTTACAATGCTATGAGAGAATAAATGTGATTTGGAAATGCACCAGTTCTCTTCATATTATCATGACTAAGTTTTGTTATAAATTTTCAATAATAAATGTCAGTGCTAAGATGAAAATGAACATAATAAGAGCATTGCTTCTTTGAAATTTTTAAAATGTGTCTTAAGCCATACATTCAAAGTGCTGTCATACTTTTAGCAATGAATAAAAATTAAAGACATGTATCTACTCACAGAGTGCTCCCTTTCTTTTTTGTAAAATCTCTTTACTTTTTATGAGATCAAAACTATTGCTAGAAACTACTCCGGATGAAATTGCTTCTTATTATAATTTGTTCTTGATTCAAAAACTTTAAGTAACTGGAGGATATATTAGCTTCTAATAATGGTTGTAAATGTTGCTTAAACATATTAAAATGCATACATTGGATGTTTCTTTCTGAATGTGACTTAGAGGAAGAATGATAGATTTGACAGTGCAAGAGTTTTGGAATCAGAGACCTGGGTTTGAATCTAGCTTTGCCTCAAGATTAGACAAAGTTGGGCATCAGACTTTGCCTAATCCTGTGTCAAAGCTAAGTCTTAGTTTGTGTATAAACTTGGTGTATGTGTAGTCTTAGGTTATAAGCTGTGAGTCTTAGGTCATATATAATTAATTTCACTAAATGTCATTTTGTAAATCTTTAAAATGGTTGTGCAACAAGATATGTGTGGAAGCCACTTTATCTGTTGTGACTAGACATTGGATCAATATTTTTCTCTGATCTCCTAGAGGAAAAGCAATCCCAATATTTTTGTAAATCTCTATTATAAGCTGAGTTGGGTACCTGCAAAGTTTATATGCTGACATCCTAATCCCTGGTACCTCAAGATGCAACCTTATTTTAAAACATAACTTTTTAAAGAGATAATTAAGTTAAAGCGAGGTCATTATGGCTGGGTCCCTAATCTAATGGGACTTGTGTCCTGATAGAAGAGCATATTTGCACACAGACACATAGAGAGCAGAGGTTAATGGAAAACACGGAGAAGATAGCCATCTGCAATTCAGGGAAAGAGGCCTGGAACCAATCTTTCTCTCTCAGTCCTTGGAAGGAACCCACCCTGCCAACACCTTGGTCTTGGACTTCTGTAGCCTCCAGAACTCTGAGACAATAAATTCCTGTTGTTTGCATCCCCTATTCTGTGGTACTTTGCTACCTCAGCCTTAACAAGCTGCTATAGTCCCAAAGCTTCCACATGCAACGGTCACTTCTGGTTCCAATGCCCTGATTCCGATAAAGTATATCACCTGTCTTCATGAAAATGTCACATGGAGCCAAGATGACAGACAACCCTTTTCTCCATTTTCTGCTTTGTATTAACTCTCAAAAGGAAAAAGTCCTTATTCCTTGGTCTCCCGATAAACCATTCATACAGTGTTCGAAGTGATTCAAGGGTTTAAAATGATAGCAACACAAACAACTCAAAATTGAAAAGTATACACCTCTCTCATTGCAAGTCCTTCATTTACTATGAAAATTCCTCACTTGTCACATTTTTTGTAGGTTCCAGACTCCTACTTACTGTGATAGTTGAGTCCTTCCCCAAACTCTCCACCATAAAAAAAAAAAAAAAAAAAAAAAATCTCAGATTTTCATTCTCCTAAGTTATTTCCCTTTAGATCTTTCCAAGAACCTGCATTCCCTGCATTTTATTAGGCAGAACATTTGACATTCCACTCGGGCCTGGCTTTGCATTAATAAAAATCCACAAGTTTCACACAGAGCAGACAGAAGCACTGGCTGAAACATAGAAGTGTCAGCCTTACTTTTCTTCTTCCTTCATCTGTCTTCATAAGTAGAAAGAGGAGAAATTTTCATTTTCCAATGATCATGAATTAGATCCTTGTCTTTTATGTCTGAATAGCTATGTGTCTTCTCACAACTACAGAATACCTTCATGGGTTGCTGTGAAGACTGAAGGTAAAATGTCTATCTCAGTGGCTGACAATAAAAGGATGAAATATACACTTGAATCAATGAATGAATAATTAGTTTATTGATTAATATATAGCTTGTCATTAACAACAATCTTCATACTAGAGATATCTGAATCACCATTGAAGGACTAAGGGGATATTTCCAAAAAGAAAAATACTAGAGGCAATGATAACATCACAGTTCAGAAAATGGAAGAGCATGGATTCCAAGAGATTATAAGAAGTTAAATTATAAGGTGCATAAATGTGTTTATAACCATATTAGTCTGCTCAGGCTGCCAAGAGTCTCACCATCAGATAGCTGTTTGCTACACTCTCAGTGTTCTCTTCTGAACAAACTTTCCCATTTTTTGCTCTATGGCTGCCTAAGGATTTTCCAAATGTCCAAGTTCTGGCTCCTTTATGCTTAACAATTGCCTCTTCAAGTCACCTCTCTCCTTTGCATTTTACTATAAGCAGTAAGGAGGCACTAAGACAAACTTCCAATAGCTTATTTAGAAATCTCATCTGCTAAATATATAATTTTATCATTTGTAAGTTCTACCTTTCACCACATAGCAGAACACAATTTAGCCAAGATCTTTGCCACTTTGTAACAAGAGTTGCCTTTTCTCCTGTTTCCTATAACCTCATTTCTGTCTAGGACCTCACCAGAATGACCTTTCACATGCCATTTTTTAAAATTTTATTTTATGTTCTGGGATACATGTGCAGAATGTGCAGATTTCTTACATAGGTAATGTGTGCCATGCTGGTTTGCTGCGCCTACCACCCCATTGCCTAGGTATTAAGCCCTGCATGCATCAGCCATTTGTCCTGATACTCTTCCTCTCCTCACCTCCCCCACCTCCCAAAAGGCCCCAGTGTGTGTTGTTGCCTTCTCTGTGTCCGTGTGTTCTCATTATTCAGCCCCTACTTATGAGTGAGAACATGCGGTATTTGGTTTTCTATTCCTGTGCTAGTCTGCTGAGGATAATGGCTTCCAGCTTCATCCATGTACCTGCAAAGGACATGATCTCATTTCTTTTTATGGTTGCATAGTATTCCGTTGTGTATATGTACCACGTTTTCTTTATCCCATCTATCATTGATGGGCATTTGGGCTGGTTCCATGTCTTTGCTATAGTGAACAGTGCTGCACATCCATGCTTCCGTCACTGTTCCTTCATGGCAACCATGGCTTTTTCTAGCATGAGCCTTAAAACACTTCCAGCCTCTGCCCATGACTCAGTTCCAAAGCCACTTTCACATTTTTAAGTATAGCCACACCCCACCTTTCAGTACCAAAACTTATGTTAGTCTATTGGGCTGCCCTAACAAAATAGTGGTACTAAATCTCTTATAGTTCAAAGGAGAGGATCACAAAAGCAAAATTTATTGCTCAAAAGTTTATGAGCTCACTAAAGAGAAAAACAACCATAGATAAGAAATATCTTACACTGAAACAAAACACAGTGGTTCTACGATGTCTTCATAGAGAAACTAAGCACAGAACAAAATATCCCTTCTTTAGCTCCTAAAGAAAGCTAATGACACCATTGTCCACATGTTGATCCTGTTGTATGCTCACTAATTCTGAGAAAATACCTTTATATTTAGCAAGACATTTTCTGAATTCTTGGCTTCAGCTAACCACCTCACTCATGTGTCATTGACCTTAAGTAAGGTCAGTGAGAGTTGAGGGCTAAGTGTTCTGTTATAGCTTTTACTAGAGAACAATCACAAGACATGCTGTATTGCCTGAGGTCAATGGAATAGTCTCCTGATAAAGAAGATCGACATGAATTATTCCATAAAATATCTCCTTTCTTAAGCACATGACTTCAACATTTTAAACATTTGATTAAAATAGTTCTAAAAAATCATTGTCTTAAATATTAGTGAAATAACTGAAGGCTTCTATAAAATGGCATCTGAGTTCATCAAAGAGTGTTTATTAAACATGTTCTTTAACCTACTTAACATGAGCTTCTTTAGAAAGGGAGCTATAAAATCATCCCAAGCAGAGTGTCTGAATCTATCATCTATAGACTGGTAAGGTGCTCTCATCCACCTATGAAAATGTAAGAATTAGACACAAAAACTACGGGGAAATATGTATGGAAATTATTCACGTTTGTTTTATAAACACATCTAATTTGGTGAAAATTTCCAAGCATCACTTCTAGAAACAATTTTTCCCTCTCTCTCAGATTATGAGCCTTCTAATTTTCAAAGATATACGTATTTTAAACCTTGTATAATAAAATTATGGAGATCACTAAAATTTTAATTTGTTTTAATAACTACACTTGCCAAATGTTATTCTGCAATGATACATCTAATTTTTAAGTAAACATTACTTTTTAATCAAAGTTGTGAGAATTACTTCCTAAAGATACAATACCAAAGATTTAAGTACAGATTTTATTGATAAGTTCACAAAGAATTAAGATATGCTATAAAATTCTGAAAGGGTGATGATCTGAAGGGCAAAAATTATACAGCAGATGCATTAGCATATAGCAAAATCTCTCCTGTGTTTATATTTTCAAACTTCATCCCTTCTCTCCAATGATACAGTCGGCTATACTCAGATATCTCTATGACACTTGAGATGTTAGGATCCAATAAGCTCACAAAGTCTTTCATTTATATTTTTAACTTTACAACCTGGGATCTCAAAGCTCACTATATACACTATTGGGTTTAGTTAGAGGCACCCATGATTTGAGATCATTTTGCAAAACACTCCACTTCCCCAGTGTTGCTTCCTAGGTGATTATAAACACTTTGTTTTCTTAATAAGTGGGCATTGGGTGCTTGAATATGCTGTGTGTTTAACTAGACACTTTTATATTGTTTCTAGCATTTAATTATTACTTAAACTCAGTGAGATGGGGGCTGTAAATAATCCCCTTTAACAGGTAGGGAAACTTAAGCTTCAAGAGCCAACTTACTTATCCTTACTTAACCTGAGGTCCAATTGTAAGAAATTCACCCAAGCCTGGAATCAAACTCAAAGGTGCTCTTTCCACGTTCATTCTCTTTCTGCTACATGAAAACGGTTTTCCTACCACTATCGTGCTTTCCACTTCACTGAACCCAAATCAGTTAATATCATGGGAAACTCATTTACCTAAATGTGATGTGTGCTAGAATCCCTCAATTTGGATTTAGATTTATTGTGAAACAATTTGCTTTCAGGGGAATAAAAAGTCAAATTTACTAGAACTGTGGAAAATACCAGCAGCTAAGGTGGGATGCCACAATGCCACATATTTACAATATGAAAGGCAACATTAAGTCCTCTGCAATTCCACATAAATACAAGCATTGTCCAAGGAATAACAAGCAAGAGGGAGGAAGGTGGGCCCTGCCTTAGCAAGATCCGGGAGAGGAGCAGGCCGCTGTGCCTCAGGCCCATCCCTTCTGTAGTTCATCTAATCTGCTCACTTTATTGTCCCAGTGGTTTCTGGAACAAGAACATGGCAAGCCTACAATTTCTGAGGCACAGAATTGTGTTGAGAATGGGTGGTGATAAAAGTCAGCAGATGGATATTTAAATCAGCACATCATGCAAATGACAGAAGTAGGAGATGAGGCAAAGCGAAATACCAGGACTTCAGATAGGAGCTGTGACAAGTTAAGCAGAAATAAGCCAAGAAAAAGAGAAAACAAATGTATGTAAGTGGGAACAGGTTAGGGAGAGGTAGGTAAAAAGGACACACAAGATGTTTCATTCCAGTTTAATTGCACAAGAGCTCCTGTCTCTGGATGAGATGATTCTCCCACTGTGGTTCATAAACCAAATCATAATAATGTTAGCTAAGAATGCTACCTGACACCTACAAATCAGACCCTTTTACGGTAATCCTTTCTGTCTCCTGGTTAGTCAATTGTCTGAATGAAGATGTGGCCCTTCCATTTCCTTCTGTTTGGTAAGACAGCTGTGTTCCTGCCTGATTCTTTGGCCAGCCAGCCTCTGCTCCTTGACTGAACCCTCCTGTTCAGCTTTGTTCTGCTAGTGGCTCCCTGTACCACAAATTTAGCCAATCCTTATTGCTTACCAGTTTCTCCTTCACACTGGATTCATCAGCTCTTTTGATGAGTGGACACATTTCATTAAATTATCAAAAACTATATAAAACTTATTACTATCTACTACTATAATATACACTCATATAATGGCATTTCATATTACATACATTGCAGTATTATGTAAGCATATGTTATAAAGTTTGGTCATCAATATCCAGCAGCATTTTATTGCAAAAAAATGCAGCTAGCAACCTTGTTCAAAATCCCCCGGCCTCTGATACGCGAGAAAGATCCAAGATAAAAAGAGAAAGAAAGGATAAAGACGAAGGTGGAGTTGAAGCTGCAGAAGGCAGTTTCTCAGGAAGGTGGGCTTCAGCCCTCCACTCCCTGTCGCGTACTTCCCTTACTTTTATGTTCCAGCATGGAGTGTCTTCACCAAAGGGCATCTGAGAAAAAGTCCTTGGCCTTAAATACCTGGACCATTCCAATTTCTGTTCATATTTCTAACCAATGTCTCTCTAAGGAAAATTCCCGAACCAAGAATCAGCTTTTCATACACCCTCCCCCACCCTCACTTGCCCCTACGTATGGTTTTTCCTTTCCTTTTCCTCATATTTTTTTGCAGACACCTCTGTCATGATCCTTGAAGGATTTATAATAATCATATACTTACCTGTAGGTTTTTCCAATTTATAGTTAATTTCCAAGCACCTGTCAAAAGGAAGCCCTCCTTGAAAGTTTACTGATTGAATAAACACATAAAATGAACTAACAAATCGAAAACACAGTATACCATTTTCTAATATTCTGACTCCTAATAACAAACAAGTTAAAAGTGTTGTATATCTTAAAATTGAACCGATGTGTTGTAATATATGTATATGTAACAACAACCAGTGTTGTTTTAAGTCCATATAGGTTCAAAACCACAGAAGCTGTAGAGGGCAACCGAATTGTAAAATGTCAATAAACAAGCACAATTAAGCAAAAAGAAATCATTTTGCCTCCCTGTAAAGCACTGGTATGTTTTATCTCTAAACAGAGAAAATTGCCTTAAATTGGTTTCATTTGTTTAAGCAGTGGAAATTCTCTCTCTGTTTCTCTCTCTCTCTCTCTCTCTTTCTCTTAAACAAAGTTTGCACAGAGTCCCCAATATACAGTAAAGGGTAATAAACATAGTTGGTATCCTATATACTTGTTCTTCTCATGTCCTGCCCTTCGGAGGTCCTTGACACCATACAGTAGAGGACAAAGACTCTGCATAGCACAATTTGGAAATAACCATCTGATGATCCCTAAGGTCTTTACTGGTTCTACACTGCTTTTAGTCAATAAAACTGAGAAGTTTTTTTTAAAAAAATAGGCAAATGTTCACTTTTTGGTATATACCATTACCTGATCTGTATTTCCAATGTTCTAAATAGTTTAGGGGATTTTATTGCAATAATACTGGTAACTATGTAAGTAGTAAATCCATTTTTCTTAGTTTATCTATGACCACACAAGTCTACCTGTCAGACCAGAGCTGTAACATTGTACAGCTAATCACCCACTAACAGCTTCCAAGAATAGATAAAATTTGTGAAAGAAGTAAAATGATATTCTAGAGTATGTCCTAAAACATTATCTCATCCTTGTATAAAATATTTAGCCATACTGGAACTAAACAGAAATTACAGTATCACTAAAATATTATAAATATTATAAGGCATTTCCCATTGTATTCTAAGCTAATTTCAGACTTCACGTGCAAAGCTAGTCTATAACAGTGCTTATATCAAAGTTGCTGGGTGTGTGCATTAATTTTTATAGCTATTCACCTTGCACTTTCATTATTTGAAACACGACACAATATGTCTGTGAAACAGAGTCAAGTTTTGCATGCATAACCCCTTGCAATATGTAAAATCATCATACTTTGAAGCTCATAGGGTTAGTGTTGGTAACTTAAGAAGAAATGTATTTGGAACTTTACCAAACCAATAACTTTCAAAATGTAGTTTAAAACATTTGTTAGAGTCATAATGTGGGCATATAAGCACATCCTTAAAACATAGTAATGTTTTGTATTTACTGGATGTGCAGAGGGATCAAAGCTTTTGTCATAAACGCTTCCAGTAATGTTTGAAGCCCTTCTTTGAGGTAGAGGTCTGGCTTTTTTTTCTTTTGTTTTTTAAAAGCATAAAATCACATGCAAAAAAAAATGACCAACATATGAATAGCATATTTAGAATCTTAACCAGTGCTTCCTAACATTAAATTGTACATTTAAGGCTTTGATATAAACCATGTTTAAAATAATGAAGTGATTGTCTTACTTTATGAATGCAGCCTGCCAACATTTATTGCACGCCTACCCAGCACAAAATATTGCAGCAGGTATAAGCCTGCCAGAATATTAAATTTGCAACTTTAATATTCTTTAGCAAAAATCTTCACTTTTTTGTGATTGGAAATTAGTAAAACTCTTTACACTTCTATTATGCATCTCAAAATACATCAAACTTGACTAAGCTAAAATTTAAAGCTCAGTATCTACAGATTCTTGTCTGACTACTGGATGTCGTAAAGAACAAAATCTTAGGTCGTTTTATAGGTTCAATTGTTGACTGAAAGCCCCACTGCCAAATGTTTAACACATAGGATATGAGTAAGCACGTATGAGTCCTTTATACAACAGGGATACTTTGAAGTCCTTGATAAAGTCCTTGATACTTTAAAGTCCTTGATACAGTCCTTGATTAAAATAGTATTCAGCATCCTATTTTAATCTGATATATTCTAAATTTTTCTTCCCAAAAACCTGCCAGTTAGGAAGGAAACAATGTTTCACATTTATAAATCCAAAGGGAACCCATTTGCAGAAACTCTTTACCTTTATGAATAATTATAAAGATAAAATGCTATTCGTGATCTATGCTTCCAAACCATAGTTGGGCAATCAGAAAGTTATGGCAGATATGAAGAGCTTGTATTACAGATCTATGTGTACATTAAATGTACATAGTCATAAGATATTCTCTGGAAACGGGGTTACAAGAGTGTCTTATATTTTTCATCAATTCATTCTGATTCATCATCTTCTCTATGGACTAGGGAAAGACCGAAAATGAGAGTTCAAAAATAAAGGAAGTTTACATTCCTCCATCCCACTCTACTACTAAATCCCAAAGGGGGATTTAAGTGCAAAGTACATAAGGAGAGGTTCTGTGCTTATTAACAGCAGTACAATCAGAAATCAGCAGGCAGCCAGCAAGTAGGACTTTTCCACTTTGGGGGCTCATACAAAAGGATTTTGTTTTCATTTGTTTAGCTCACACTTAAGCAGAAATATCTCGTTTTCTAAGTTCAAAGATGAGACAGAGGAGGTTAGGAGATTGAGATGAGATGTTTTGGCAAAGAGGTTTCAACCTTGAACATAGAAATTCAGACCATGCAAAAGCAATGGGGATTTTGCCCAAGAAGGAAAAAATTCACTGCACTGTGAATAGTTAGGAAGTGCTCATTTTGAATTGTCACAAATATTTATACAGAATATAGAACAGCCTTCCTGTATTTAATTGCATTTTAGGAGAAAAAGGAAAATCTAACAGAAGTCATAAGCAGTTGTTGAAATGTTCCACAGTAGAGTATATGCCTTTGCTGAGAAATGAAAGTTATATTATGTGCTACCTTTTCATCTGTTGCATGTCTCTGCCAGCTGCAGAGACATGTCAGATGCCATTATTCTACAAATTTGACTCTCTCCCTCCATCGCTAACCTCTTGTTGACAGTAATCAGAACTTGATGGAGAGGCCTACGCAGGTGTGATATGATAGTTGGTGCTAGTGTGACATAGTATGTGACAGTTTTAGTATTACATTCTGTAGGATGATACATCATCAAATAATGTTTCGGATAATCCTTAGTCTTTCAGCAGAAATGTAATTTTTACTCATCTAATAATATTTCCAGATGGCATAGCCAGTGAAGTATGGGCTAAAAATAAAGGATGATTGGGCTAAGAAGGTGAAACCAGAGCAAAATGTGAAATAAAGAAAAGCAAATGACCAGGGATTAAGCAGAGGCACAAAAATCTTTCAAAACCAGGATTCTTAGTTTGGGCTGTAGTGACAAAATAAGAAAAGAAAAAAAAAGGTTTAGTGTTATAAAATAACATTTTTGTAAAGTCAAAAGATAACTTGAAATGCTTCCCTCATAAGTTTTGTTTCTAAAGGGCAAGAGTTGCAGAAAATGTAAATTGTTTTTATTTATAAATTTCAAGTGGGGTTTCCAATTCATAGAAATGACAGTCTTGCAGACAACATCTGATGATTGATATCTAAATAGTGCAATATACTATTCTATTGTTTTTCACAAATTTTGGTTTGGCAAAGAGCAAAACTCAGGTTTCTTATCAAAAATCATCTGTTTGCCATTGTTAAATAACATCTACTTTCTAACTGGCATTTTATTTATACGCTACAGGATACAAAGACTTATTTATTGACGAACTTGTCAACTCTTTTCGAAGATTCAGTGCATTTACTATATAATAGAGGGCATGGTCTTTTGAAGTATTGAGCCTCTCAGTAATTATAGCGCTTCCTGGAACATCCAAGCATATGACACCTACAAGATGCACTTTCCAAACTTACAAGCAAATATTTAATGAGCAAACATTCTATGACACTTGAACATACTGCATTTTTATTCAGTAAAAAATGTTTTTCATGTTTTGAAGATGAAAAAGTGAAGAAAACTGCCCTAAATGTTTTATGATCTCCAGAAGCAAAGTTCATATAATGTTCTAATAAATTATCTCTAATTTTTATGCTACATGCCCAAAAAGTTGTAGTTTCTTATGAAGTGGCAGAATTTGTATTGCCTTCTTGGTAGACAGATTCCATTTCCTGGGGTTTATTGCCCCAATTAAATGATTGGGGACAATCAAAAGTCTCAGACATCAACTTTCGATAATGTTTCATAAAAAACAATGAACTCGAACCCTTATTTTTGACACAAGAAGTAAAGAATTATGAATAGTTCGGTGAAATTTTTTCATTCCCATATATTATTTCTATAGAGCAAATTCACAGCATAACTAACTGGATGGGTATAAATGTGTTGTTTTTTTCTTACCATTTAGAAATGATATTGGGAAGCCGAGGCGGGCGGATTACGAGGTCAGGAGATCGAGACCATCCTGGCTAACACGGTGAAACCCCGTCTCTACTAAAAATACAAAACAATTATCCGGGCGTGGTTGCCGGCGCCTGTAGTCCCAGCTACTCGGGAAGCTGAGGCAGGAGAATGGCGTGAACCCGGGAGGTGGAGCTTGCAGTGAACCGAGATCGCGCCACTGCACTCCAGCCTGAGTGACACAGCGAGACTCCGTCTCAAAAGAAAAAATAAAAATAAAAAAAATAAATTATAATGGGTTTAGGTAAGTTTTCTAATGTAAAGCCTGAGTGCTTTATATATTTCTTATGTGCCTTCTAAGCACCTCTTGAGATTACAAATGGAGAAAAATTTCACTTCAGCATTTTTTAGAGGTAAAAAAATTTCAACTTCTTGGATAAGCGATAAAGTGATTAAATAAATTCATACAAATCTTAAAGCAAATAAATAAGACATAGAGAAAGAGAAATTAGAATATTGCCTCAGATATTTCTAATGCCTCAGGATTTAATTTCTGTCAATATGTTAGTGCTATAAATTAAAAATAGCTTCAAGTTTTTAATTGACTTGATTATAAGCCAACAGAATTTATTCATAATAAATACCTGTCCAAATATTGAATTTAAATTATTTGAAACATTTAAATTTAACTACCTATCTATCTATCTATCCATCCTAGCCATCTGTCTATCTCTGTTTATGTCTGTTTTTGTGTGTGTCTGTTTATTTAAGACCAAGGAGAAGGAAAGTAAGGGGTCTTGGTGGAGAGGGGTAGTGGAGACTTACCCCATTCTCCGTGGAGCTGGTAAAGTGGCTTCCACAGTCTTACTTCCAAATGAATTATCAAGGCAAGAAGGATGAACTTCACGTATTGAGCCCAAGTTAGATCTCCCTGTGTTGAAAAAATAAGCTGTAAGATTGAGCCCTAAAAGTTTTTCTTAGAAAAGTGGTTAACCAGTTTGATTTAAACATTCTAACATGTATGCATAATGTAATTCTTTGACAGCCATGGGAGATTGGTTCCAACACCCGCTGAACACCAAAATTCTGGAATGTTCAAGTCCCTTATATAAAATGGTGTGATATTTGCATGTAACCTATGTCCTCCTGTACACATTAATCTCAATGTTACTTATAATAACTAATACAATGTAGATGCTATGTAAATAGCTGTTATACTATATTATTTTTATTTGTATTATTTTTACTGTTGTACTTTTTTAAAATTTTTCTTCAAATATTTTTTATCTGTAATAATTGGTTCATTCTGCCAAAAGCCAAACCCAAGAACATGGAGTGTAAAGTATATATCAAAACAGCATGTTGTGTATCATAAATAGATATCATTAGTCCTTGTTGTTTAAAATAAATTTACAAAGAAAAACTGTTAGGCTTTTTTCTTAATTTCTTTAATTAGAAAAACCCTCAGGGCTGTTTGATAATTTAGCCATAATTTCTATGGATGTTAGGGGAAATTCCAAACGTATAAGATAAAATGAGGTAGTATTAAACATGCAAGTTTTAAGGACAGATTCTACATTCTGTTTTTTTGTATACATGTGTACTAAAATTTTATTCTTTAAGCAAAGTTATGTTTTATTATTCATTTGAACTCTGCATCCATTATCTTATAAAATCTATACAAAATAATTTCAAAAGTGGCCTATCACTCTCACAAATTTAGATATTAGAGGATCACAACCCAGAGAGGTGGCTTAATTTGCCTGAGGTCACACAGCTGCTAATTTGGTGAACCTGGATATATATACCAAGCCTATTTTTCTCCAAAGCTAATATATATGACCTTGCTAATGAGGCCCTAGGCTGAACGTTTTGGTAAATTGCTCAAGAACAAACCAAATAGGTATATTCTTCAATACCCCTTTGTACCTTATTCTAACCAGTGCATCATTCAAGATACATATACAGGTTGAGCATCCCTGATTTGAAAATCTAAAATCCTTAAGTTTTTGAGTGACCACATAATGCCACAAGTGGAAAATTCCACACCTAACCTCATGTGAGGGGTCATATATTTTATTTATAATATTACATAAAATTACCTTCAGGCTATGTGTATAACATATGTATCAAACATAAATGAATTTTGTGTTTAGACTAGGGTTCCATCCCCAAGATATCTCATTACATGTATATAAATCCCAAATCTGAAACACTTCTGGATCCAAGCATGCCAGATAAGGGATACTCATCCTGTGTAAAGAAAGGAGTACAATGACTCTAGCATCCTGGATTTGGGTTATACATTTATCTACTAACGAATAATATTCAGAGACATGTTCTGGAATTTCAATTTTAGCACACATTTTACCCTCTTGAAGTATCCTAGAGGAGAAATATTACCAGAAGGCAATTTTCTCTTGCAATTATTTTCTGCAACTATTTTTATGTCAGTTTAATTCTTCCAAGAGTAAATATATATACATATATATGTATATATATATATATACATATATATGTATATATATATACATATATATGTATATATATATATATACACATATATATATATGTGTATATATATATATATGTATATATACACTAGCTCTTTGCCCAGTTTAGAATTTATTGATCAATAAAATTTCACGGAACAATGTACAAATATCCAGGGCAGTGCACTTAACCAAATCAAATATTTAGATGTTCAAATAAAAAAAGAAGGAAGAAAGGAAGGGAGGGAGGAAGGAAGGGCGGGAAGGTGAGAAAGCAAGAAAGAACTTTTGAATATCATTAGAAGTCAAATATCGAAGTCTGGGAGTTTTGTGGCTGGATAAAGTTAGTCCCTCTCTTTGGATATTTCAGAGTTTCATTCCAGGTATGAATAACCTCAGAACAGGGAGACTCTCTGCAAAGTACATTAGCTCTAAATTACTAATAAAAAAACAGATTTTATTTAGGGGCAGAGTTGGTATGGGAATTGAAATTCCAAGACCGCACATTATTTTCACTTAGGGATATTGTGTTAGGCAACAGCAAAGAAAAAAGGAGCAGTGGAAAGGCCAGTAGTCTTAACATCTGACAGCAGTGCCTGTTCGAAGTGTGAACCATAATTCTCCCAGGGACTGGAGTCTGGATGTCCGCCTGCTTGATCTAATCCCATAATGTAAGAAAGGAAAGGCAGTTGACAGAAACAAGCGATTTTATGTCTCTGTGTATGTTTTTTCTTCCCCCTCCCCATTCCCAAATTGCCCACTGCTACTCAGGTATTTCACGTGAGGTAGACAAAGGCCATTTTGATTAGTTGGGTCCACATATCATTGTTCCTGCCCTGCAACAAAACAAACAAAACAAAAACAGTGGCTTTCCCTCCCCTCCCCTTTCTACTACGTTGCTGTTATGACTAATTTCACTATTGGGAACATATTGAAGCAGAGAAAAAGCAATGGCCAGGAAACAGAGAAAGCTATCAGTAGTAAACTCAAACTTCAGATGGAGTTTAGAATCAGCCTAGATATGCAGTTCAGAATTTTACTTTAATCAGTTCAAAATGAGCAGAGAGATGGCTCGAGGGACAACTGATACAGATAAGAAGAAAAAATGAAGCAGTGAGACCCTGTCTCTACAAAACGAAAACAAAAAACAAAATGTAGAGAACATCAGCCAAGCATGGTAGTGCATGCCTGTAGACCCAGCTACTTGGGATGGTGAAATGGGAGGATTACTTGAACTGGGATATTGAGGCTGCAGTGAGCCATGATTGTGCCTGGGTGATGCAGTGAGCCATGACTGTGCCTGGGTTATACAGTGAGACCTTGTCTCAAAAATAGTAATAATAGTACTGATAATTAAAACATATATATTTACATGTAAATAAAACAATATATGCATTTGCATATATATATGCACACACACACACACACACACACACACACACACATAAACAATTAAGCACCAGAAGTAGCAACTTCAAATGTATTCAGGCTGATCTAATGTCCTCTTTTTCTTTGTGGCTGAAAAAAAAAATAAACACATATTGAAAACCCATAAGCCTGAGAATTAGAACAAAATTCTAATAGAGATTAGCATGAGTTAAGAGCAGACTGTCTTGCCTACATTCAGAGGATGGACTGAATAATTTATAGACAAGACTGCAAATCCAATCAGGCTTACCATGTCTACCAAAATGTCTGTTTGAAGTTTCCCCAACAGGATAAGAAAGGGACCCAAGGCTCTTGTACTTAATAAGCTGTCAAATAAGAAGACTGTGAATTTTTTATGATCAGAACTTTGAGCTACATAAAATCTTTAGTTTTAGATCTAAACACATAATCCTTGAGTCAGAAAAGAACTTTAATATCAACTTACTTATGATTATAGGTTTACATGGTGTTCCTAAGAATCTGAAGAACAAAACACGAGGCAGTGTATTAGTGTTTAGCATCTAATTTGGTCCCAGTAATGATTTTTTTAATTTTTTAGGTCCTCCATTTGACACTCTAAATTCTCATATTTCTCATTCTGCTTCAGTCATTGCTTACATTAGTTAATTTTTGTAAAGTTTTTAGAACACAGCCTGGAACCTCATGAGCTTTATTACGTAAATGTTGTTAAATAAATAAAAACTGTCTTCCCCAGGCAACTTGGAGTGCATGGTCCATGAACCTTGACAACTCCTTTGCTTAATCCCTAAGCTCATTTTCTCAATTTTATTCTATCACACTCCCTTGAAAAAGGTCTAGAGTTTAAAATTTAAAAAAAAGAAAAATCACTGACACCTCTCTATCTGAAACAGGGCTAATAGACATTCCTGGGAAAATTCACGGAACTAGGTGGACAGTGGGCAGCCACATGGGAATCCTTAAACCCTCCACTTCACCCCGGATTCTCTCACAATGTGTGGAGATATTATGAAGGGTCTTCAATCCTCACACTTCCACTCTAACGCCCCTTTTTCAGCAGCATTAAAATATGCTCTACTTTCCCCTAACAAAACAAATGCTTTGATCAACATTAAATTCTCTTTCAACAAACTCTCACTTTTCCTCCCTTTCAGAGACAAACTTTGAGAAAGAATTTTCTGGGCCTGGCACGGTGGCTCATGCCTGTAATTCCAGCTCTTTGGGAGGCCGGGGTGGGTAGATCACCTGAGGTAAGGAGTTCAAGACCAGCCTGACCAACATGGCAAAACCCTGTCTCTGCTAAAAATACAAAATTAGCCGGGTTTGGTGGCATATGCCTGTAATCCTAGCTACTTGGGAGGCTGAGGCAGGAGAATTGCTTGAACCTGGGAGGTGGAGGTTGCAGTGAGCCAAGATCGTGCCACTGCACTCCAGCCTAGGTGACAGAGCACGACTCCGTCAAAAAAAAAAAAAAAAAAGAATTTTCTGGCTGGGAGCAGTGGCGCATGCCTGTAATCTCAATACTTTGGGAGGCCAAGGCGGCGGGCGGATCTCTTGAACTCAGGCGTTTGAGACTAGCCTGAGCAACAGAGTGGGGCCATGTCTCTACAAGACATACAAAAATACAAAAAAAAATAAATAAATAAAAAATAAACAATAGCCTGGCATGGTGGCCACACCCATAGTTCCAACTACTTTTGGGGGTTGACGTGGGAGAATTGCTTGAGCCTGGGAGGTCAATACTGCAGTGAGCCATGACCATGTCATTGCACTCCAACTTGGGTAACAGAATGAGACCCTGTCTCAAAAAAGTAATGTTCTAAACTTCGTTTCTCTAGTTTCTCAGCTCTCCTCAGCTCGGTTGATAGTTTTTCTAGCATGAACTTGACGCTGTTGGCCTGCACCCTTCACTTTTGGTTCCCTGGGCCTCCACGCTCAGGGCTGCCCTGAGTTTTTCTCTTTGCCTTCAGACGCCTGTACATAGGTGCTTTTGTCTCTGTCATTGTTAGGGACTGACATGTGCCTCCTCTGAGGCCATAAGTGTGGGGCCTTAATCCAATAGGACCTATGACCTTTTCAGAAGAGAAAGAGATAGCAGAGATTCAAGTGCACAGAGAAAAGACCATGTGAGGACACAGTGAGAAAGTCGCCATCTGCAAGCGAAAGAGAGAGTCCTCAGGAGAAATAAAACCTGCCCATTCCTCAATCTCAGACTTCCAGCCTCCAGAATTGTGAGAAAATACATTTCTGTTTTGTAAGCCACCCAGAATGTCGTATTTTGTTATGGTAGCCCTTGCAGACAAATACTATCATCTTCCTGTTTCTATTCCTATGATCTTACATGTCCCAGTGTTCTGTTTAAGGTCACCTCTTCTCAGCGTCTGCATTTTCTTCATTGGCAGCTGCATCCACTCTCAAGTCTTCAGCTGTCATCTCTGTGTGACTCACTTGCAAACTGGTATCTTCAACCCAACAGTTTTTAGTCCTAATCTTCCAGCAGCACTCTGAACACCTTCACTCATGGGCCTTGCAAGTCCTTCAAATTGAAAATGTCTACAATTGAATTTATCATCTCAGCTCCTCCCCCTCATTCCCTAATTACTGTTCTGTCCATTCCTGATCATCATCATTTGTTCCTGTGCAAGAAAAATCCTCATATCCTCACCATGCCCCCATGGCTGATAAATAATAAAGCATTGCGTCTTTTTTTTTTTTTTTTTAACTTTTCTTTTTTTACTTTTAGGTTCAGGGGTACATGTGCAGGTCTGTTACATGGGTAAATGGCACATTGCTGAGGTTGGAGTACAACTGAGTCTTGTCACCCAGCTAGTGAGCATAGTACCTGGTAGGTAGTACTGGTAGGTAGTACTGGTGGATAGTACTGGTAGGTAGTACCCTCAACTCCCCCCATCTTCTAGTAGTCCCCAACATTCATTTCTCCCATCTGTATATCAATGTGTACTTGTCAGAGGTTTCTGAACCAGAGCAACTCCATCTTGAATAGAGGCTGGGTAAAGTAAGGCTGAGACCTACTGGGCTGCTACATTCCTAGCAAGTTAGGGATTCTTAGTCATGAGATGAAATAGGAAGTCAGCACAAGATACGGGTCACAAAGACCTTGCTGATAAAATAGGATGCAGTAAAGAAGCCGGCTCAAACCCATTAAAACCAAGATGGCGATGAAAGTGACCTCTGCTTGTCCTCACTGCTCATTATAATGTATTAGCATACTAAAAGACACTCCCACCAGTGCCATGGCAGTTTACAAATGTCATGGCAATGTCAAGAAGTTACCCTATATGGTCTAAAAAGGGGAGAAACCCTTAGTTTGAAGACTTGCCCACCTCTTTTCCATAAAATTCATGAATAATCTACCTCTTGTTTGCCACATAATTAAGAAACAACTGTAAGTATACTCAGTCAAGCGGCCCAGGACACTGCTCTGCTTCTAGAGTAGCCATTCTTTGATTTTGTTGCTTTCTTAATAAACTTACTTTCACTTTACTCTATGGACTGGCCCCGAATTTTTTCTTGCATGAGGTCCCAGAACCCTCTCTTGGGTCTTTGTTAACATACTCACTATTTAGCTCCCACTGAGGGGTCCTTTAATGTTGACCTGAACATCCCTCTCAAATCCGACCACCCCTCACAGTTCACACTACCAGCCACCCAGTCATTTCCGCCACCCAGCCATTCCAGCCACCCAGCCATTTCCTCCACCCAGCCATTTCCTCCACCCAGCCATTTCCTCCACCCAGCCATTCCACCCACCCCGCCATTCCAGCCACCCAGCCATTTCCTCCACCCAGCCATTTCCGCCACCCAGCCATTCCAGCCACCCAGCCATTTCCACCACTCAGCCATTCCAGCCACCCCGCCATTTCCACCCAGTCAGCCATTTCAGCCACCCACCCAGCCATTCCAGCCACCCAGCCATTTCCTCCACCCAGCCATTCCACCCACACAGCCATTCCAGCCACCCAGCCATTCCACCCAGTCAGCCATTCCAGCCACCCAGCCAGCCATTCCAGCCACCCAGCCATTCCAGCCACCCAGCCATTCCACCCAGTCAGCCATTTCAGCTACCCACCCAGCCATTTCCGCCACCCAGCCATTCCAGCCACCCAGCTATTCCAGCCACCCAGCCATTCCACCCAGTCAGCCATTTCACCCAGTCAGCCATTTCCCCCACACAGCCATTTCCACCACCCAGCCATTCCAGCCAGTCAGCCATTTCAGCCACCCACTCAGCCATTCCAGCCACCAACCCAGCCATTCCAGCAACCCAGCCATTCCAGCCACCCAGCCATTCCACCCACCCAGCCATTTCAGCCACCCAGCCATTTCAGCCACCCACTCAGCCATTCCAGCCACCCAGCCATTCCACCCACCCAGCCATTCCAGCCACCCACTATCTCGTCTGGGTTACCGCAACATATTCCTACCCTGTTTCACATTGACCACTGCTCCCCTGATGACTGTTTGCCACTGAGAAATATAAATCTGATTATGTATAATTTCATCTTCAAGTATTTTGATTCCATTTTAATATTTCTGTGCTTAAATGCCTTATATGATTACATTTGATGCACATCTCCTTTTTTTGCCAACCTCTTATAATCTATATCCTATCAATTCTGCATTCCCTTCCATTCTTCTTATTTGAAGAAGATATTATCTTGAAGTTTAAAGGAGGTTGATTTTAAACAATTTAAAGATTTATCTAGGTAATATGTGTTGTCGCCCGAGGTGGTATAGATTATTTTTTAAAAATGTGGAGATTCATAAGAACCTAAGCATTAGAGATAGGGATAGTGGCTCACAATAATGGCAAGAGGTATAGTATATACTAATTTACATATTAGTAATGCTTTCTTGATTGCAAAAAACAGAAAAATAACTCTTACTAATATTTTGGCGGGAGTGGCACAGCAGTAGCTCATGGAATGAAAATAAGAACTCAGTGAAGCAGAAAGCTACTGAAGAAACCAAAAAAACACTAGAAAATCAGCAGTAGGAATGTGTGGATTTTGCCTTGGAAATTCTGCCGTTTCTGAGACTCCTCATAAGAGACACCAGGCTTTCTCTCTCTCCATTCCACATCTCTTAAATCTGGGGATGAGAACTTGATTGTCATAGCTGGGAGCAAGTGTGTGCCCCTGGGTGAAACAGCGAAGTCCATTTGACAGTGCCTTAGGGCAGAGACATGGACACTGGCACCTTCATACTCATTTGTAACTGAGCCATCTTCAGAGGACTCACTTGCATCGAGAAATACCCTGATTGGGTCTATCACATGAGTCAATATTTGTCGAAAATTTGTGTTGAGAACAAGAACTGCGCAGCATTGGTCTTGTGCACTTTGGGATTGAACGAATAAATGACGTTTTTAGAGTGTGCTTTAGCAAGTGATGTTGGCAGGGGTATCATATTACAAGAGTTTAATTAAGTATTCTCATTACCAGCTGTTGGAGAAGAAAAGTGTAAAAGCTTTCTTTTGCTACACAACAGGATTTTTTCTATGTGTATTCAAGATGATTCATAATATAGCCTGAATGGACAAGAGGAACCACAGTTTTCTATATTGCATTAGAGTGAACATGTAATTTCTTTTATATTGTAAAGGGATATTTGAACGGGGTCTGTAGATTGTTTCTGCCTTCCTAGACATGGATTTTGGCCTTTGGCATGCCCACCTGCTAGGGCCACAGTCATCAGCTTGACACAGGAAATGTGGGACTGCTGAGTGATACTATTATAGCTTCTTGTTTGCAAGCCCAGCCTGCCAGTCCCCCGCCCCCCCACCTATTTCTCCAAAACCCCTTAACTGGAAGCTACTTGGGAGCTTTTTGTTATTGAAAGGGCTCTGAGAATATAAAACAGCTGGTCATTTCTAATGTCTTAAAGATGCACACATGCTCACTTTTTATTTAATGTCCTCCTAGTAATTTGAGCAGATGCTAACTGTGCTGCAACATGAGTCAACTGAAAAGTATGTATCTCAATAAGATTTAAAAAAATAGGAAATTTACATAACTTTTTTATAAACCAAACTAAAAATACATATACAAGTGATTGTAGAAACCAGGGCGATTTCACCTAAAAGCAAATGCTTAGTGAGAATTTAATTGCATTTACCTGATGTCCTTCATAGTAAAACCTGTTTTTTTTTTTTTCAACTGAAATAGGGGAAAGTCGTTTTAACTATGTAAATGGAGTGTCCTCAAATCTAATCAATTTGCAGTGTGACCAAATAATCTGTTGCATTGCCAATTCACCAAGGTGTTTCAGCCATTTGGAGATCAGGCAAATTATTTCAAATATAATCACTTAAAGTGTTTTAGAAGGGATGTAATTAAATGGCTTCAATATAAGAAAAAATATGTACTGAAACAGTACATTGAAACAAAAGGAGCATATATTTACTTGATTTTTTAAATGAGCTAAATATCAATCACACTACATTTTTACAGGCTTACAAAGGTGCCTAAAATAATCATTATCTGACTTGCAACTTTATGTGCTCATTTTTTAACATGTCTTCTAACATAAGCATGTCACCTAGACTTTTAACATTGCCTCACTCATTTTAACATTGCCTTTTCTCTCATTAAAACACTGACATTATTAAAAATCTCTACTACATAGGCTTCTGGGATCCCTGGTATGAATACCCATTGCTTTCAGAGAAAGAATCAAAAATAAAGTCATGATTATAAACTTTTTTTTTCCCAGTTGCTCTGTATCTAGGTCCTCGTAAATATAACAGTTGAATAATGTAGGATTACAAAGAAATCATCATATAGCATCTGAATTAAAGAATGTAAAATTTAGATTTTGATGTGGCTATGAGTAGCATAAAAATAATAATAATTAAAAAAATACCCACTATTTTGAACAAGACAGAAGTTTCCTTTATCAAATGAACCTAGTTCTGAAGTTGCCATACCAGAGGTATGGATGCAGTGTGGAGTGGCAGAGACCTCGGCTTCTCCAACCATGTCAGTTTTTTAATGCATAATTTCCACTCCCAAGATCATCTCATGATTGGACATGGCACATGAAGCTTTGAGTAATCTGACTACACAGTAGCAAATAGTGAGAAGTGTACATTCTCTTGGTTTATCCCTATTGTTCAGACTACTTATACCACTCATAGCTACCAGAACATTTGGAAAATGTACTCAAGTAGTTGCCTGGGGATGTGTTCTTATACAGAAAGGTACCAAGAGATATTGAGTAGATCCGCCTAATTCTCCTCATCTCCGTTTTACTCAACATGATACACATTGAGCTTCGTGATGCTCCATTCACTGTACAGAAAAAAGCAAATTTAAAATATAAAAGTCCTGGCCAGGTGTGGTGGCTCACACCTGTAATCACAGTACTTTGGGAAGCCGAAATGGGCAGATCACTTGAGGTCAGGAGTTCGAGACTAGCCTGGCCAACATGGTGAAACCCCATCTCTACCAAACAATACAAAAGTTAGCTGTGCATGGTGGCAGGCACCTGTAAGTGCCAGTTACTTGGGAGGCTGAGGTGGGAGAATCACTTGAACCTGGGAGGTGGAACTTGCAGTGAGCCCAGATCACGCCACTGCACTCTAGCCTTGGTGACAGAGTGAGACCCTGTATCAAAAAAATAAAATAAAAAAAGTAAAATAAAATATAAAAGTCTCAGTGGGACAGAGAAAGGAATGATAGGGTGGAGCATTGGAGCTATGGTCTGTGGAGCCCAGTGCAAGGTTTCTGTTTGCAGAGGCTGGTTTAGGAGAAGTACATTGCTGTATTTTAAAGCATCGACTCTAAGTTACTGAAAGAAGGCTTTTGTCTCTGGCTCCATCACGGAGCAATGAACAAAGGCTTAAGTTCCTTGACTGGCACATTTAGCTACTTTTTTCATAAGGGATTTTCCAAATCGAGGCATGCGAGAGGAAAATCTAAGTGAAAGGTGCTGTCTTACTGGGCCATGAGGCTAAAATAGAAGTTCAGGTCTGACAAAATGTCTTGAACCCAAAGAATAGGAAATACAGGAGAAGTAGCCAAAAAATCTGTATGTGTATTTTCTCCAAATTGCTAGCTTACCCTTAAGCTGTAAAGGTGCAGACGAAGTCACCAGGACACCTAGGAGACTACAGCAGTCAAGAGAATAAGCATCTGAAGGCCATTTCAGCATTCACTCCTGCAGGTTACAACCAGCCAAGGTGAAAAGATCTTGGGTCAATACTCCAGGTTTTCTACTGAAGCCCCAGAAGGGCTGGGACCTAGAGAGAAAAGCTACAGGCAGGAATAAACTATGTCCTAAAAGTAAGAGTAAAACCTAAGTAGATCAGCCCTAAGACATTCTAAAATCCCATTCGTAAAGTTTCAATGAATGTAAACGTGTAATAAAAGGTCACTACATACTTGAAAAAACCATCCAGCATGAGAAAAGCTAAAAAGATAATTTCAAAATAATTGTATAATCATATGACTGAAAAACACGTTTGGAATCATTAGATACAGGAAACAAAATAAGTTGGTATCATTGAGGATATGCTAGATTAATTTGTGGTAACAGACAACCCTAAAAGACAAACCTTGAGAGGACCAAGGTAAACCACCAATATTCAGACTTCCAGAAGGATATTTAAGTAATAACAGAAAAGCTCATACATATTGAACCATGTAATTACTGTTTCTGATGTTCTCTATTACTTTGTGTAAATCTACATTACCATCTAGAATTATTTCCATTCTGTGTGAAGGACTTCCTTCACATATTTAAAGACATTTTTCTTGGCCTGGTGCGGTGGCTCACACCTGTAATTCCAGCACTTTGGGAGATAGGGGAGGGCAGATTGCTTGAGCCCAGGAGTTTGAGACCAGCCCGAGCAACATGGCGAAATTATGTCTCTACAAAAAGTGAAAATATTTGCCAGGTGTGGTGGTGCACACCTGTGGTCCTAGCTACTCGGGAGACTAAGGTGGGAGGAACACCTGAGTCTAGGGGGCGTCAAGGCTGCAGTGAGCCATGATTGTGCCACTGGACTCCAGCCTGGGCAACAGAGTGAGAACCTGTCTCAAACAAAACAAAACAAAACAAAACAAAAACAGAAAAAAGAAATAAAAAACAAAGACAACATTTCTTATAGAGCAGGTGTGATGACACTAATTTTTCAGGTTTATATGTCTGAAAATGTCTTTATTTCACCTCATGTTTGAAATCTATTTCTGCTGTTCATGGGCTTCTGGGTTTTAGGTTTCATTTAAAACATTAAAAATGTTGTTCCACTATTTGCCCACTCGCATTGTTTATGATCTACTCTAATCCCTATCTTTGTTTCTCTGTATATAGCATGTCTTTTTCTCTTCTGCTTTTTAAGATTCTGTACAACTTGTTTTCAGTAATTTGATTGTGATATACAGTTTTCTTCTGCTTCTTGTGCTTGGGGATTCTCAAGACTCTTGCATCTCTGGGTTTGTAGTTTGCACCAAGTTTGAAACCTTTTTAACCATCATTTCTTCAAATATTTGTTGGGCCTGGCTTCCCCCCTGCCTTGTGAAAATCCAATTGTGCATATGATATCAATAGATTGCTTGAAGTTCACCCACAGTTCATTGACACTCCTTTTTACGATCATTTTCTTCTGGGCTTTTTTTTTTTTAGATAGAGTCTCACTCTGTCACCCAGGCTGGAGTACAGTGGCATGATCTCGGCTCACTGCAACCTCTGCCTCCCGGATTCAAGCAATTCTCGTGCCTCAGCCTCCCCAGTAGCTGGGATTACAGGCACGCACCACCATGCCCGGCTACTTTTTTGTATATTTATTAGAGATGGGGTTTTACCATGTTGGCCAGGCTGGTCTTGAACTCCTGACCTCAGACGATCTGCCTGCCTCGGCTCCCAAAGTGCTGGGATTACAGGCGTGAGCCACTGCTCTCTGCCTGTTGCTTATTTTTTTATAGTAATTTTTGTTATGTCTTTAAATTTACTAATATTCTCTTCTGTAATATCCAATCTGCTGTTAGTTACAACCAGTCAATTTTACTTTTCAGACATTATAGCTTTCACCTCTAGAAGTTTGACTTTTGCCTCTCTTGTGTCTTCCAAGTGTCTGCCTAACATTGTGAATATACAAAATGCAATTATAAGAACCGCCCTAATGTCTTTGTTTGCCGTTTCTAACATCAGTGTCAGTTTTGAGTGAATTCAATTGATTGAATCCCCCATTCATTTTATTTTCTTGCTTTGTTGCATGTGTGATCATCTTTGATTGGATGCCTGACACTTGACTTCATTGTGTTGAGTACTGAATGTTTGTGTTTACTGGCATCTGAAGAGATCCTGCTGAACTTCTTGCACTTTGTTCTGCCATGCTGTTAGTGGAGACAGTGTGACTTATTTGGGTCTTGCTTTTATGGTTTGTTACATGGTTCTGAAGTAGAGTTACATCAAGGGTTAATTCTGCACTTTAAAGTGGGAAGAAATTCTCGGGTACTATACTCAACATGCTTTGGATTGAGGTTTTACAGCGGAGTTTCTGGAAGAGGCTCTACGCCTGCCCTTGTGTGCATACTGGGCAATGTTTGATTTCAGCTTTTTGTGTGGTTCTTTCTCAGACCTACATACTTTGCTCACATGAATGTGCTAATCAGCACTTTCATGAACATTCAAAGTATTTCTGCATATCCCCAGATTTCTCTCTCTCTCTTCCACTGTGTCCTGAGAACTCTACCTACTTTGGGGCCCCATGACTCTCAGTTCCAGTCTCTTCATTTTAGGGAATCTTCTGGGCTGTTCCTGAGTTTCCCCTCTGTAAGTCACCACCTTGAAATTCTCTTGAGGAAAAAAGGTGGGGAAGTGAATAGAATCCTCCTCATTTTTTTTTTATTTTCTGTCTCTCAGGAAATATATTATAATTAGGCCTTTCATTGCTGAATTTTGAGTATTTTGAAACTAGTCTTCTGTATATTTTTGTCTGATTTTTGTTTTTGTTGTTATTGGTGGGGGCATGAATCTTATCCTGTTTATTCCATCTTGGCAGGAAGTGCAAGTCCCACACAAGTAATTTGAACAGGAAAAATTTAATAGAAATAATGTTCACAAGTACTAATGTGGTTAAGTCATAAGAGGGTCAAAATAGAACTCTAACAGGTAGAAAATTTGCAACAGCAGAAAGTAGCTACCACCTATTTTAAGGAGCGTGAACAAAGGAAGAACTTAAAACACCAGAAATGCCTAGTTCCCTACCTCCCCAAGGCTTAGATTCAAATCCTTTGGAGAAGGTGTGTGTGGCTGTCACAGAAACACGCACTCAGCTGGTGGTTAAAAAGCTGGTACAGAATGCTGGCCAGGGTTGATCCACAAGGGCTGCTTAGATGAGAACTACTGAATTACTTATGCCTCATCTCCTGGTTTTTTTTTTTTGTTTGTTTTGTTTTTTTGCACGAACAGTACCCTGGAGGCAGGAAAGAAAGCTCTTTCCTCCTGCAATGGTATTAGAAGCCTCTCTAGTGCCCTCTATTGACAAAGCCTAATAGATCAGTTAGTAAAAGAAAAATTTCAACAGAGCCCAGCAGTCAAAGTGTTACAAAGCAGAGAGAAGGGTCCATTTGGAGCTGAAAATTGATAGACTGGTAACAGGGTCAATGGAATATGCTGTACAGCAATAATTAAGAATGATGTGATGCTGTATGAAGCGACTTGAATATTATAAATTTAAAATGGAATAAAGGAAACCATGCACAGGAGAGTATATGCTTAATAATTTCATTTATATAAATATCACAAAGAGGTAAAGATGATAATCTCTGTAGGTAGAATTGGAATAGTATTACATTTCAGAGAAAGTCATTGAGGATGTATATGGAAATGCCTTCTGAGTGCTTGGTTTTTTTTATTGCTTTCTTTTCATTTTAATTTTCTATTTATTGATCAATTAATATGACCCTAGAAGAGGAAGTACAGCATAATATTTTTGTGATACAAAGCAAGCAAAAGAAAACAATATATTGCTTATCCTTACACATATTAGTAATTAAGCCATGTTATATATTAACATGTTAGTAATAAATACGAAATTCAGCATAAGAGCTTTGGTTTGTGGGAAGGTGAGTGGAAATAGAGTTAGAGCAGAGGCAGTTACTGGTAATATTTTAGCTTGTATGAGAACCTCCCAGGGATTATTACATTTTTATGCTTTATAACATAATGATATAAGAAAACTTTAACTGAATTGTGTAAAAAAATTCAAGAATCCCTGAAAATTGGGCAATTTTGAAATTGTTTCCAAAAGAAATCAGAAACCTTCTATGCCAATTCTATTTTAAATACACAGAGCTATTAGGGGCAATTTATACCCACATACTCTGTGTCTTCAAATGTAAGGTGATTACTCCATTTTTGATATTAGAATATCCAAAAAGTGCTATTTAACTTATATGAACATATAATATTTGGAGAAAAATGTCTTACAAAGTGAAAATGTCAAAGTTATTTTACATGTGATTTATTCAGTTTCCTTTATATTGCAAAAATCATGGATTATTTAAGTAATAGATTATATATATGTGTAGATGTATATATTTAAGTTACAGTTAATGAATGGATTTATCTAAATCTACACATAGATCTTTAGCATCCTATCTTTGTCACAGTAAAGTTACTCTATTAGTTTTACCGCACATGGAGAACATACCTATTTGACGACTCTGTGAACACCAGAAGTAGGGTAACCGATGACAACTAATAGAACTTTTCATTAAGGACTGTAGAAAGCAACACTTAGTAGACTTGAACAATAATGAAAACAAGCTCAAATAAGGGCAAAATATTTGAAAGGGCTGTTTAGACTGTCTTCAAAATAAAATAGTATAGAGAATTCACCATAAATGAATAACTTCAGTCAAATGTAAAGACTCCATTTTTATTAGGGATACCTCTGGAAAAATGTTTAAAATTTAGACATACAGGGTAAGTTTTAATTGTTTATTTTGATTGAATGGCCAGACTCCCTGCTTCATTATATTGTCACCCAGAAAACCTATATGCCTGATATCTGCTTTTCAGTAATTGTGTACCTTAATATTCTTCCAATAAAATAGGGATAGTTATTTACTTAAACTTAAGTTGCCTAAGTTGTTTACTTAAATAATTATCACTATTTTGTAAATTGCCTGTTTAAAGAAAATGTATGGTGCTAAGATTAAGGTTGATAGGCCAATCTATTGTGGTTTGTGAATTGATCGTTCTGATTCAAATTTCAATCTGAAGATAGTTGTAAAAAATTTCACATTGTTTTCTGATATATTTCAGATGAGACTTCCCTTTATTTATGTAATTTGATACATTTTGTACTTCATTCTTATACAACATAACAAACTTTTCATGTAGTGTAAATTGAAAACTTCACAAATACTCAATAAGTCTGATTAATGAGGACTTCAACTGGTCATTTAGATAGTAAAACTAGTTTAATTGTAGATTGTAATGACTTCATTGTCAATGCACATAAAAAGCAACCTTCTATTTCACATGATATGTATCTTCTGACTTCAGCTATATGGAAAGGGAAGCCCATTGTTTTCCGACAATAACAAGGCTGAATAAGTAAAAAGTTTTTATAGTATTTATCAATTCATGTATAAATGTATTTAATAAAATCAGATAGAAAGGAATAGTAATAATTTGTAAAATGTATGTTATACATTATAAGTCATAAACAAAGGTAACCATTTAAAAATACATAAATGCATAACACTTGCTTCTTAGGTGCTCCCAGAGCAGCATATTTCAAGATGGTTTTGAATATAGTGAATACAGAAATACCCCAACCTAACTGTTCAGAGTTAGACCAATTAACTTATCATAGGCACATTAGGTCTATATCTTCAATATCAAATAGAATGCTGAGGCAAGCATCCACGTAGATGAGGCTACTAACATTCTTCTTTACATAGCTTGCATATTTTCAGTTTTTCAATTTTATATTTAATTTTTTTAAATTTAATTTGTAGGTATAAACAGCTGCAAAGACCTCATGTACTTATATAATTGAGTTACAAGTTAAGTACCTACACCAAGATAAGAACAGTGCCTACATATATTTGGCATTTAGTAAATGTTTTCCATTCATCAATATAAGAAATAAGAATATTTATATTAATAAAATAAATACGACAAAATCATTCCTTTTTTTTTTTTTTTTTTTTTTTTTTTTTTGACACAGAGTCTCACTTTGTCACCCAGGCTGGATTGCAGTGATGTAATCTCAACTCAGTGCAACTCCACCTCCGGTGTTCAAGCGATTCTCCTGCGTCACCCTCCGAAGGAGCTGGGACTACAGGTGCATGCCACCAGGCCCGGCTAATTTTTGTATTTTTAGTAGACACGGGGTTTCACTATGTTGGCCAGGCCAGGCTGGTCTCAAACTCCTGACCTCAGGTGATCTGCCTGCCTCAGCCTCCTAAGGTGCTGGGATTACAGGCGTGAGCCACCATGCCTGGCCTCCATAGCTCTTTAATATTCTCCCTATTTATTTATTCCACAAAGCTCATTTGTGCTGCTATGTGCCAGGCACAGTCTTCACCACTGATGGATATGAACAAGAATCATTGCCATTGGGAGAGAAAAATAATAAACTAACAAAGTTAAATATAATTAACTTAAAATTAATAAAACGTTGGGCAAAAATACATTAGGGGAGAGGCACAGGGATGGCCAGGTTGTTGATAAGGTTTCATCTTTCTAGCCAGTGGCTTGGGGAGGCCCCATTGAGAAGGCTTATTTGAGAACAACTGCAAGGAGGTGAAGCAGCGAGCTAATGGGAGATCTGGAAAGATGGTGAAACTGGCAGAAAGAAGGAAAGTACAAAAACCCTGGGGTGGGAGCATTTCTGAAATTTCAGAAAACCTTCAGAGCTAAGTTTCACTGGAGTGGGATAAATGAGAGTTAAAGGAACAGGAGATGAAGTCAGAATACGGAGAGTCAGAAGGGAAGGCCTTATGAGCCAGAATAAGGTCCTTGATATTTACTTGGAGATGAGAAACTACAGGACTGTAGGCAGACGACTGGGGCCTTAGTGGTCTTGGGCAATTATCCTTTATTCTATAGCCTTTCATTCTTCTAATTTCACATATGACTATTTTATTCTTTTTTTATCCTCAAAACTTTCCTGTCCCTGCTATAATCTCCAGTGTCCCACCTTCGTTCTCAGCTGATGACTTAAATCACAGAAAAAGCCAAAGGCTACGAGAACAGATCTCACAACACACAAGCTCCCATTGCTGCCCCATCTGCCTGCCTTCCTTCTCACTTGTCACTGTGGAAGAAATGACTACGCATCTTCTCGAGGGCGAAGCCATTGAATATCTCCCTGCTCCTTTCTGGATCGTGCATCTTTCCTTCTTATCTGGCCAATTCCCTCTGGGTGGTGGCAGGCAGAGACTGTGTAAGGCCACATGGTGATGTGAGGGTGATGGGTTGATCTGAGCGCCTTGGCTTCTTTTGGTGACTGACATAAATCTAGGTCAAGGGCAAAGGGAAGTTCATTCCGATTATCCTAAGGCAGCTAGCTGTGGTGAGGAAGTGAGTGTTGAAGGTACAGAGGGCGAATTGGGGTTCTCTGCTTTGCTTCTTCAAAGGTAGAAACAAAGACAAGCACGGGAGAGACACCTGCCAAGAATACCACAGCTGTCAGCTGTGGTCACCATAGGTTAGTTACCCTGAGCTTTCTTGTTCTGAATTCAACAATGCAGCCTCTTCTGCAGCACTTACCTGTACATGGCAACAAACAAAAAACTGCTGCTGTGTAGCAGCCTGGACCAGGAATAGGTGGCTTTTTCCTATAGGTCAAATAAAGCACTGTGGACAATCATGATAGACAAGATGGAAACATGTGTAACTCTCCCAGGAAAAGCATAGTGTGGGCCTCTAGAGCGCTCCTCTCATTCCCACCCATGAGGAATATTTGGAGGTGCCAGGGACTCAGAAATTGCCTGGGAGCCTCTTTAATAGATGAGTTCATGATACTCAGATACATCCACACGCACGTGAATGATAGGGCTGATGTACTGAGACGCTATTATAGTATTGAAATACCAATAGTACACAGCATTCCTAATGCCTATGCACATGCCCTCAGAGTGGGATCGTTCATAGATTCCCTCCAACAAGGGATCAGTGGAAATGGCTGCTGGGACACATAGGTGATACAAGACATTGAAAAATTAAGCTGATGTTTTCTGAAAAAGTGAAGACTTTAGTACAAAACACTGATACAGGAAGATCTCAAGATCAAAAGAATGAGTTCTCCTCTCCACTGCCCTGCAAAGGCACAGGTATTATGAACCCTGGTATAGGAAACTTCACGAATTGTTATGAGAGAGAACTCCTGCTTTTGGGATCCAATATTCTTTGGGCTATGATAACCGGATGGGCCACACAAAATACCCTGCTCCCATAATGTAGGTCAGAGAACAAAATTAATCTTTTCTCACAGATGGTGGGAATCACGTAGAAATGGATCCCATTCATGTCGGAGCAAATAGTGGTCCCAAGCATTGCCATGTAAGGATGGAGAAGATTAAAAAATAATCAAATCAACTATGCAAACGGCACAGTACAATAATAAAAATAAGAATATACGTTAAATAATGCAGAATTACCTGAGAACTTAAACTCAATGCAGCAAGAAAACACAGAAGGAGACAGTAAGGGATGTTGCAAACTGAGGGCGATAAATTGAGGACTGAACTATTAGAAACCAGCTATGTAGATTTACCTAACTACTGAATTAATGGCACAGAGTATGGTTTCTCAAACTTTAGCATTCTTCAGAATTGCCTGAAGCTACTGTTAACAGAATACTGAGTTCCTAAATTGAGGACTGAACTATTAGAAACCAGCTATGTAGATTTACCTAACTACTGAATTAATGGCACAGAGTATGGTTTCTCAAACTTTAGCATTCTTCAGAATTGCCTGAAGCTACTGTTAACAGAATACTGAGTTCCACTCTCACTGTCTCTGATTTAGTGGGTTTGAGGCAGACTGAGAATGTATTTGCATTTTGAACAAGTTTCCAGGTGATGCTGATGCTGCTTGTATGGGGCCCACGTTTTGAAAACTATTTATATAGGGGCTAGAGAAAAATTAGTAGTAACTTGAAAAGGGTAAGAAAAACAGAGGGGAGAAGTTATTAAAGATAACATTGTATTAATCTCTTTTCACACTGCTGATAAAGACACACCCAAGACTGGGTAATTTATAGAGAAAAAGTTTTCCATGTGGCTGGGGAAGCCTCACAATCATGGCAGAAGGTGAAAGGCACGTCGTACTTGGCAGCAGATGAGAGAGAATGTGAGCCAATTAAGGGGGTTTCCCCTTATAAAATCATCAGATCTTGTGAGACTTATTCACTACCATGAGAACAGCATGGGGAAAACTGCCCCCATGATTCAATTATCTCCCACCAGGTCCCTCCCACAACATGTGAGAATTATGGGAGCTATAATTCAAGATAAGATTTGGGTGGGGACAAAGCCAAATCATATCAAACATGCAAATGAAGAAAGTTTACTTATTGAAATAAAAGACTTAATCTGAGGTTTAAAAAGCACACCTTACAAGATTTTTAAAGTCGACTTTTGATCTATTGTCAGACTACAGATAAAAACTACACCACAAATAAGATTATTTTAGCTAGCCAGATGTTATTTTAAAACTAAAGTGTAAACATTTGCTTTTTATTTTTCATAATTCTTTATTCAGCAAGCGAGACTGGCAAGCCATTTAAAAGGCAGAGAAACTGAGCTGGCCTCAGACAGGGCTGGAAGACAATGCAATAATGTTGCCTACCGAGATCTTTGGGAAATAATTCTGGAGCAAAGACTTTATATTCTGCCACGTCAATCGTGCATAGATGCACAGGCTGACATTCTCAAATATGAACCATCAAGAAAAAGAAATTATTTTCTGTCAGTGAAGTCTGGTCAAAGAACAGTTAAATAAAAACAACTCAAGAATTGAGGAACCATCATAAAATGAATTCTGTTAAGTACTCAATCAATTTAAATATAAAACAGTACGAAATTATGGTGGGAACTATAGTTATAGAATTGAATAACGATGTTACAAACCTTGAAAATGTAAAAGCTAATATAATTGGCAGACTTGGGTTATGATGAAGTGTGAATATATTCATGTCCTTGTCTTCCATACCAGAGTCTAATATTGAAAAGTGATTATAAATAACACACAATGATCCTAACTTTCAATGTCTTTAAGGAATTTTTTAACATCAGAAAATAATCTAATTGGATAAATATTTCATGTTAGACAATTCCATTTCCTCTCAGTTTTTAAGTAAAATTAACATGATACTTTAATATAATGCAAGGTATTCTTTTAAAATGTCATATGTTGCATGATGATAATTAAAATAAACTTTTATCTGTCTGTCTCCTTTACTATCTATATACACTCATTTGTGCATATTTATACAAGGACTTTTGGAACAAGGTATAGTTAAATTTCATCTACATACTTCTGCTGGAAAGACTTTTTTTCTCTATCTTCTAGTGCTTTTCATATTGCTTGAATTCCTTATGTTGAGTATATATCAGCTTTACTCAAAACTATTATTTTTCCTAGGAAATGAAAATAAAATTAACAAGAAATTTCTTGTGGGAAAAAGCTAATTGAACTTTTTTGATAAATGAATTAAACATATTATCTTTCTGGGAACAAATACCAATGTAAATTATTTAATTACACAAACCATTAGAAATATCTCCAGAGCATGTCATATCTGCAGTTAAACCATGTGGAACTCAACAGTATAATCATGCCAAGCTAAAAGCTTAAGTGTGCCTGTGTGTGTGTGTGGGTGGGGGTGGTGATTTTACATTAGATATAGCAGTTGAGTCTCTTAGAAGAAAGCTAAACATTTTTTAAAAGGATTTTTCATATTTAAATGATGGTTTGGGAAACTGGATGAAGTCTAGTGTTTTAATAACTTATTTATAATTAATAGGGGAATAGCACAGTTTCCTATACTCTCATAGTATACAAAAATATATACAGAAAAGATGAAAATAGAGCTGCTCAGTTGCCAGATGTAGCAGTAAAGAGCCTCATGGACTTCATCTGTCTTCTGCTTCTGGAGTGGCCCCTGAAAACTTGTTTGCCCCAGCAAGTTCTATGGGACATGAGGGGCAGTCTTCTGAGTCACAGAACAACCAGAAAACCAGAAAAAAGGAGAGCTTCAAGAAAGAATCTCTGCTCTGTTTGAAATAAACAGTCTGAGTATTCTCCATTGACATCCCAGGCCTATTTCGCTTAATACATTTTAACTTAGAGAGTTTTGTATCTCAAAAACTTCATTCCAGCATTAATATTCCATTAATATATATGAGCAACAGAGCAACTGGTATAGGAAAAAGGAAATGAAATATATAGATGTTGAATAATTTGAATGTTTCAACACGAATCTTTACGGATATATGAATAAATGTATAGCCACACATTATATGCATTTCTTTTAATTAGTGAAGGTTTCAACCAATAATTGTTGTATTTTTCTAATAAATATTAAATTGATGAATTCTGTGACTTTAATTCATTTTAATAACTTCTTTATATCATTTAGATACAGAAATCATTCATGAAATGAATTAACAGACACATCCTGGCTCTGTGTTGACTACTTGCTTTTATGGATACAGGAAAATTATGCAACTCACATTACAGAATACTTTGCAAAGTGGACAAGGTTGCCAGCCAGGAAACTAAACAACAAAAGACCAAACTTTGGGCAATTTATGGGGGGCTCACATTATCAGAAATAACCTAAATTTTACCTGTTTTTCCACAAATAAATTTATACCATGTCAAGAACATAAAAATATAAATCCATCATGGGTAAAAAGCATGGAATAGTGCAATTGTTAAACCTGTAAGTGTTTCATATTACTTAGGCAATAAGCAAAAATTTTGTAGGATTTCATAAATATTCTCCAAGAAGATTTAATAACTATACCATTATTGTTTTTTTAAGTAGGTAAACATTTATCAGTGAAGCCCAAATATTGTTCCTTCAATTTTACTTTAAAATATATGCATTTTTAAATTTTACTTTAGGCATATGTTAAGGAAGAGTAGAAGGTCATTCAAGAATAGGGTTCTTGGGGAATACTAATTAAAGAAGGAAAATGAAGAGTATAAATTAGAGTTAAATTCAAATTATTACTTCGTTTTATGAGAAGTCAGAGATAAGCTTGCTGTTTGGAAATTGCATAGCTGGGATTACACTATATGGAGACTGTATTAGTTTGCTAGGGCTGTTGTAAAAATGTACCCCAAATTGAGAAACTTAAACAAGAGAAATTTACTATCTGATTCCTGGAGACTAGACGTCCAAGATCAAGGTGTCACCAGAGTTGGTTCTTCCTGAAGGCTGTGAAGGAGAATTTGTCCCATGCCCCATCCTGGCCTTTGGTGGTTTGTTGGCAACCTTCTGTGTTCCTTGGCTTATAGTCGCATTGCCTAATCTCTGCCTTCATTTTCACATGATGTTCTCCTCATGTGCATGTCTATGTCCACATTTCTCATTTTTATAAAGACAACAGTAATATTGGATCAAGGGCCTACCCCACACAAGCATGACCTAATTTTAATTAATTACATCTGCAGTCACCCTGTTTCCAAATAAGCTTACACTCTAAAGTACTAAAGGTTCGGACTTGAACATTTAAATTTTGGGGGAATACAACTTAACACGTAACAGAAACCCTCTGTGTTAAGTTGGAGAGATCTAATTTCTGATACACAAGTAGAAATCTGATTAATGGAGTTCAGATATTAATCCTGCTTCATATGAAAATTACAGGATAGTGGGACTTATTCTTAAGGCAGAAATTGGGGCAAGAATGCCAATGATACATTGGTAATTGGTATTGGTATTGATAAAAGACAAAAGCATGACAGCAAATAGACGAAGAGTCATTTGACCTGAAGAGCAGTAACCCCATCCTGGTTGTGTAAGCCCAGTGACCCTACATCCAAGTTCTGGAAGCATACAGGAGATGCCAGACTGCTTTGTAAGTGATCTGGCAGTTACAACAGTAGAAAAATAGGGGGAAAAGGTGACTCTGACATAGAAAAGATCAATCGAGCATTGCAATAGACCTTATCCTTGGGGCCTTCAACCATCAGAGTCCAATAACTTCTAAAGCTGGGACTGATGAAACCTAATGACTTGGATTTCACAGTAGTCCTCAAGGAGAGGAATGACACTTTGATGTTTGTATTAGACCATTCTTGCATTGCTATAAAGAAATACCTGGCTGAGTGCAGTGGCTCACACCTGTAATCCCAGCACTTTGGGAGGCCGAGGAGGGTGGATCACAAGGTCAGGAGTTCAAAGCCAGCCTGGCCAACATGGCAAAACCCCATCTCTACTAAATATACAAAAATTAGCTGGGTGTGGTGGTGGGCGCCTGTAACACCAGCTACTCGGGAGGCTGAGGCAGGAGAATTGCTTGAACCTGGGAGGCAGAGGTTGCAGTGAGCCGAGATGACACCACTGCACTACAGCCTGGGCAACAGAGCGAGACTGTCTCAAAAATAAAAAAATAAAAAAACAAAAAACAAAAAACAAAAACAAACAAGCAAGAAAACCTGTGGCTGAGTAATTTATGAAGCAAAGAGTTATATTGGCTCATGGTTTTTCAGGCTTTACAGGAAGTGTCGTGCTGGCGTCTGCTTTTGGTGAGGGCCCAGGAAACTTCCAATCATGGGGGCAGGTGAAAGAGGAGCAGCCATCTCACATGGCAAGAGCGGGAGCAATGGCAGGGGAGGTGCCAAACACCCTTAAAGAGCCAGATCTCACGAGAACTCACTCACTATTGTGAGGAGAATACCAAGCTATGAGGCATCCACTTCCATGACTAAAACACCTCCCACCAGTCCCCACCTCCAACACTGGGAATTACATTTCAACCTGAGGTTTGGAGGGGATGAATATCCAAACCATATCAATAGCACTTGGCTTTTAGAGTAGTGGTTTATTTGAAAAGCAGTTTACTGGGAGTTTAGGATGTTTTTCCAATCCAACTGTGCTTCGAGTAACAACAGGTAACTGAATATAAATTTAGCTGGGTTCAGGAATCAGTGGTCAATAGTACAACCAGAGTAGTCACAATCCTAGCCCACTCAGGTTAAGAGCTGGAAATGTAAAGAATACTTGTCACTCAGCCTTTGGGGATTTGTTCTCCTGAACTCCACTGAAGGCCTTGCGGTAAGAAGAAAAGCAGAAGTTGTAGTCCGAAATAGAACAGTCTACCACTCTCACAGGTAGTAGCATTGGCACACACAGCAGCCATGTTCCTGCGACAGGTGGAATGTTAACAGATACCCCAGAGCATGAGTACAATGGCTGGAATCTTAGTAGTCCAGTTACCAGATATCTGGGATATCTCTATCCCAAGAAGGCATAGATGGATCTTTATTTATACTGCTCCCTGGGAAACGGGGCTGAAACTTGCTGACTTGCCTGACTTTCAGCAGACATGACCTAGGGTATTAAGAGGCATGTCTAAGCTTACCTGATAAAATCTGATGTGGTGTATTTTAGAGATACAAAAGAATGGCCGAAAGTTCACAGAAATGGCTTGCCTTTAGCTTACCATGTAATTTGCCAACTAATACCTTGACACGCCCCACAGAGGTCACAAGGCGTGTCCTTAAATAAGCAAGCTAGAAAGGCCGTGCTTCCCTACACGAAATGTACTGATTGTCTTAAAAGGAGTAAGGCAAGGAGAACAATGGGGTAGCTGTCATGAGAATATGCCATTCTTTGACAGAAGTATGAGCAAATTCACTCAGACATCTGAGCAGGCTCATTGTTACGTATTTTCAATCAGGACTTAAAAAGCTATTTACTGTCTATAGGATCTTGGCAGTCAGGAGTAAAGAATGTAGGCAGATAATTTAATAAAGCTTGTAGAACTCTAGCTACCATTGCTTCCTACCAGAAATCATGCTTCTCTGCCCATGACATTTAGATTTGGGCAAAATGTAGTCTCATTGTGTGGCATTTCCACCGTCCTTATTACCCTGTGCAGCAGGAAGGATACAACAAAGCTATGGGTTTTTAAAGACTAGGCTTCTTAGAAGTACTGCACAGGCAATCAGCATTTACAACCAAGGAAACCTTCAAAAGATAGAGTCAGGGAAAAGGAATTGTAAGGCTAGAATCAGCCTCTACTTTTTTTTTTTTTTTTTTTTTTTTTTTTTTTTTTTTTTTTTTTGCAAGATGGAGTCTCACTCTGTTGCCCAGGCTGGGGTGCAGTGGCACGATCTCAGCTCACTGCAACCTCCACCTCCTGGGTTCAAGCAACTCTCCTACCTCAGCCTCCTGAGTAGCTGGGACTGCAGGAGCCTGGCACCACGCCTGGCTAATTTTTGTATTTTTAGTAGAGACGGAGTTTTGCCCTGTTGGCCAGGCTGATCTTCAACTCCTGACCTCAGGTGATCTGCCAGCCTTGGCCACCCAAAGTGCTGGGATTATAGGCATGAGCTACCGTGCCCAGCTTTATTAAGTAGGTGCTGCTGGAATGGTGTGGTGAAGGAACTCTATGTTGGATTTGTTTTACGTATTCTGAAACAGCTTTTCCACACAGGAAGTAACTACAATATTTCTAACTTGCCCACAGAAACTTAGATAAATTGGTTGAATGTAACAAAGTGCTTCCCCGTGAAGGTGTGAACATGTCCATTTGAGCTCCAGATTTGTGATCCATGAGACAAGAGGTGGTGGCAGTGGAGAGTGTTCTAGATCCAGAGTATCAGGCAATAGTGGATTCAATGAGATATTAATGGAAGTGTAGGAGCCATTTAGCAAAGCTTTATTTGCCACCAAATCCAGGGAAAAAAGAACTGGCATGATTAGCAACTCCTCTCTGCAATCAACCACAGGAGGAAGAATAAAAAGAGATCTGATCTCCCCAATTGAGAGATTAAAGGACACAGCCCTGGGGACAATGAATTAGGATTGCATATGTAGGTATACACAGGTATTATCTGTGTATTGAGGTAAGTTAACATCTGGATACATATAACTCTAGCTGCCCAATATGTTGCTCAGAAGTACCCAAATGAAAGTAGGGCAAGAAGAGATCAGGCTGGCTCAGGGAAGCCACCTTCCTTCTGCTTCTAACCTTACTCTTCCACTAATTAACTTCTTGTAGCACCGGAAACAAAACGGCAGATGCTATTTTGTTTTGTCTTTCCAGAATTATCTTAGGAAACCAAGGAGAGGAGAGTGACATCATCCCCTCACTCAAGAGCATCGGTAGTGTTGACTAGGAAATTTGATTGACTGGTTCAAAGACTGACATTCAGTGCACCTTACTCTTCAAGGCGTTAACAGTCCAGGCAGAAAGAGTAGTCAGAGCTGCCTCTCCTGTCACTCTAAAGGCTATGAGTCCTGAATAGTTATTGCTTAATATTTTAAGCACACAAACACCATGGGCAGTAGACATTTGAAGCTCATCTTATGAGGTAATTTGGAGAAAACTTGAACTGTTTTCTTTTCTCTCTTCTCTTCACAAACTTATGGCTCCAGCACTAGAACCTTCCAAGTGGAGGAATGGAGAATCTAGTGGCACATGTGGTGAGTAAAGGGATCTATCATTCAATTGTAATAGAGTTTAGTAAAAATTTTTATTCAGTCAGTATATATCCTATGGTAGAAACATGGTAATATAGAAAGCCAGCCCTACTTTAGAGCAGTAATTGCAACCATATTCTAGTTTTCCGGGAGTGGCACTCTCAGATAATTCGAGACACCAAAAGAGGGAGTCTATTTACACCAGTAAAAATATTGACATTGCTTATTGGCCACCTGTGACTAATCAGTCTTAATGTTGTTTATGTGAAATAATATTGTTCTCTAATATGGGAGGCATACCTCTCATTCCAGAACCCTATGTTAAATTGCACAAAAGAAACACTGTACCTGGATGAACAGGTCCAGGAGTAACACTGCAGCTAAGTATCAAAATCAAGGCATTCACACATCCCCTTTTGCAATGAAGGGAACAGCTCACATAGTGGTAAAATTCCATAAGGATAGCTAATACACTGTGAGGGTCTGAACAGCTCACCATTTCACCAGGAATTGATGGAAAGTGTAAAATATATTTCCAAGCCCAGAGACCCTTGCTGGCTCCTATCCCTCTGAAAGAACTACTCCACTCCGTCTCACTTGCCTATGCCTCTAGAAACCTGGAACCAAGTGAATGGGCACCAATACTTCTAATAACTTGGTCATACCTAATAGACTGAAAGAATTTTCCTCTCATGGCAGGTACCACAAATTGGTCTCTAGATATATAAGGAAAATTGGAATTGGAACCACTAAAACCTATATATATATACACACATATATATATGTAACTATATATATACATATATGTATATATATATACATATATATACAGCTTGAGTAAAAATTATACTCATTAAGCTATATATATATATTTACCTGAGGGATGGGTTACAAGCTGATCCTAAGATAATTTAACAAGGGGCTATTTAAAATTTATTTTGGGATCAGGGAAGAAATTACTAAAAAACAAGAATACTTTAAATACACAATTTCCATTGAAATGCTGGGCCAATAAGATAGGGGCCTATAGAAAACCAGTCATGTGAAATATAGTGCCCTAAACCCAGAGCCTTATTATATCCTATTGTTGCTGAATGGTATCAGTATGTGCTGTTGTATGTGGAGTGTTTGACCTGACATTTTTGACTAATCTCACAACACATGGGATTTAGCAGATATACATAAGAAAGTGGCTGACATTATAGATTAGTCCTTGAAAATGTTTCCCTGATTTTTCTCTGCTTTAGAAACATAAGAGCTTACATAGTAAAATATTGTTTGTTTCTTATCAGATGGTGTGGTATTTAGATTCTTACTTAATAGATATTGCCACCATTTTGAAGATATTTTCATGTATTTCAGATAATAAAAAATGTCAGTGGTTTTGAAAGAGAGAAGACTCCCCTCTGCCCCAGTCAAGGGGTAATGGTTTATGTAAGCCATTACCTGTTGCATAACCTGTTTGCTCCATGGGAAGCTCTGATATAAGTTAAAGGGCTGTGTCTCTGTAATTCAGCTAGTAATCTGATACCTAAAACTTTAGTTAATTTCCAATGACCCTTGGTGCATGATGGTTCGACAGCGTAATTTCTGCTAACTTGTGAAAGCATAAACATAGTGATATACTTGATAGTAAAGGCCGCTTATAATGGAAAGATGACATGTGGAAAAATAAAATGATTATTCAGTCTTTCTAGAATAACAGTTTTCAGTCTGTGTTTCATGGAGACCTGGTCAAAAGTGTGCACACAACAGAGATCTTACACTCATTTTCTATTATGATACTTCAATAAACAGTGAATAAACACTCACTCACTCCAAGCTTGAAAACCATTACTCTAGCTTCTCTGTGTTGTGCCATTTTATTAAGTCAGAACATCTGACAGCTACAGAACTAGATCATATGGTTTCAGTCTTTATAGAAATGCATCTAGTGAATGGCCTTTTGAATATTAGATTCAATCTATGGGTGTTATACAAAATAGTGTTATACAACATATTTTTTGTAATGTCTGAAAACATATATAACAACATGTACCGTTTTACTCATTTTAAACATACAGTCCTACGACATTAAGTACATTCACATTGTATTACCACGATCCATTTCCAGAACTTCTTTATCTTCCCTAACTGAAACTCTGTTGCCATTGAACACTCACTCCCCATTGCCCCTCCCTCGCCCCTGGCAACCTTCATTCTAGTTTTTGTCTCTATGAATTTGACGTCTCTAGGGACCTCATATAGCATTTGTTCTTTTGTAACCGGCTTATTTCACTTCGCACTATAACCTCAATTTTATTGACTTTGTAGCATGTGTCAGAATTGTATTTCTTGTTTAAGGCTGAATAATATTCTATTGCATGTTTGTACCAGATTTTGTTTATCAACTGTCATCTACTGATAGGCATTTGGGTTGCTTCCACCTTTTGGCCACTGCGAATAATGCTTCAGTGAATGTGGGTATATAAATATCTCTTTGATTCCCTGCTTTTACTTATTTTGGACGTACACCCAGAAGTCAAATTGCTGCCTTATGTAATCATTTGATATGTTCAGGAATCACCATAGCGTTTTTCAAAGTGGCTGTACCATTTTACGTTGCCACTCATATTGTTTTTATGACAAACACATTTTATGACAAACATATATCTCCACATCCGTATTTGCATATCTATTTTCTCTTTATGAGGAAAGACCATGGGTGAAATGTTTTTCCACTGAAAACATTATCAGCAATAGCCTTTCCTCTCCAGAGCAACCTACTTCTTTGTTCCCCCCGCATTGGACACTGTGAATCATGTGTTTATGTTGTTCTTTTAGCTTTGATCTCTAAGAAACACAGAGCCAAGTTTTCAGCCCACACCTAGCACTTTATGAATAATTTTTCCCTGGCTTCAACTTACTTTCATAATTTTGTTTTATTTGGCTGAATTTGCTCACCTTCTTTTTAATGATGAACCATATGAATTTGTGTTAGCAGCTGGAAAAAAGCAGGCTACAAATAAATAAGCACAGAATATTTAAATTGCATCATATTTAATTTCTTTTCACTTGGAATATTTTGGCATTTGAAAAAGATATCTGTGTCTTGCTTTTTTCCAAGTTCAGCTAGAATTGTAATGAAGCTGGAATTTGTTTTAAATAATTATACTGTATTTTGAGGAAGGTCAATATATGTAAAGGTCAAAAGCTGGTAGAAAAATTCAGATATATAGAGAAAAGAAGAGCAACTTTTTAACTCCTTCCCAGTTGCTAAGGAGTATATGCATACAGTTTTAATTCTACACTGTTGATTAAACTATGAACATGGATAGGAAGAAAATCATGTTTCTTTGTCAGTGCGTAAGCTTGACGTTTTCAATGAAACTTATGTGAACAGGCAAGGGAATAGTTGTTTAAAGGCGTTTCATTTTTTGAAGTGCTAAATTAAGCTTCGAGGGTGGATTTCTATGAGATTTCTCAGGAAGCTTTTTCTTAGGAGCACCTGGGAACTACTGCATGTAATCAGGTGAGTGGAGTGTCAGTTGAGTACAACAGGTCTGCGCGTGTTCATGTCTTCTCATCGCTCCTGAGCAAGGATAATGTGACCTCAATTCATTCAAGATTCTGGAAGATAAGGGGATATGTGTAAGGTTTTATGAGCTTATGGATTTAGGGCACAGTAGAGCATGAGTAGAGAGTTCAAGACATTGATTATTGCAGGGCACAGAGCAGTTTCTCCTCACCCAAATCAAGTTATTATGACTTTTATGAATCTTTCTAAAAATCAGCTCATACTGCATTTGTTTTCAGTGAGAAAAAAGTAAATATAAAGACAAATCTAATTTTGTTTCACAACAGTGGACCATCATTTTTTAGTTTTTATTATTAAGATTTTCCTATAATTTAGACTGAATACTCAGTTTTCCCCTTGCTACATGTCTTACAACAGTGAACCATCCTGCTTTAGGCAGTATGGCCTGTGACTTCAATTCTTAAAACAAATATAGAGAATTTTTTATTTTCTCTTCTCTCCTTTGCATAGCACATTATATCTCCTCACTTTATATTTGCTGAATAAATGACTATGGTCAGAAACATCCCCTAATGCCTGGCTGCTCCTAACTTAATGACGTCTGCATGTAAGCATGATAAAACTCAAAGAGAACCCCTCAGCCTCAGCATGTGCTTACTAGGAAGCAGACGGATTGACACAGAAATAGTTCGTATATTCCACAGCAATGACCGGAATTCTGAATCTTCTTTTGCACCAGAGGTGGTAGAGGTTTTATTATTTGTTTCTCATCTGTGAATGTGTACACGTTGTTCAAATTCTTCACTTGAATCTATTCTCATCATAAAACAAAGTTGCATTGACTACCAGGATATAATAAATTATTGCATATATAATATGCAATAATAATAATAAATTATTGCATATATCTGCATATAAAAAATATGCAGATATAATAAATTATTATAACTTTTTAAAGAAAAAAATCTCAGAAGTTGGCCTGGACTGTGGATTTGTCAGTTTGCATGTGGTTGGGCCTAGGCCATAATTTCTTATGTATATTTCACATTTCAGGTTCTATCACTATAAAAAATGAATAGGTTAATTCATCCATTATGCTACAGTCAGTGTCAAAAATTCAGAAAGTTAATAAAACTTTTATTCATCCAATATAAAGTAATTAATTTTATACAATTAATCCTCTTAAACTTTTTCCTCAAATTCTTGAAGGCTTAAATGGCAAACACAGACTCAAGCGTTGCTAAAAAGAAAAGATCACCACAGCCAGAAGAGGTAAGAGGGAGAAAAAGGTTCAGTATTTGGGTGGGTTAAACTGAAGTAACAGTTGAGGGAATAGGTAAATCTAGTCAGAAAGGAAATTGGAACTCAAATGTCTTCTCAGGAAACACTTGCTGCTGAGAGGTAAGAAGTCTCTAGAAACACCATGTGAAAATGTGTGCCGTGCCATTACTGGAATTGCTTTCAAATTAGACTGCTCAAATATTCAAAAGAATAATCTAAGAAAAAAAACTGCATTGTCGAAGAGCTAGACTAAGTGACCTGACAGGTCTTTTTCATCTCCACCTTAGAGAATTCTATTATCTGGTCTATCTATATGATAACCCCCTTGAAAAAAAACTGCACTGCATAAAATTACCTATATACTTTCAGTGGAAGATAAAAAGATGTGTACAGTGCACAAATAGCAGCCTGTGCAGATGTTAGCCAGGAAAAATGATTACAATTTAGAAAACAGAGATATGTTATCCTAAGAACCACAGGAGCATACAAGATAGGCAAGATTCTAGGAATTGATTTTGAAATGACATTTAATTGAATATTGAGTCAGGCTATCACTCTAGCATTGTTCTTTAGCTGTGTGAGCTCAGTTTTTAAATCTATAGCATGAGAAAATTGAATCATATGTTACTATGGTCCTTACCTCTCTCATTATGAAAAGTTTACAATTTAAATTATAAACTACAGTGCTGTGATAGCAAAATCATATTTTGACATAAATATTAAAGTGAGAATATTTATATTTTTATGTGTGAAGTTCGTTAGTGGAAAATTTTACATGTAATGATGCAGCAAAACGTCTGGAGAGAAGAACTCCATTGTATTTTCCCAAGCAAAATTGCCAGGACTTTATTTCTCAATGAATGAAATTCCATGGGACAGAAGGCATCTTTCCCTTGCAGTATCGTGGTGCTAAAAACTTTTCAGTAACTACACCAAATGCCTCATATGTTCCATGTTTGCTCACATTTCTCCAACTCAGATGACTTCTTCTCCCTCTTTCTTTTCTTTAGACCCCTGTCTTCTGGTCCATCATGTACTTTTTTAACCTTTTATTATATTCACATAATCAATTTCTTTTTTTTTTTTTAGAAATTGCCCCTTTCCCTCACTATAAAACTTTGTTTACAACTCTCATCTTAAACTTAAAATATGGTTTTATTTAGCAAACCTTTTATTTTACTTGTTTCTCTCTTTAGCCAGAATGTAATCCATGCCTTTTTAAAAATTATATGCTTTATTCACTCTGCTTCCTAGTGCTACTCTCTGTAACCTAACTTATATGTCCATCCTTGCAATGAAAAGATCCTTGATAAATCTACAAAGTGGCCACCAAATAGAAAATTATAACAATATAATCACTTCACTAATCTTCAACTTTCTTCAACATGTATTTACTCACTCATACATGTTGAGTTCCATTTTAGGTACTGCAATGTAAGATAATTTGTTCAAAAGCATGTGGTATGGAAGTAGAGCACAACATTATTTAAGTAATTACACAGGTAAATATAAACTTTTAACCCTGGTTAACATTTTAAAGAAAAACACAACATACTCCGATAGCATATAACAAAGGCACCTGAATGTGCCTTTTGAGCTAGAGGAAACATTCTTCAAGAACTGACATCTGAATTGAAGGACAATGTGTCCAGACTAAGTCTCAGAAGAATTTTTAACAGCTTGAAATTGTCAAGTGATGACTTTGAAAATAATTTGGAGAATAAAGAATAATATAAAACAAGCCAAAAAAAAAAAAAGGCAGACAGATGATGACTGAATCCTGGGGGAAAAAAGCTATTATTTTCTCCAGTTGAGAGACAATGGTAGATTGGCATGAAGTAGTTGTTTTTGAAGACAGAAAGAAATGGATGAACTTGAAAGATATTTATGAGGTACAATCGGCAATGATGGGTTACTTATGGAAGATGAGGATGAAAAGGGACAAAAAAAGCTTCCATATTTCTGACTTCTACCATTGGATTTGGTGATACATGGGTTACACAAAGAATGAATAGAGGTCAACGTTAATAAGGAGTTTTGTCTTGAAATCTTTCAAGGGTGCAGTGCCAGGAGAAACCCAGATGGATGTTAGAGAGATACCTAGATGGACGTTATGATCTAAGGTTCTGAGATAAATACATATCTGGCTATGAAAATGTTGAGGTTTATTCATATATATTTAATTGCCTGGGATTAATGTGTAGAGTCAGGGAAGGAAAGCCCAGCACAAGCTTCTTGAATGCTACCATTGTGTGCTGAGATGAACAAAGAGGTGCAAAGGAGTCTCAGAGGAGTGAAAAATGAGGAGGGTGTGTTGCAGTGGCCCAAAGAAGAAATACTTCAAGAATCAAAAGAATTACTCCATGAATATCCCAACTAAAATATTATTCTTGTCCTCTCATCAATTGCATTTCCTTTATTTTTTTCTTACTTTTGAACAATATATTTTCTTCATGTTTATTTGTTTCCTGTTTATTTTCTGTCTTCCCTGCCAGAAAGTAAGCTTTGTAACAGCAGGGACATTGTTCTGTTTATCACCATGTTCCCAGTGTCTGAAAAGGGTCTGAAATTAATGTTGACTGGATGTCACAATACTTCACAATTTCCAAAGCTGTTGAGGAGTCTAGCAAGACCTCTCCCACTGCATTTAGGGAATGAGAGGTCTTTGCTCATCTCAGAAAGTGCTTCTTGGTAGGGTCTTGGAGTTGTGGAGTTGGGGGGCGATGAGAAGTGAACAGGGGCTGAGGAAGTAGAGAAACTAGGAATATAAATTTATTTCCAGATATTTGACTGTAAAGAGGAATCCAGTGGCAAGATTATCCTTGGAATGCAATGTAAGGACAAAGACGTATAAACAAAATTGAAGGTTTGTGGGAAAGATACAGTTGGAAGAAAAATTCTGAAAGGGAAACAGTAGTGGAGATATCCTGAGAAAAGGGGGATAGGATGGATTATACAATGGGATAGTAAGTCTCTTCTACCCTCCCGTAAAATTGTATGAGGAGGCAGATGTAGGTAGGTGGAGTGCTACACAAAAGTGGGAAGATTTTATAATGTCAGATGGCAGTAGTAAGACCACATCTGAGTTAGCCTGGAATCAAATTACTACCAGCATTTTCACTGAGTTTTCTTTGAGTGTGGGACTGCCAACCCACTTTGTAAGAAGAACCAATTTTAAGTTCTAGAAACACTGTACCTATCAACTACCCTAAACTGGGAACAGGGCATAGGATACTGTTGAGAATAGAGGCATGAAGAGAAAAATATGTCCTATCACCAATATATAATGGAAGAGAATCAGTTGGTAATTTCTCCATGAGCAGGAGCAGGGGCTAACATGCATGACCCAGACAGCGTCATGATTAATGTGAGAATGGTTATTGGTGATAATGGTTAATGGTTGACTCATATGATGTGTTGTAAATGATGCCAGTAAATATTTATATTGTAACATTGGAAGACAGGAGATAATGAGATTTTAGGTCACTGTAATTCACTTTTCAAAAATAGGTAAAGTTTTTGAATTATGCCTTTTTTTGTTTCTGTTTTTGAGAGGGAGTCTTGCTCTGTCGTCTAGGCTGGAGTGCAATGGCGCCATCTCAGCCCACTGCAACCTCCACCTCTCAGGTTCAAGCGATTCTTCTGCCTCAGCCTCCAGAGTAGCTGGGACTACAGGTGCGTGCCACCACGCCCAGCTAATTTTTCGTATTTTTAGTAGAGACGGGGTTTCACTGTGTTAGCCAGGATGGTCTCAAGCTCCTAACCTTGTGATCCACCAGCCTTGGCCTCCCAAAGTGCTGGGATTACAGGCGTGAGCCACTGCACCCAGCTGAATTACGCCTTTTTAAAGTAAAACATTCTCTTCATAAATTGTTCTAAGCAGACATAAACAGACATTTTATTTTCTCTGTTGTGAACAAAAAAAATTACCAGACCATATCTTTTAGAGGAAGTAGAGAGAACTCCAGAAATAGCGTTGACTCTTAGACATCTCCAGTGCAAGCTTTACACAAATATTCTTTTCCAGTCTCGCAGTTAATTTTTCAAGTGTAGACATATCAGTTACTTTTTTACCAATTTTTTCTCTGGTGATGAGTACTGTCACTGTTTTTTTCTGCTTATATTACATGTCTATCTCATATGTGTATATAGTTTGGCTTTCTTTTAAAATTTACCTGTCTATATTATTATTTTCTTTAGAACATTAGGAAATAACTAGGTATCCACAACACTGCAAAGAATGTTTGACAAATATTTTTAAAAATGAGAAATAAATTATCTGCACATTTGTTTTCTTTGTCTCTGTTTACAGTATTTTGACTCAAAGCTTTGCTACTGTCTTGTCAATTATCATAATTCGGAGAAGATTTTTTCCCTGATAAATTGTATAAAATACTGCACGTTCACAGATATTGAAGAAATTATCATAATATAAAGAAGATTGATCATTGAGTAAGAAAAAGTACATTCTCAAGGTGTCTTATTGAACTTGATGCATCTCATCACTGAAAACACCAATAATCAAAACATTCAACATCTTATGATAAAAAGTTTCATCTAACTAAAATAAAACTATTGTAAGTAAATTACTCTGAAATGAGAATAAGCATGTAAAAATAAGACCATAGAGTGTATATACTAAGCAACATTTTCAAAATATTTAGCAAATTCAAAAAAAACTACTACAATACATTATTTCTAAGTGGGCTCTCCTATGAGAAACATTTTATGTAAGAAAACTTACTCTTTTCTTTAATCTCAGAGATCTGAGTTTCCCACATTAACTAGTTTCCACAATAGGATCAGAGTCCAAGGCAAACCATATTTTTTCTTATTACTTTTTTTTCACAATATATACTCCTCTCAACTCTTGATATATATATTTTATTGAAAGGGCAAAATCCTCACTGTGTTGTCTGGTGGAAAAGAATCAAGTTAGCCAACTCTACACATAATGTTATCTAATAAGATAACTAGCTAGAGAAATAGCAATATCTAAACATTCAATTTTTTAAATGACTTGTATGGACTTTCAGTTGTTCCCCATTTTTCTTTAACAGTTATTTATATTAAGAGTACATTTTAAACCAGGAAAAATAAATAAATAAATGTGTATTAAGAATACTGTACCCTATATGCAGTGATGGAAAAATAGAATTTCATGATAATGTTATGGATTGAGAGTACTGTGTAATTGGCTAGCAGCATTACTAACTATTTTGTTTCACAGGTAGGATTCAGACTCCTTCTAGGTTAATCTTTGCACTTCCTGCACATGACCTCACTGATCAAGCATGCTAGCAGTGCTCACACAGTAAGAATCTTAGCTCCGCCAGTGCCTGCCATGGTGATGAAGAAATGCAGAACACCCACATTAGGGATTGATCAGAGTACACCAAGCTGTCCTAAGCTGAACTAAATAGGATGAGACTCCCATATTTTACTTAAATGGAAAACTATTATCACAATGTTAAGAAAAGTTATTTTGGCCAGGCACAGTGGCTCACACCTGTAATCCCAGCAGTTTGAGAAGCCGAGGCGGGCGGATCACTAGGTCAGGAGTTGGAGACCAGTCTGGCCCACATAGTGAAACCCTGTCTCTACTAAAAATACAAAAAATTAGCCGGGTGTGGTGGTGTGTGCCTGTAGTCCCAGCTACTCAGGAGGCTGAGGCAGGAGAATCGCGTGAACCCAGGAGGCGGAGGTTGCAGTGAGCCCAGATCGTGCCACTGCACTCCAGCCCATGTAACAGTGAGAGACTCTGTCTCAAAAAAAAAAAAAAAAAAAAATTACTTTATTTTCTTTCATTTTTGTTACTTTTTTTTTTTTTTTGCAAAGCACTAGGCACTCAGAGAGAATTAGTAAATACTAAGCTCCCAAAGTACAAACAAATCAACTTAGAGGGACAGCCATAAATGCAATTTGTACTTTAAATATTTGAAATGATAATACAATGCTTTGAAGAGAGGACATTGGTATTTTGAAATCAAGTCCAAAAATTTTAGTGATACTATCATTAATAAGGAATACATATTCATATTAAAATATTGTTTTACTATTAGTCCTTATATTCACTGTAATAAATAGCAGATTTGTAAGCAGTTTTCTATGTTCATAGAGACTATGCCAGTAAAGATTGATGAGAATTCAGGGGTACATCATTAAAAAGGAGATAATGGAAGATAAGACGAAAGGCCAAAGAATCCAATGACATTAGCTCTTGTCATCTTGCACTATGTATTCTAGTATAGAATTAAACTAAAATTAATGATCAAGTGTACATTAAACTAGTGGAAGTTAAACATGTTAGTGTGGGTGATGATCTAAGTAAAGAAGCGTATAGAGTCAAATGGAATGAGCCAAGAAAAATTAATTAGATGACATCAACTATATGGTGGTTGTGAAGAAGGTTATGAAAAAAGGTAGAAAAAGAACAGAGGGATTTCCAGGTAAAAGGAACGGCATAGAGCATATTCTCGCTTTTTTCACTCAATCTGTCTCCATAATTTTACTCTTTAAAGAAAGGCTTCTTGGATAAAATTAAAAATTGGGGTAAGATAAGTGGTTTAACTTTTTTAAACAAATAGACACTAAGATTCATGACAAATAGTACATCAGGTAAGATGAAAGACATTTAAATATTGATCAAAATCACTTCACACACATATTGACATAACCAAAGCCATTTTCCTGACAATATTTGGATAATTCATTCAAAATGTATTATACATATCTCTGTTTATTATAGTGATATAATATAAATCTTTTCAGGTGGTTACATTTTATATTTGATGTCACTCATAAAAAATGTCTCTGGGAGGCAAGCTTTGGCATCACAAGGCTATGCTAAGAGAAATAAGGCAATTTATACAATGATTTCATTGAAATTATTAGACATTACATAGAGCCCTTTTGTTCCAGTGTGTTTTTGTCAAAGTATAAATTAAAATTGTATTGATATTTGAAACACCTTCAGTTGCCTAACACAAAGTTGCTATTAATTATTTTATTGTATTTCACATTAGGCTAGAAGTAATTTCTGTATATATCAATGTCTGTGCTGATTTTTTTTCATAAAGGTATAGAAATAAAATAGGTTCTGTTAAGGCTCTTTCTTATTGGTATGATATGAAGGCCTTATTTCCTTTGCAAAATCAAGGCAACTAATTGCATAACAAGATTGGAAAGAATCTGCCATCACTGGAACCTTTGAAGAGGAATACAAAAATGTGTAAGCTTTAGAAACTGGGCGGTTTTAATTCTCACTTCGGCCACCTACTGTGCTTCCTCAAAGCTGAGCCTAGCACTTAAACAATGATGTAGATGTTGTACTTTTCCCATTCTTAGTGGAGATTTTGAAATAAATGCTCAGTAGTAGATCAATCATGGATGAATATAAAGCAATGGCCACCTTTCTACTTTGTTCTGCTTTATAGGACAGATCTGAAACTGTATGACATTAGTAAAATATATATACAATGTCACTGTTTATTGGATAGCATGATTTCTTTCAAAAGCATTGAAATATTTGCATTCTATATTTCTTTGAACAAGTGCAACGACCTACCACATGAATCAATTGAATTGAATATTAATTCAGCTCTGACTTTTTGAAAAAAATTATAAAATACTTTTGAATATAACTAGTGCTTAGTTTACTTAGCTATGCATTTATTTATTTTGGGGGGGGACTTTAAGAAGAAAATCTATGCCTTATATAAAACTAATTGTTATTTTGATGATCTAAAGCAATATTTTTTAATTCATTGGCTTCAATCACTCATGTAATTATTAATGACTGAAAGTTTAAAGTGTAAACTTCTAAGAAAGGGGCAACATGAAGTATTATAGATATACATGTTTTTAAGCAAATGCCTGATACTAAAAAGACAATACTTTAAAAAACACACAAAATTTACATCATTTTTCTGTTCACACTGAGGAACACAGATATCTCCCCAGCCCTCCAAGCAATGATGCTGGTTGATTCTTTGCAGCAGACACAACATCTACAGAGGGCTCAAAACACTGTGACCCAGTGGAGAGATCCGTGTCTCTCATCATGATCTTCCACTTGTTTTCTGACCCCAGAAGTCTTAAACTTAATAATCCTTTTTTTTTTTTTCATACAGAAGGGGACCAAAATTACAGTTACATATATCCATTTGGTTGAATGTCAGTAATTAGACATTATGATAGGGTAGAAATTTTCACCTTGGTTATATTTATACATAAAACTTGCCGTATTATTCTGTTCTCACACTGCTAATAAAGGCATACCTGAGACTGGTTAGTTTATAAAAGAAAGAGGTTTAATTGTCACACAGTTCTGCAGGGCTGGGGAGGTTACAGAAAACTTACGATCATGGCAGAAGGGGAAGCAAACATGTCTTTCTTCACATGGAGGCAGCAAGGACAAGTGCAGAGCAATAAGGAGAAAAACCCCTTATAAAACCATCAGATCTTGTGAGAACTCACTATCATGAGAACAGCATGGAGGTAGCCACCCCCATGATTTAATTACCTCCCACAGGCTTCCTCCCAGAACACGTGGGGATTATGGGAACTACAATTCAAGATAAAATTTGGGTGGAGACACAGCCAAATCTTATCACTTGCTGAGCAAATTAATAATGTGAGCAAAATTATTGCACTGAGATTGCTTAAACTGTTCAATAGGTCCAAGTGGTTTTGAATATGCTCCAGTAATTTCAGAATTTCTGGTTCCTATAGACATAATTCATTGCTAGATGATTGCACATATACCTTCATTATGCACGCAAAATAACTAAACCAAGAGAGGTTAACATTGAACACTAATGTTCAACACATTGATACACTGAACGTTAACTATTCTAACAGAGACAACTAACTGAATCTACAGTGCTATGCTTTCCACTGAAGTCATTTGCTTAACATTACATGTGAATTGCCAATATTTCTAATATCATCACTAAATTGGTAAAACTACTCTGTACACCACATCTGAATATATTAAAATACATTTCACAACCACTTTTAATTTTGTATATTCATAATTGTATGCATATTCTCCAAGTCTTGGATTTATGACCTTATAAAAAGAAAAATAAATTATTTTATCAATAGTAATGTTAACATTTTAAGTAAAAATTTATCTGTGAAATTATTTTATCAATATCATATTAAATAATAATAAATCTCCTTGAGAAATTAACTTGTATTTTACCTGAGGTAAAATAGTGGCCCTGATTATAATGAGTTTTTATAAGATATCTACATATCGCCCACTGTTTTCACCTTAGATGGGCATTTATTTCTTCATTAAAAATGTCTCTTATGTTTTGTGAATTAGACATTTACATAGTTTCTAACATTGTTATGACAACAGCAAAAGAGTCAAGCACAGTGGCTCACGCCTGTAATCCCAGCACTGTAGGAGGCCAAGACGGGCAGATCACCTGAGGCCAGGAGTTCGAGACCAGCCTGGCCAACATGGTGAAACCGTGTCTCTAGTAAAATACAAAAAAATTAGCCAGGCATGGTGGTATGCACCTACAATCCCAGCTACTCAGGAGGTTCGCTTGAACCTGGGAAGTGGACGTTGCAATGAGCCGAGATCATCATGCCACCGTTGCACTCCAGCCTGGGTGACAGGGAGAGACTCTGTCTCAAAAAATAAAATATAAATAAATAATAAATTTTTAAAAAGACGTAGCAAAAGAAAATTAGGTGCTTTTATTCTGGAATTTCTATATAGAATACATTACTTTCAGCCCAACAGTAACCAGTTCTAGAAAAGTGACCTTTCAAATAGAAGTTTTGGCTCCTAATTCTTTATTATGTACATGAATTGTTTAGTATGTACATGAATTATGTGTGTCTATTCAAAATACTCTGCTTTTATAAACGGCATTTCATTCAGATTTATGTGAGCTTTTTGAGAACATGCTATAAAAGCATTTACGTATATTTCAATTAGATCTCACCATGAGCTTATAGGCATTTCTTTCTCATAAGGCACAAAGCAAGTTTGGCCCTGCACTGAATATCCCCTGAGAGCTGACTTCCCAATAGCATTAGTTCAACAGGCATTTTATGCTAACTACATAGTTTCTTATTAATTTTTTTCAAATAACATGACTAGAATATACATAAAATAGTACTTTCTTATCATTATATTGTTACCTAATCATAGTAAATTTTCCCACTCGCTTTCTTATTAAGAAATGCCAAGTAGTTTTTCCTACATTATCTTGACATATTCATTTAACAATCTTTTGGGATGCTCATGGTGTATGTCTTTAAGTTTTTTTTCTTTTTAGAAAATATCAAGAAAAAATATTAAATAATTTAACATATATTTAAGGAAGTAGATATATTCCTTACACTTCACATTTCTTGGAGATTCTTTTTAAAACAGCTGAGAATACTACACTTTCCACTCCATGGAAATCATTCCTTTTTCCCAATCATCTACGAGTAATCAAAAATATTTGTTTATCATTTATTAAGCCAACCATCATTTGCAATACCTTATGGAATTCATGTTTTAGATTTTAATGTATTGTTCCATAATTTTTCCCTTAGTTTTAATTTTTTTATATATGAAACCTAAGTGCAAGTGAGAAATAGGATTTTTTCTCCACCTCTTTAGGAAAAATGGTATTAGTTGAAGGCTTTGGTAATAAAAAAAAATTCACATTAAATAGGCTTTGCCTAGGATTTTGGTATAAACTACCAATTTAGATACAACTTCAATTTTAAACCATAATTCTTCCCAGACTTCCTTAAAACTCAGCCCAGATGAAGAAAAAAGAAAGACATTTTGGCTAAGTTGCCTCATGACTGTTTTTAATGAACGTTTTGCTAAGCTCTTCTTATGAATAATAAAAACACATGTGATATAGCAAAAGATGGAACATAAAACCTTAAATATCCTGTCCATATCAAGAAGATTGAGAAATACTGATCCTTTAAAAACAATTTCTGATTTTATGTGGTATTTTTTGTCACAATGTGAGCACAATTTAAATGTCTCAATGGCCAAAGCTCCCGTTTTAAAGGTCTCTGAAAGGGGAGACCCATATCTGAGGTGTGACTCAGGGGAATCACTTCCAGGAGAAAGACGCAAATGCCAGTGCCATGCATGTAATAAAGCTAAGTGGCAGCCGAAAAAAATTCATCAAAAACGTTAACTCCACAGGAGATACTAACTCAATATGTCAGTTAATTGGATAAATTATGCTATCATCTAGTGAGTGACCTCTCAGCAGAGCAGGATTTAATGATGACAATTATTTGGGGAAAAGAGGAAGACAGGGGAGGGTCTATGTTATAAAATAAGTTATTTAAAACATAAGATAAAACCTTAAACCTGAGTCCTTTTCAAACACTTTCTGTTTCATGGCATTAAAGAAATAAATATTAAGATCTTACCTGTTGGAATGTTCTCTGGCATTTAAAAGAGAGAACAATGAAAAGTAAAGGACAGACTTCAAAGTAACTGGCACTTTATATGTGCATTTAATCTAAAAAATCCTAAAACTTTGCCTAGAAACATAGAAATGAAAGAGCTAATATCCCATATATCTCGAGGAGAGAAAAAAATGTTGCATAAACAAAACTTGAACAGATAATTCATACAGTTAGGTTTCAAATTATATGTTGATGTGGCCCAGTTCTTGTGACACATATTTAAAAAACTTTTAGGATGCTTGTTGTACATATCATTCTCTCCATAGATAGATAGATAGATAGATAGATAGATAGATAGATAGATAGATAGATAATTCAGAAATAATTTTGAAAAATCAATGTATAATTAAATATTTAGTGCATTTGTATAATAAGGTCTACATGTTTTAAATAACATAATATGTAATATGATAAAATAATATTTTACTGACTTTTTAAATTATATGTAAGTGATTTATGAGCATCTAAAACTGAGGTTATCCCAGGCTAATGTCAACCCTCTCCCAATAGAATAATCATGAATATCATCTTTTGAAAGACTAGAAAATAAAAGCCATTGTCGTTGCTTCAGCTATACATGGTAATTGCAGCCATGGCATAATAAACATCAGTACTTGTCTTATATAAACACAGAGGAGAAACACAAATCCAGGGGAAGTCACAGCTTTTAAAGTTATTACTTAACTTCCTTGTCCAGTCATAAAGATGTACTTTCACTTTTTCTTCATTCGTTTTCTTTATTCTTTTTATTTTTGTCACTGAATGAGCAAAATTTATGTAGTTTTTTTTTAAACTACATAATCCTGTCTAGTGGGCAAATCGCTAAATAATAACTAAATTAATTCATTTTAGGTAGGATAATCATGTATATGTCATGATAATTACCATGATAATTTTTTATCCAATCAAAAAATTTAAATTTATTTGCAACTTTTCCATCAAAAACTTGTTTTAAAATTATTTATTTACTTTTTAGAAAGGGTCTTGCTCTGTGCAGTGGCATACTTTTGCCTCAATGCAGCCTCTGCCTCCAAGGTTCAAGGGATTCTCATGTCTTAACCTCCAAAGTAGCTGGGATTACAGGCATGTGCCACCATGCCCAGCTAATTTTTATATTTTTAGTAGAGACAGGTTTTCGCCATGTTGTCCAGGCTGGTCTCAAACTCCTGACTTAGAGTGATCTTCCCATCTAGGCCTCCCATAGTGCTGGGATTACAGGCTTCGGCCACCATGCACAGCTGGCTTTCTTTCTTCAAACTTAAACTATCTGTTACTAGGATTTTTAGGAAAAGATGTAGGCAGAGTATTTAAATGAATATATCATCACTATTATAATTTAGAATATCAAGTAGTCTTTAAAATTAGCCTTTTAAAAAGGATGCTTACTTTGCAAAATGTTGGGTAAAACTATTTTAATAAATACGTGAGCCCCGTATTTGTGGAAAATCATAAACTTTGGTGTCAGGCTTGCTGAAGGATCCCTGCTGCATGCCTTTCCTACCTATGCGATCTTCAACTGAGTGGGCCTTCCTCATACTGGTAATAAATATGGGGACTAAGTGGAAGTTGGGAGGATTGGCCTTCAATTTCCAATTTCTTAGCAATATGAATGATCAACCTCAGATCCCTCAATTCTTAAAGAATGGTGACATCTGTATTAAGATGCTGAATTATTTACCAGAATTTTAAATAACCTAACCTAAAAAGTTTGTATATAAATTCATGGGCACATATGAATACAGTGTATATTTATATACTATTTATATATGTCTATAAATAGTATGCTGTTTTCAAATCCATGCAGATTTATCTGGTGTTGATAATTAAAAATAAAAATATTATACTTTTTGTCAAAAATGTATCATTTTTATTTACTTTACCTTTTTGAAAGTGATAAGAAAATATAAAGAGAAAAATTTTCACCCCTTATAAAATATTGATATTTTTACAATATTAATTAAAATAGCTCCATAAGTGCTATTATTTACTGCTACTATAAAAACACTATAAACTATGCTTTTAAAATAATAAAAAATGTGTTCATCTATATTTAAGTTTAACAAGTAACGGTTTTACATAATATATTAATGATTCTGGAACCTACTGGATAGCATAAAAACAAAAGTATAAACATATTTTCTTGATAGCCATCAGCATTGAGCCTCAAGAGTAGTTAAACTATTAGGTTTGTTGATGCTTTCATTTCTTAATGAATCTTATATAATCATTTATTATTATGAACTTTTTGCTACTATCAAAATGTCTAATATAAAAAAAAATAGGCTCTGCTATGTGAGATATTTCATACACACACACACACACACACACACACACACCCCAATGAAGGAATTCTTTGGAAATATGTATACACACACACACACACACACACACACACACACACATAAATAAAGGAATTATTTAAACTGGAAAATAAAAAGCTCAAGGTGAATGGTAAAAGGGGGAGAGAAAGAGAAATCCAGCTCAGAGAGACTGTGGCTTATCAGAGGTTTCTTCTCCACAATTTTGTCAGCTGCTAATTTCTCCCCATTTCCTGTGCCCTTTAAAATATCCCTACCATCACTACCATTGCCCATCCCAAAAATTATCACATATTTTCTCATTTATTTGCTGTTTTCCCGCATTTTCTGTGGCATGTAGTCATCATTGTGACATCAATTATTAAGTTTCTCTGAAGAAAGGCCATAAAAACTTGCCAATTTTTTTCAAAATTAGATTTTCTTAACTCCATTTAATATGAGAACAAACTAAAAGAGAAACAATTGAAGCACTTCTCCCCCTACTAAATCAATGTACACTTCACATTTCAAAAAGACTCAACCTTTATTCCTATCCATTCCTACCAATTCCTAAAATGTACTTTTACGCAAAAAAAAAAAAAAAAAGGACTCATTTTTTAAAATGTCTCCTGGTTACACTGACCCTGCTATGACTGCCACATTTCAGGTGTCTTTAGCATTGATGCATTTTCCTAGGTCCAATATGATCTAGAATATTTTTGTTAAACTCGACCTTTTCTACTTCATCAAGTTTCTCTAAAGTGGGGCTTTTTTCTAGTCTATCTACTATTTAAAACACTTGAAACTGTAGTAGGATAATACTGGATGACAGTAATTCATGATGGAAAAGGAATGAGTAAAATTCAAAGGCTGATTTGCAATGGATTGGTAGAGAACATATACTATTACATAAACAATAGTGTATACTTTTCAGATTAAAATAATAGTGTATATTTTTCATCTCCATGAGATAGAAAACAAATGATACTATATAAGTGAATTATGTTGTATTATTACACATATATTACATTATGCACCTTGAGTATTATATATAATTCCCATATTATTAGTATACTTCATGAAAACCCATTAATTAAATGAAAAGAGATCAATTAATATTGCATGTCTCAGCAAAAATGTGTTCTAGGAGTTTGAACATACTCCCCACCCCCTTCGTATCATTAACCTCCCCTTTTTCACTTGTGTGACATTTTTCCTGGAGACTGTGTAGCAAGAAGCCCTGTCCCAGCAAGCACAGCATCTGTTTGAAGGACATCCAGGGACGAACAGCCAATTGTGCCACGGCCAGATTTGTGCTCCACTCTCTCCCAAGGGAATTGAAGAGGGAGACAGGCATGTGTGTGACTGCCCATCTGCCAGCCTCGCTGACTCGCTAGCTAGGTGTCTGCCATGGTGCCATGCTGAAGGTTCCTTGAACCAGTGCTCAGAAGATAAATGCTGTTTCTTTTGTTTTTTTTTCTCCCCTTCAAAAACACAAACGCCTGAATAACTTCAACGCAGCTGATATTAACCAGCGTGGCTCTACTACAATACGTTTTATCAAGCAAATAGATAGCTACTAACAACCTCCAGAATAGCTCAATTCTAATACAAAGAGAAAATTCTCCAAATATGAATGATGATCAAAATAGCCAAGAATCCCTGGAGGTGTGAAACCACTCAACTTCACATCACTAATTTGTGTACTAGTTCAAGCAAATGGACATTCTTATTAGCTGATGATGTTTATCAAAATCAACTTTCAGCTAGTTGGAAAATCATGGGTGAAAATAAATGAATAGAAGTAAACAAAGATAAGAAAAGGAGCAGGCAGAAGCTTCAGAAATTAAAAGCCTGAACATTTCTAACATCAGTGAGCACTTCTATATGCATTGATAGTCTCTGTGGGAATTAAAATGTAACAATGGAGGGAAACACAAGGAAAAGCACCGCAATTCTGTCGTACTTAGTGTAAGGGCAAACATCCTTGCTCTCATTAGAAGTTCCTCAAGTTGCAGTGTTCGAGAGCAGCCGCAAAGTAGCAGCTATTTATAAAGAAACTACTTATTAGTTTCTTTATGAATAGCACTTGTGTAAAACTGGGGTGATGTGCAACATATTTTGGAGATATATATATGTGTATATATATGTGTATATATGTATATATGTGTATATATATGTGTATATATGTATATATGTGTATATATGTATATATGTGTATATGTGTATATATGTGTATATATGTACATATGTGTGTATATATGTATATATGTGTATATATATGTATATATGTGTGTATATGTAAATGTGTGTATATATATATATAAAACAACGTAAGTATTATAAAATTGCACCCCTAGTGCACTTGTATAAAAAAGGGGTGATGTGCCATATACTCTGGAGATAAAAGTAAGTATTATAAAATAATAGGTAGCTCACCCAGCTGGGAGAGATAGCTCACACCTGTAGTTCCAGCACTTTGGGAAGCCAAGGCAAACCGATTGCTTGAGCCCAGAAGTTTGAGGCTACAGTGAGCTGTGGTGGTGCCACTGCACTCCAGTCTGGGCAACAGAAGGAGACCCTGTCTCCAAAAAGAAAATTTAAAAAGAAAAAAAAAAGAAAGAAAGAAAATTAAAGAAAGAACAGGTAGCTCGAAGTTCCAGGTTCAGCTGTATGGAGAGATGATGAATCTGGAACTACATTTTTTGGCAGCTCTAGATAGGTAATAATAGCTTCACCATGTTTATTTAAATGATATTATTTAAATTTAGTTTCTCTTCTTTTTTCTGTCTACTATAATATGCTTTTTCTCAAAATATATCATATCAGTTTTTAAAGCTGTTTTTAGAAATTAGGAAACTAGATACCAGCGGTCGATACCATGCCAATTTTTAAAAATCACTAGATTATTATACTATATCCACCATTATATCTGCTCCTAACCATATAAACTTATTTTTTTTTTGATGGCGACCAATATTTTATTATGTTTGGACATAACCAGATAACACTTGGTTTCTGGATAACTTCACCCTGGACATCTTAGCCCAAAAAATCAGTACAGCATTGGCCAGTTAGAATACAATTATTAATCTAGCCTTACGCAGGGATCCCCAACCCTCAGGCTGTGAAAAAGTATTGGTCCGTGGCCTGTTAGGAACCGGGCCACGCAGCAGGAGGGGAGTGACAGGCCGGTGAGTGAGGCTTCATATGTATTTACACGTGCTCCCCATTGCTTACCCTGAGCTCTGCCTCCTATCAGATCAGCACCGGCATTAGATTCTCATAGGAGCAGGAAACTTACTGCGAACTGTGCACGTGAGTGATCCAGGTTGTGTGCTCCTTATGAGACCCTAACTAGTGCCTGATGATCTGAAGTGGGACAGTTTCATCCTGAAACAATTCCCCAACCTGAGGTCCCTGGAAAAATTAGCTTCCATGAACACTATTCCCTGATGCCAAAAACGAATAAAAAAATCTAATAAAAGAGAAAATTCTCCAAATATGAATGATGATCAAAATAGCCAAGAGTCCCTGGAGGTGTGAAACCACTCAATTCCATGCCACTAACTTGTTTACTGTTCAAGCAAATGGACGTTCTTATCAGCTGACAGTGTCTATCAAAATCAACTTTCAGCTGATTTTGATTTTTCAGGTCAGTGGGGACCACTGCCTTACAACATTTGTTTTTAACATCTAGGGGAAAGGTCTCGGTGTGTGTGTCTCTAAGGGTGTGTGTGTGTGTTTCTTTGTAACATTCATGATAGCACTTTATTGGAAGGAGTTTTAATACACAGCTTGGCCCATTTCTTCCCTCTGACTGAATGCCTTTAAAGAATGGTACAGTCGAAGAGAGCAATACTGCATAGCCATGGCCTGCCACAGCAAAGAGTAAATTAGATGTGATCACTAATTGAGCTCAATCTCTGAGAAGTTTATTTTCTTAGAACTGTTAGAAACTGACCAGCAGAAGCACTTGCCTTAGAACTTCTGACAGATTCCATTGAGATCGATGAAACGGCAGCTAGAAAGTTAAATGGAAGCCTTAGGTCAGTTGACGGCTTTTCTTCTGCTATTAAAGATGTGTTACCGGCGATCTCTGCTCGTGGATGGCTTTAACACCCCGCCACACCCAACAAGTGTGGGTTATATCCTATAAGGATGATATTCACAGTATTGAAAGGATGTAGTTTGGAATGTTCATAAGTGAGTCATAGAGAATAAAACAGCTCTGGACAATATCTTCTCAACACAGAATGGCTACAGCCTTGCTGTAGAGTGAGTCCAGCTGCTACGTGGGAAGGGAGTTGGATTCTTAATAACAAGGGCAGCATGACACAAGTATTTGGTGAGCAAGAAGGAGGTAGTAATGAGGAAGGAGAAAATGCTTCACAATTTAAATAAAAGACACCATCAAAAGGCACTGCTTTTTATTGAGTACCTTAATATTTTAATAATAATTTTAACTGTTACATGAAAGGTTCTCTCATTTTTTTCATATTTGGCGTTAGTTTATGGCTTTCTACCGTGCATGTATTGGAAAACCCACTTTAAATCTGGAGTAATTGAGAGGATGGGCTTGCCAGAATAGAATATCCTAAAATGCTTTCATAATGTCTAGTAAAAATGGATTGCAGACAAGAAGAATGATTTGAAAACAAGGGAAATGAGCAGGATAAGGAGAAGCTGTGAACTGGAAGCCAGCTCTGCAGTGTTTAGTTTTGTCTGGTGGTTTAGTTTTGTCTGCAGTGTTTAGTTTTGAGCTGTGAGCATTTACCAGCTCCATGATGCTGTGATGGCTGCTTGGTTCACAGGAGAGGGAGGCAGGGATCCCAGCAGAACCGTCTTCTGTGTAGTTTGCAAGCACTGTGCTCAGTTTTCTGACATTTCTGTTGACTTGTTTCCAGGATATTATTTAGAAAGTGGTTTCAGAAAACATATTAGGCAACTAAATATTAATAAGTACTTGAAGTTCAGGCTTTTGTCTTTAGGTGCACAGTACTCTTTTTCTGGAGTTCGATATAAACCACTGGTTTTGATCTGAGGCTCCAGCTTCTGAAGAAGTGGATTCAACCAATCAAGTCCTACGTGTTGAGGTGGCAGTAGCATACTATTAACCAAAAAGAGTCATTGGTTATTATTATATGAAGGCCTTAATGGAATATAATTCTAAAGATAAGTCTTAAATATTTGTTTATAAAACATAATTTATTGGGGGAAATACCTTAAAGATGCTCTTCTTTCACTTCCATTTTACCAAATGTATTTCAACAAAATGCAAATAAATGTAAGCAACCACACTTGGGCATAGAAAATTCACTACCCTTCTTCTGATTTATTTTTTCATATTACATAATAATAATATAAATTGGAAGCATTTTGAAATGTCATTACCTACATGTTATCTGCAAGTATTTTAGACAATCATATCTGTTTTATAATTCTTTGTTTTCTTCTATTTCTAATTAGCTTTTACAGTCATAATTCTTATCTTTTTATTTGATTTTAAGCATATTGAGAACATTCTGGCATTTTCTATAAATTTTCATAAATTGACACTGTACTTTTATAATCACGTTAATACTGTGTTTTGCTGGAGATGCTTGAAAGACATGTTTTGTTATATAAAATACAATGTACTGTTTAGAGGCACATTTGCTTTGATTTAATAGCACTGGTTTAAAAATAGATAAAATTATATTAACTCATAATTAACATTAGTTAACTGATAACTATTAAATATGTGGAAGAAACTTTCAACATTGTAAAATTTGTTTTTATATTTTTTAAAAAGCTAATATTTTATTGAAAGTCCTTGTAATATTGGTTATTTTTAATTTGTCTTAATAATAAGTTTTTTTGTCATTACTCCATCAGTGACTAAATATGTACCAAATAGCAAGCCAAATTTAGTATTTAGGAAACTCTACATATCTCCACACATAAAACTCTTTTTGGTGAATGAAAATAAAACTTCACTGAAAAAAATAAACATCAGTTTGACAAATCCCTTTAAAATATTTTATCCAGTTGCAAACCATATTATGTTAAATAATTTCCTAGCTTTGTCTTCTCCATATAAATAATCACCATCCTTTGACCCTTTCATCATTTTCTATTGCCATTATCTGAACTAATACAAATTCTTTCTTTCCATTCATTGCTGATTGGGTCACTATAAGTTTGTTTCCTGTCTAACATTAAATGATGGGGTCCAAACTTAATGCATATGATTTTTACAATATGGTACAAGCCCTGACTGATGTCCTTGAATTGTGTCATTGAAATAACAGTTATTCCTTCTTAAATGCACATATTAAAATTGCACAATGACGTTTTGGACCCCACACTAGTGTTGTTTGCTTAACTTTCCTGCTTCAATTCACACATGACAGACACATTAATCAGCTCTACCACTAAGCTGTGGTCCTGAAGTTCAGTGATGTTAAAAAAAAAAAGTATAGCACGTTTACTATTTAAATAAAAGTATTATTTATATTTACTTTCATGCAATCAAAAACTGGCCAAGATACAGATTTTATTAAACAACATAAACTTCAAAATATCATTTAATTTGATGTTGGTATGACTTCATTTAAAGTTAGTATAAGCTGTCTATTAGATATAGCAAAGTATTACGTAAATGTTAAGTTTTACTTTAAGTATTTTGAAGACCACTTTCTCTTCCAGATTTCTGAAAATATCTTATATTATATGGTTTTAAGAAAAATCTATCAAAATCTCAGCCCATAATAGATAAAAATTAATGGCTAATGACTGATTCTTTGTTTTTATAAATGAAGGTTTTTTGATGGTAATTCTTCTGAAAATGTCTTAATTCTACTTGAAAAGCATTGGCAAATCATTTAAGATGACATTATGAATACAGATTTAATAAAGCAAATCCTCTAAATTCAGAATAAGAAGCTCCCTAGTTTGAAGTTCTAAGTCTGAGACTTTCTATTATATTCAGTTTTACATCTGCAGAAGCCATGGTCTTTATTTGACTTGCACAGACAGCAAGAGAAGAAAACTCCACTTAGGGGTCCTAAGTATACTCCACCAACAGACAATGCTGCATGATTGACAGAAAGATAATAAGTATGATTAACAGCTTACTTACCACTTGAACTGACTAATCCAAGATCTATAACAACTTTACTATAATTAAATAAACTAATGATAAACTAAATAGACAATACATTATTTTTTAAGCCTTAAGTTTAAATGCTGCACTACAGAGATAGATTAAATAGCAACTTTGCATTTAACATAGAAAAATGATGGTAATAATCATCATTTAAACCATAGGAAATTACTGTTTTTATAGGTGAAAATCATTGAATATTGGCAATTTCTTATGGCTTAATCTACAAAAGACATTTAGTGTTTCAATCAATAAGCCAGATGTCAACTTGTCTAGTTGAAATCTTGCTCTCCTTTACTGGCTGTGAGATCACAGGCAAACTACCAAGCTCTCTTTTCCTCAGTTGTCTTGACTATTAAATTTAGATAATAATATCACCTATTTCATATGATAATTGTGAAGACTCATAAATGCACAAAATATGAAAAAACATAGAATACTGTCTATTATTATTACTTAAGCTTGTCACCCAGGCTATCATTATTTTTACACTAAATCAACAATAGTGTGTGAATGTATTTAGCAAGAACTGTGAGAATGTCAGGAAGATTTTCAAGAAAATCTCCAAAAATGCCTTCACTAATTAATTTGCAATTGGATCTTTTCCACATCGATCTAGGCTCTTTAATGCTTATTTCCTGATATCTCTATAAGTGTAAATGGTTTTCCAATTTCTTTTCTATTAATTAGTACTCCAATACTTTGAAAATGACTAATTACTTCACAGATATAATCATGAGCAGTACTGACTTTACATTTTAACTGAGATGAAACTAATAATTTAATACTTATCTTTCCATACTTTTTATATGATGGTGAGTCATTTCACTACACTGACTTTTAGCTTTCTAATCTGTACAGTTATAATCTGTGAAGTTTTCTAATCTGTAAAGCTATAACCGTATGCAAAAGGAATATACAAATATGATGTGGCATTCGACATGCTCTCTGGAAATAAAAGATCAGGAAGCAACAAAAAATTGTGTAAGACTGTTGTACAAGAAATGGGAAAAAGCTGTATAAGAATGTGTCTGTGGAAAGAAAACTTAAATTTACATTAAAAAAATCACAATTCATAGGAATCAATATAGCTCTATTGGTTAAAGCAGACATTCTACAGTATGATAACTGCTTTTTCAATGTTTTCTAAACACAGAACACAATATAGGATTTGGGCTACAATCCTTGCCTGAGGTCCTTATTTAAACAATTTATTTGTTATCTTCATACAAGTGCTAAGGTATCTGAAAATAATCTTATCAAGACTCTAAACTTCTTTCAGAAAGACTTGGGATGTGGAGGTTTACTTTTGAAGCTTCTCAACTGGGAAAACTCTTTCCCTTGAGAGAATTAAACAGCTCAGAATGTCAAACTTTGATCTAAGCTGCTCAAAACATTCAGAAGTAATGTCAAGACAGCAATTTACTTCTGTTTTCATCTGCAGGTGTGAGCCTCAATAGCAAAACACAGGACGCCCAAAACATAAAATTGTTGCAGAAAATATTCTCAGGGGTGCTTTTCAGTAATTATCTCATTTACTCATGAAATATATTGGAAGGATAGTGAAGGGTAAGTCAAGAATGCACAATTCAGTTGGAATATTTTATGTTTATTACAAAACATATATAGCAATTCAAATATGTGGCTTTGTTTATTTTTAATAGCTATGTATAAGATATGTCTAACTACAAAGTAAGGACCACATTTCCTAAAATCCATTTCAAGCTCAACCAGCTCCAAACAAAATAGTTCAGTGCTCCCTGGTTGCATATTTCTTCTGTGTAATTTTATCTCTGTGATGCAGATGTCACTCTGAGGTTTCTAATATTGACACAATAGCCTTAGAAAACCTCCACCCTTCAAGGTAGTAGACATAAAAATAATTTAACCAATAAATCTGAAACTTTCAAATTCATGTTTCATGTTTTTCACTTGTTTGGTTCTTTTTGTCTTTTCTCTTCTTTTCCTCTATTCCAGCCTCTCCTGACACAGGGTCCACCTCCTGTGGCTGCCACTTGACAATGGCAATTCCTTTGTATGGGGATGTGGTGGCACTGTGACACTCACATATCCACGCTGTCTTCCTGTCCCTTCTCTTGTAGCTCGAGTCCCTTCAACTTTTGAATATGAATACAAATGCAAGGACAAATGAAGGATTTAAGTAGATCTGCAATGTATTTTCCAATGCAAACATTAGTATCAAAATGCAAAAATCAAAAGCTTCCTTGACTTGCACAAAAAGATGTCCACCCTGAGTGGCATTTACTTGATAAAAAGTAGTTAAGCATGTATTAGTCTGTTTGCACATTTTTAAAGAAATACCTGAAACTGGGTAACTTATAGAGAAAAGAGGTTTAGTTGGCTCATGGCTCCACATGCAGTGCAGGAAGCACGGCTGGGGAGGACTAAAGAAACTTACAATTATGGCAGAAGGGGAAGGGGAAGAAGGCATGTCTTCCATGGCTGGAGCAGAAGGAGGAGAAGAAAAGGGGAGGTGCTACACACTTTTAAACAATCAGATCTTCTAAGAACTCACTCAGTATCGCACAAGCAGCAAGGGGGAAATCTTCCCTCATGATCCAATCACCTCCCACCAGGCCTCTCTTCCAACACTGAGAACTACAATTTGACATGAGATTTGGGCTTAGATACAAATCCAAATCAAATCAAGCATCTAAAGCCTCTTCCTATGCCTGTCAATTTTCTAGATACTATATGTACTTTTTAGAGGAAGAAAGAAAAGAAGAAAAAGAGGAAGGGAAGAAGTGAGACAGGGGATGAACATTGCTAGACTCATTTTCTATTGCTGTATGACAAATTCCTAAATATAGAAGCTCTAAACAACAAGAAATTAGTATGTACATTCTTGAATGAGGAATATGGGCAGGGGTAAAAGAAAAGTTCTGCTGTGCATTTCAACAAATGGACATCCTGAAATCAAGATGCTGATGGAACTCGGACCTCTTCGGTGGCTCAAGACCCTCTTCCAAGCTTTTGTCACAGAATTCAGTTCCTATGGTTGCAGAGTGGCGGTTCCAGTTATCTCATAAGTTTTATGTCACTGTCTCCTTTGGAAAGACACTCTTGGGTCCTATCCATGTGGCTCTTCCAAAATGGGGCATCATACGTCTTAAAAGCCAGCAGGACAACCTCACTCCAGGCTTCTATGAAGGAATCTTATATAATGTAAAACATCACAGGAATGACTATTCCTTATCTTTGTCAAAAATTAAGTAGCCAGGTGGATGGCTGTTCTATTATTTTCACAGGTCCATCCCAGACTCAAGGGGGAGATCATACAGGGTTCGCACAGCAGGGGCCGGAATCTTGGGGACTATCTTACAATTCTGCTTACCACACTTGTCTTTTTTTTTTTTTTTTTGAGAAGCTTCAATTGAAGGGGCAAATTATTTAGATATAGAGACATAGAGAGTAATACACATCTAAATAATCAAGCCAAGGGATCAGCAACTAAGCCTGATGCACAGAGATTAGAGAATGACTTTGGGAACTAAAGAGACAAACAAACTCGGGTTCAAGCCTAACAGTGAGTTGGACAAATTATTTTAACTTCTGTAAATCATGGCATTCGCATTGCTAAGCTGCAATGACTACCTTGCAGATTTATATAGGATATTTAATAAATAATATAATGCTGCATTTTCCCAGAAGGGATACTACTAGATATTAGTGTGTAATATCTATTATTTACCAAATTTTCATATATGCGATAGACTTGTCATGACAAGAATAAAATAAATCTGAAGAAAATAGGTAATATATGAACATTTGCTGATAATTTACCCATATCTATCAGTATAATGTTTATTTTTGTCTGCCAGATTGATATAATACATACTACATTGGAGTTTCTTTGTCTTTTTGTTTCTTTCTGAAGGTCATAAGAGAGTCATATCATTAGAAGTAGGATCAACAAAGTTGCATAAAATAAAGTCCTTAACTTTTCTATGAAATTGTTTCAGGAAACCTTGGCAATCAGAATGCTGTACAGGGAATAATGTTCCTCCTAGGAAAAGGGTCCCTGGCACTCATGTAACCAACCTGAGAGTGACTGAGATGATGGGGTTCACAATTTTGGAATAAAATGTAGATGTAGGCAGTTTCACATACATCCCAAAGATGCAGGAAGTCAGAACAGAATATATATTGTAAATCTCAAAGGAGAAAAGTGGACATAATTATTATCATTTGTCACCAATAGTGTTTCCACCTATTTCTTTGCCTGCTATAAATAAAAAGCAACTCCAGAAGTTGCTGAAGGGAATCTTAGTTTACTATCAATACTGCTTCAGAGGAAAGGGAAATGAAATGTCTTCACATTCTATGAGAAAGAAATATGGTACAAAAAAACTATGCAGCTCAAAGACTGGGGGCATCAGTTTTCTGGAGTCTAGTATAGTCAATCTCATCTAGAATCTACTTCAAAATGAGCAGGAGAATATACCTGGAGTGCTCTCGCAGAAAAGTCAGGCATCTAAAAAAATACTATGTCTGCTTCTCTACGGGTGAGACTATGTTGAACACATTAATATCAGATAAGCTAGTGAATACAAATATAATTGAGTATAATTCTGTAAAAATCACAGAATAAGAAACATCTTTATAAAATTGCATGGGCTGGGCGCGATGGCTCACGCCTGTAATCTCAACATTTTGGGAGGCCGAGATGGGTGGATCACGAGGTGAAGCATTCAAGACCAGCCTGGAAAACACGGTGAAATCCCGTCTCTACTAAAAATACAAAATTAGCCAGGCGTGGTAGCGTATGTCTGTAATCCCAGCTACTCGGGAGGCTGAGGCACAAGAATTGCTTGAACCCGGGAGGCAGAGGTTGCAGTGAACTGAGATTGCACCATTGTACTCCAGCCTGGGCAACAGAGCTAGACTCTGTTTCAAAACAAACAAACAAACATGCAAAACCAAAAAACAACAACAAAAGAAGTACTTCTATCCTTGCTCATGTTCTTCCTCTGTGATGAATGCTATGTGGACCAATTTTCATTCCTCCCTAATCTTTTCTTCTATGAAAATGATTCTTGAAACATGAGAACGATAATGGTACTTTTGTACCATTAACATGAAAAGACATTAAAACAAGGTTGTTCATATACTCTTTTGTTTGTATTTATAATAACCATTGCCTTAAGTTGGAATATATACTACAAGTTCTGCAGTATTTGCTTTGTTTTGGGTTATGTTCCATTCATACAATATGCTACTCATCTTAGGAAATACATTTTCATATGATTTTTGTGTTATGTTATTGTTTGTTAATATTGATATCTTTTTTTATTATTATGTTGCATTCTACATCTGAGTCACAAAGATTGTGAGTGGCTCACAAAGGAATCATTGCTGCATAGAACTAATGATGAAAATTTTAGCATAAATACTACAACTTTGTAAAACATGAACATAAAAAGGACAAATTCTGGGCAAAATGATATATGAATCTATATGTGCATTGACAAGTGATAAATAAAGGTAAGGATTTCTCATAAGCAGCAGAACAGAAAAAATATTCATAAAAATACCATTAACATGAGAAAAAATTGATTTTATTGAATTCATGATCCATTTACTCCTATTCCCCAATATGTGCTCTGTTATTAAGCTTTACCAAATTGTGTACTGATGTCATTGATACATTGATCTCTTTTTTTAATACACTGTCCTTTTTGCTAAACCAATTGTTTTTATATTCTTTCATAACAAGTCCAAAAACATGATTTAGAGGACAAAGTTGTTTATTTTTCCACTAAGTGTAGGGAAGGGAGAGCAGGATCATTCAGGCATCATTCAAATCAACACTTCCCCCAACAATAAGTACCAGGCACTGCATTATCTGGAAGCTTGTAAAGTCAGCCGCTAAGTTAACAGAAATATTATGCTCAGAGGGAAATCAAAAGGAGCTATTGACAAAAATTGCTCTATTAAATGACGCTGCTGGAAGTGGCATAATATCAATGCAACACAACTCCAAAAAGCAGGTCCTGTCACATATGTGGAAACAAGGATTTTAATTTAAAGGTGAACAAAACCAATTTGCATCATAACAGGCATTAAGAATCACCATTTAATATATGTGAATAATATGTCTGAGGGAGACTATCTTGACAATTTTTGTCTACATAACACTAAAAAACATGTGGTAGGAAAGTGTACATTATTTTTTAATGATTATTTATGAGTTGTGATGTTAGCAAGAAAGGACCTGAGTTGTATGCTGATAGGGCATCAGCTATATGCAAAGGCAATATTTAAATATTTATTAAAATATTTAATACCTGGTATGGTACGAGTAGCACCCTATCAGAACAAAACAACAAGCCCATGAATCACCTAATGGAGGCACCAGTGCATACCAGCTGAATTTAGCCATGCAATACATAAAACGTAAATTACAAATGAAGCCACTCTACTTTTTCTTTTTTGCTCAACACTCTGCCTTTTGATTCTCAATCTTAACTTGATCAAGAAGGGTTTCAGAAGTCTCATCTATAAACTTGAGGTTCCACAGCACCTAGAGCATACAACCCATGGACTAAAAGGTAATTCTTTAACTTTCAGGAGATAAATTTCTTCTGACGTTTCTGAAATCTTCTGCTGGTAAACCCTTCCTTAGCAATTTCCTTGCCTTCTGCCATATGCTCGTTTCTAATTATTCTTAAAATCAGCCCTCCTCAAAATGGTCAGAGCAAACCACCTTGAGGGATACACCTCATGCTGGGCCTCTAATCTTTGAAGAATATATTTGTTCTGGATTTTTCTAGAAACTTCTACTCAGCATCCCAAACACTCTTAATTTTTCTTCTATGAAATAATAAAGAATGTGTGCTTTCCTCTAATCACCTGAATGCAAAACATTCTTTAACAGTACAACTTGACGTCTTAATTGATAGTTTTCCTCCATTACTGCATTACTTCGGTCCTCACTGAGTTCTTACTTCCTTGGATTCTAATGTCTGATTAAGGAGAACCAACCAATATAGTACTGTGTGTGTGTATGTGGGTATTTTTTTTTCTTCAGAGTGGCTTTAGATTTCTCTCAAAATTAAATATACCTTGAAGGAATTTTTATATGCATTACACTCTGCTGATTATTGCTTAGATTACAATGTTATGAAATAGTTGCCTACTATCAAGTCATTTTAAATCTAGTAGAGAATTCTTTTCTTGACTTCTTTTACAGTTAGTTTGTTGTTTATGTATAAACATGTTACTAATTGTTGTGCCAAGTTGGTATCCTGAAACATTAATGAACTTGTTTATTTCTTCTGACGTTTGTTGGTGGAGTCTTTAAGGTTTTATATACATAGATCTATGACGTTGCTATCTGCAAACAGAGATAATTTTACATCTTCTTTCCTATTTGGATACTGTTTATTTTGTCTTCTTGCCTAATTAATAGGACTTTTAGGACTATATTTAATTATTATATATTTGAGATATTAATTCCTACTATATCAGTGGTTTGCATGTTGAGTTCTTATGTTTAAGTCTTTAATTCACTTTGAGTTGGCAAGTGGCAACAGGAGGGCAGGCTTGTCTTGGTTCCCATCTTAGAGGAAAAGCTTTCAGCTTCTCACCATCTTGTATGTTGTTAATGTTGGTCTTGTCATATGTGGCCTTCATTCAGTTGGGGTATATCCCTTATATACCTAATTTGCTGAGATTTCTTATCATAAAATGATGTTAAATTTTCCCAAGTGTTTTTCCTGCATCTACTGAGATAAGCATATATTTTAAAATTCTTTATTTTAATATCATTTACATATGTTGAACCAGCCAGAAAAGTCTTACTTACAATTGCTTCAAAAATAAAATACTTAAAAATAAAATACTTAAAAATAATTTTAACCAAGGAAGCAAAATATCTATAAACTAAAAACAATAGACATTGATTAAAGAAATTGAAGACACAAATAAACTGAAAGATATCCCATGTTCATGGGTTGAAATAATTAATATTGTTAAAATGTCCATATGACATAAGTGTACTATAAATTCAATGCAATTGCTATCAAAATCCCAATGGCATGTTTCACAGTAGTAAAAAAAAAAATCTAAATTAATGTGGAACCACAAAATACCCTAAATAGCTAAAGAAATCTTGAGCAAAAAAGAATCACACTGGAATTATCATACTACTTGATTTCAAAATATACTACAAAGTTATAGTAATCAAAACAACATGGTATTGACACAAAAGCAGACCTGTAGACAAATGGAACTGAATTAAAAGCCTGGAAAAAAATCTATGCATTTATGGCCAATTGATCTTCATCTGGGATAACAAAACCCACAATTAGAAAAGAACAGTCTCCACCATAAAGGGTGTTGGGAAAACTGGATATCCACATGCAGAAGAATATAATTAGACCCTTATCTCACATTATATACAAAAATGAACTCAAAGTGGATTAAAGACTTAAACATAAGAACTGAAAATGTAAAACTACTAGATGTTAACATAGGAAAAATCTTCCTCATATTGGTCTGGACAATGATTGTTTGGCTATGGCCCCAAAAGCACAGGCAACAAAGGCAAAAAATAGACAGGTTGAATTGCATCAAACTAAAAGGCTTCTGCAAAGCAAGGAAAACAATCAACAGAGTGAAGGGATAACCTACAGAATTCTTATCTTAAAAATTCCCAAGAGACTAGATCATAAATATTCTTACCACACAAAAAAAATGATACCTATGTAGGATGATGAATATATTAATTACCTCGATTCAATAATTATTTCACAACATATACATATATCAAAACATCATTGTGCACCAAAAATATATACAACATTTTAAAATTTTACTTCAATAAAGGAAAAGAGAAATGAACAGACAACTTACAGAAAATAAAATACAATTAGCTAATAAGCAAATTTTTAGGATTCATTTAGTAAGAATCAGCTTCAGTGTTTTAGTACAAAATAAAACAGGGCAACTGAAAAATATCTAGATCGGAACTTACCACAGAAACAAAAAGAATAGAATATTATTGAGTTCTATTTTAGTGAGACACAGATGGCCAAGAAGGTAAGTGAAGACTGGGATAGCCAGTAGGGTATCCCACAAGGCTAACCTCAGACTTTGTCCCAGTCTTAAGGATTTGCAAAATATGTACAGGTACAAGGAAGTCTGTTAGGATATAAGGGAAGACGAACATCAGGCATAAAAAAGCAGTGGCAGAAATGAGCATGGAGAGTGCTGAAACAATAAGAAGCCTGAGAATTTAGTCACAGAATGCCACTTCCTATGATGGAATATGTAAATTTATGATTATTAGCACTGAGAGATCTAAGTTAATGAGAAAATATTTGGCTATAGGAAAAGGGTAAAGTGGTCTTGTGGCTGGAGTTTCCAAGAACAATTATAATTTTGGATGCATAGTGTTGTCATTGCTTGTGTATAATGTAATCAATGTGCTGATTTGTGTGGGTGTGTTACGATACATAATTGGACTGTTAAGTGACTTTAGTGTAATGGTTCTTCTGAATCATTTTCAATTATAAAATTATGGATTAATTATTACTAAGAAAATTGTAAATATTCTCTTTTTCTGATATTTTAAAAGTTGAGTTCATAATAGTGATGTAACTTTTAGAAATATTCCTTGATATACCTTGAAGCAATATTTACTAAAACATCTAGGAGATTGCTAGGTGGTCATGTCTGCTTTTTAAAATATTTATTTCAAATGTGCTTAGTCATGAAGACTGAAATGGCTGGGAACCCAAGACATTTATTCCGAATGTGTCAAGTTCTTGGGAGTGTTTGTCATAAGAAGCCCCATTGAAAAAGAGTTTTTGTCATCTCAACTGTTGTTGCCTGATTAATGCTTTAACAATGAAAGTCTTTTGCTACGTTAACCTATTTCTAAGAGGGCGGAGGCATCTTTGGGATTGCTTCTTCTGAAAGAAGCAATTGAACTGGGTCACTACAGAAATTAAGTACATCGTTAGAAATTCTAATCATCAATGGCCATGAAATGGACCTTTTTAATCAAATCTAAAAAAAATTAGAGATCTCTTCATCTAAACAATTGATGGGAAGATTAAATTTTAAAATAGATGCATAATAGGGTGATGGCTAGCTTCAGAAACTGTCTTGACAAAATTAAAATGAAAAAGTCTAACCTAAATCAAAGTTAAAATTTGTGTGCTCGAATTGCCTGTTTTTTGATTCTATGTGGCATTTATAATGAAGTCCGTTTATAATTACGTGCATTCACCACTGCAGCTTGGGTTCAATACTTGATCAAGAAGCCAGTCGTTTTGGTTTGATATTTGTGTGACTTTGGTATTTGTGTGACTTTTGATTTTTGAGGGAGGCCAAATACTGATTCTTTTCCTTTCCATGGGCAGATTTTTATTTCCTTTTTTCTTCCATCTTTGGGGAAATATGGGACTTCTTATCCTCTGTATGTAGACGGTCAGCTGAGAAGCTGAGACCCTAGAGAACATGGCTGGACAGAATGTGAGTTGGACTCCATTTGCAGCTAGCCAAACTTTCCATTATTTAAGTTGACTTTGTGGTGGTTCTGCATCTCATGTGGACTGCCTTGTACCTCTTTGAAGATGATTTGTGTATCTTTGGTTAAGTCAGAACCTTAAGCCTTGGTTAAGGCTTATGTATTTCGCTTGGGAGAGTACCTTTGGTGAAAAAAAAAAGATTCGAAAGCCAGAAATATCAGCTCCTTGTCACAGCTAAAATTTGAATAACAAGAGATTTGAAAGATTTTTATTTTAAGAAGCTATATGGCCAGAAGTCAGCCGAATTAAAGGCTGATATCCAATCTGTATTGTCAAAAAGAAAAAGACAAGTTTCAGATTTTTTTTTTTGTAATGGCTGGCAAATTCCTGATGGAGGGCAGTTGTTTACGGTAAATAGTCGTTACCACAGAGGCTTATTTTTTGCATATTTACAAAGAAAATGGCACAGTTCGAACACCTAGTGAAATATCTTCCTAACAAAGTGCACCATGAAAGCATTATATGGCCTGATTCCATAGCAATTTTCTCTTTTTAGGAATCTGGGATTCAGTGTAGGCTCCTCCTGAGCCCAGTGATCCAATTTAAAAGTCAGCTATACAGCTAGATTGGTCTTCATAATATAACACTCTGATATTTAGCTAGTTGTTTTTTTTTTTAAAAGATTTCTGAATTCCCTCTAGGCTTATCTGTATATCTCCATTTTTAATGTTCCTCTAACACACTCAAACTCTTTCTTAAAAAACCTTAAACCCTCTCTGTGTGATCTGAGATGTAAATTTGCTACATTGTTTTCTCCAAAAATCAGTGAGGGCATCGGCTATGTAAGAAAGATAAATGTTAACCTTTCCCATTAACAAAGGCATAATTCAATTCAACTGTACAGTTTTAAACTAGTGAGTTTTATCTGTCTCATGGCTCAAATTTTCAAATAAAAATTATCAAGTCTTTGTGTCTGTCTGTATTTTTACATGTATATTTGTGTGTGTGTGTCTGTGTATTATCTACATGAGTATCAAATTGACGTAAATAAATGGCACTCATAATTTAAGTTACAAACCCTAAATGCTAAGTTTATGTGATTTTAGTAATCTTTGATTAATCATTAAGGTTTGAAGATTATTGGTAAAATAAAATAGACATATATTCAAAATTTAATGTAGACATTTTTTTTTTCCCCGGGGTCTACTTGTCAGACTGGTTTATACTGTCTGCTACATCCCGTAAGGTCATAAAACTGTTGTTTTCTGATATTTTTGACACTTGCTTAATTTGTCTGTTATCTTATAAAGAAGTGAAAATGTGTTTTTTTGTTAAAGGGAAAGAAATTTGGCTAGTTTAGAGGTTTTGAAAGTTATAAATTGACAGAAAAGGAATTATAGATAAAACTAAATAGATATAAAAAGCTGGGAAAGAAAATGGGAAAATTATTAAGGGTTATAAAAAGTTTGTAGAAATCATATTATTTTGTGTGGTCAAAGATAATTGGGATTGAATAGATCTACCTAAAATTTTATTAAAATTAGCTTTAGTATTGATAATACACTAACAAAAGTAAAATTTGGTTTTCTCTTTTGAACAAGATTTTTATGTAGTTACAGTAAGAGATAGCAAACATTGTTGTTCACCTTTTGAATAAGCTACAAGAATAAAAGGGAGGTGAGAAAGGGAGAGATGAATTCAGTTTGGCTCATGCTATCTTTATTAGATATTTTAATTGTTTGGAAATCTGAGTCTCCTCTCTATTAAAGAGTAAGGTTTCTGCTTTTTAAAGTCTTTGAATTATCACTTGGGATAAATGAACAACTTATTTTACACTAAACTGTGATCCTATTTGTGATATCAAGTGTTTTAAAACCTCTGATATTTGAAAAACATTTCAAAATCATAATTTTGAATCCTAAATTCCATATTTTTTACCTTAAATTAACTTTTTAGATATGAGGGCACCTGGAAGTCCAAGAGACAGACATATTAGTTTTATTTAGCATGTGAAAATAATATAGGAAGCATTGTTAAATATGAAATAATGTTTAGCTTTTTGGGTTGTATTTGTATAAAAGTGTTATGAATATATCTTTCAAAATTGTATGAGGTTTCTGAAACTGTAATATGCCTTTGTGTGCGTTATCAGTAATAACTGATATTATTAGGCTAAATTGTCATAAACCACAGAAATAACCACATTTCCCTGTCAATTTCACCTCTCTAACTATGATTATTCTAAGACTTTTATCTCACACAGAAAATTGTTATTTTATTTTGGTTCTTCTTAGAAAGGAACTTATAATTGGCTACATCCCAAAATTTGCCTTTTAAAGATTCTGACAGTACTCTTGAATATAGGTTTCTGATAACTTTGGAAATCATACCATAGGAGCAGATAGAATCTTTCTGAACTATAATAAAAACCACATACATTCATAAATATTTGCAAATCATCATGAAGCAGAACAAGAATTAATTATATGAGAAATTTTTGATTTTTTTGTTTGAAATATTGCTGATTCTTTTTATGTTCCACTTTTGGAAGTCAAGAAAATGTTATTTTGTATTTTGTTTTTTCCTTTTGAGCTATGTATAGCTTACAATAAATTGGGTAAATTATATATTTGTGCATGAAACCTTGAATTATTTATATTTGCTCTACCTGATTTCACCAGAATTTAGAAACTATTTGTGAATATTCTTAATTTATGGCCATATAGTTATTTGCATAAGTTCAGTAAGAAGATGTTTTCTTTGGTAACAGGACACAATTGGAGACACTGGTCATTTTATTAAGGCTTCAACAGGAATGACATATTTTCTGATATGATCACACTGCTTTGAGGAATTAAAGTTGCCTTTACAGAGCCAATAAAAAGCCAGTTGGAAATATTGGCCTACTACCTTCTCTCTGCAGTTTCTTTATGAGGTTTCTGACCTGTGGTAAGAAAAGAGTGTTATTTTCTGATGAGTCCAGGAACCACAAGTTATTTTTGGACCTAGAGAAGAGAGAAATTCACCCAACTGATACAGAGTACAGACAGTCTGATGGCAAAACTTTGGTTTTAGCCTTGACACTTTTGAAAGTCTAATATGAAATTCCTTATTAAAAAGTTCCAGCAAAGCCAATTTTAAGACAGCCTGTATGTCCAATAACAATTCTTGCTGTATTTTATGCAAATAATCAGGCCAAGTATAATACAGCTAATTTTTTAAAATAAATTGTTCTTACCATGATTTATTCATGCATAAAATGGAAAACTGGAGAGACAAAAAATATGTTTCAGAAGAAAACTATAATATACCTGTTACTAGATTCTAACCTTATTCATCATTTTTTATTATATTATTATATTATTTATTATATTATTTTAATATAATAAATTTATTATATTATTAATATTTTCCTACACTTTGGACTGAATAGTCAATTCTATCCTTGCTACCTGTCTCCAAACTAATGTTTCCAAATTCTTCTTCCATTTTTTCTGAGTTGAACTCAGTGAAATTTCTACAACCTTTTCCTGAGGCTATGCAAGCATACCTTGTGATACACAAACTACAGTCAAGAAAAATCTGTCAGATTGCCACCTCCTACTTTCATTTTAACTGAAGAAGTCTAACATCCAGAAACTTGAAACGACTTCCCTGCCCACTCTAAGGAAACTGGTTTATAAGTTGCTCCAAACATTGACATTTGTTTTTCTTCTGTTTGAAAGCTTGTCTGCAATGCCATCTCCTTAAATGAGATGTAGCTGTTTAATGGAACTGACCTATGCCCAGGAATGGGAGACTGGTTTACTGGGATTCTTCACCACTCAGCTATTAACTCGATTTATCCACCAATGCAGACTTCAGTGTATAAAACCTCAAAAGAAATTTCAGACAAGGAGAAGTTGGGGCTCATGAAGCTATACCCCAAAATACAGAACATTAAACTGCTGAACTGAAGAAACCTGCTAGCAGAATGATTTAAACTCTCTGGTCCAGTTAGTTCTGAATAATCATATTGCATTATATTTCCTCCTACCAAAACAAAGAGTCATCTTTGCAATTGATAATACTGCTGATTGTGAACAGGAGAAATTTCCAAACAAGCTAAATGGTTACAAGACATGCATGCCACTGATCCCCTTAATGATCCTTTTATGTGGTTTCCAGGGGAATGGGAAACTGGTTTTGGTTCCCCTTATAAACTATTGCTATTACCATTATTCTAATTTTGCATATTTTTTCTATTGCCAACAGATAACAGGGACTATTAACACAAGCACTGATATTTTTGTCATGCTGAGTTGGCACCCTAGACCTGACACACAGAAGCATTTATAGGCCAATGCAAAGTAATTGTATTCCTCAAATTCTGATCCTGGTCTTCCTGTCTGCATCCCTTGTGAACAGGAAGCAACCAGATCAGTCATTGTCTGACTCCTTCCTTATTGATTACAAAACCTCAGGTTTGAGGATGAAGAAGACAAAGGGGAACTGAAGCAGTCCTCACCTCAAGAACTGTAGACAGAAATGCAGTTACATTTAAGTATTAATCAGGCTTTACTTTGGTCTATTGCCTTATAACCAAAAGTGATGTGTACAAAGTCATTGCATACGAATTTAGAAAATACTGAGAAGCAAAAGGAAGAAAAGGATCCAAGTCACCTGAAATCCCCCTTTTCCAACTCACCTGAAATCCCCTCAAACAGGGACAGCTATTGTTGATATTTGATAGTATATTCTTTGAGGATTTTTTCAATGTGAAGATACATACTCATTATATATTACAATATATCCTGTATATTGTATGTTATAAACACACACACACACGCACATGCACACACGACCCCTGTGCTTATCTGCATGATCATTTGTTTCCCCATTATTTGTATAGATAAGATTTTTGACATTAGAATCATAAAGTTCTTATTTAAGACTTGCTTAAACAAACCCTGAATTCCTGTAGAAGAGCTGACGACAACCAGTTTGAAGTCCCCCACAGAGGAACCAAATCAGTATGAGAATACAGATTCTTTATTTCTTTGTCCTATGGCTTCGCCCTGCACCCTTCAACCAGTCAACAATCTTCACACTTCGGCCTGCTCGAAAACCCTTAAAAACCGTAGTCTCAAACTCTTCTAGGAGATAGATTTTTAACTTTCCTCCTAGCTACTCTTTCAGTGGCCCTACGATTAAACCTCCTTCTCTGCTACAACCTGGCACCTCAGTGTATTGACTTGCTGCATGCTGAGGCAACAAACCTACACTAATTACATTTTTCTTCCATTTTGTGTTTTAGAATGACAACTATTCTTTTATTATCATTTGTTAGGGCTCAAAAAATGATATGCCAAAATGTAACCACCCAACAGGTTCTCCTTGCCTGCTGCCCAGACAGAGCTGATTTATCAAGATAGAGGAATTGAAATAGAGAAATATTTTAATTCAAAAAGAGCCAACTGTATGGGAGACTAGGGTTTTATTATTACTCAAATCAGTCTCCCCCCTGATATTGGTTAGGCGTTTTTCAAAAGCAGTTTGGGCAAAGTGGTAGGGTTAGCCAGGTAACAAGTGCTTCCTGCTAATTGGTTGGGCCAGAGATGAAATCATAGTAGGTTAAAGCTGTCCTCCTGCAGGTTGAATCTCTTCTGGGTGAGGCCACAGAAGGAGGGTTGGCAGGTCCATGGGAAGCCATCAGGTCCTGGTGGAGCCATGGGTGTTAGACAATGCAAAAACATCAGAAAGGATCTCAAAAGGCCAATCTTAGTTTCTACAATAGTGATGATATTTGCAGGAGCAATTAGAGAAGTTTCATATCCTATTATCTCCAGAATGATGGCTGACAATCGTTTATGTCTGCACCTTAGCCGGATTCAGGCTCTTCTGCTCCTTCTAGCCTGGCAACCTCTTGTTAGCTCTACAAAGGTGGCTGAGTTTGCGGGAGGGGCTACTATCCTTTAAACTGTGAATGAAATGTCTCCCAAAGCTAGCCCAGGAATAATCAAAGACAGCTCGGGGGCTAAAGCCATGAGGGGGTTGGGCCTAGATCAGATCTCCCTCACTGCCGTAAACTTCCTGCTGATAATAATTTTGCAAAGGCAGTTTCAAAAAGATGGCACTTAGAAAGGCTAAACTAAAGAAGTAGCCTTAAAATCTCTCTAACTTCTCCTTCTCTACTCCACCTACCCCTGCCTCTCAAGCCTCTGTCTCTCCCAAAGCATAGAATGAGACTTTTCTCTGAGATTTCCTATCTCAACAAGAACTAGAACTTCTTTCTCCTCATCATACATCTCGCAAAAGAAGACTGAAGAAGGCAACTAAACCCAGACAAACTTTTCCATAAGATAATACCTGACTCTTAAGCTCATTCAAATTCCCAAGAGCATCATTTACAAGTTAATTTCTGTCTCCCATTGTCCATTCATTCTCCCTAATAATCATTTACTCTTCAAAAGAATGTCCCACCTTTTCCCCCTCTTCCCTCTCCCCTATGAATAGGGTATATAAGTGTCTCTCTCCTTCATTGGGTAATAGGGTAGTCAGTCTCCTGCAGTTCTCCTGTGCTACGCATGCTAAATAAATTTGTATGCCTTTTCTTCTATTAATCTGTACATTGTCAGTACATTGTACTGGGTGGAGGAAAAGTTTTCCCTTGGCCACTACATGTGTTTATAAATTTCTTTGAGACTTCAATAAAAACCGTATCTGAAAAATATGTAAAGAAAACTGAAGTAGTTCTCAAATACTCTAGGGGACATCTGGCAATATCTGAAGACATTTCTCATTAAATAGGGTGAAGAAGATGCTGCTGGCATCTAGAAGTAGAGGCCGGGGATGCTACTAAACATTCTAGAGTGCACAGGATCACCCCTTATTACAGATAATTATGCACTCCCAAATGCCAGTAGTGCCAAAGCTGAGATTTCTGCCCTCCCCAAACTAAAGAGAGAATTGTGCATTATCACATAATGGGTTTACACATCTTACGGAGTAAAGAATAGACAAATGGAAGATTTTCCCCAAGAAATTATTAAATATATTAGATCAATGTATCATGGAAATACAAAGTATAATACAAAATAAAGAGAGAAAATTTACAGACATGAATAGTTCAGCAATAATTGTCTTTTTTGCATACTAAAATTATGCTAAAAGAGAGATCTAAAACTGTGCTCCAAATGTTAATGTATTCTAATGACTGCTCTGATAAGTAGCATGCTTTTGTGTTCCAATTCACGAATGAAAGGACACACAGAGTAAGGTTAGACGGTCATTGAATAAATTTATAACAGAGCCCAAACCAGATTTTGAGCATTTAATTTTCTATTATGGTCAAATAATATTGCCTCTCAGATATTTTTTAATGTAGTTGGTCACGATTAAATTTATCTCTTAACATAAAATTTTGCTCTTTTATTGATATAAATATGCAACAAGGCAGTAGGTGGTTTGGGATGTGTCACATTTGTTTATCATTTATGGATTTGATTTTTTGCTTAAGGAAAGTGAGCTTATTACAATCCACAGATTCCAATTACAAAGAATTTCTAAATTGGTGGCCTTTAGGGAATGTAAAGTTAATTAAACCTTAATACACTCAAAATAATGAATATCTTTTAATATGTATAATTGCAGAAATAGAATACTGGCTATTTGGTTTTGTTATGCAATAACAATAAGTAATCCCTTTATATAATGCGAAAATGTCTCATTGAAAACATATAATCAAGGAATTATAAATAATCTCTATACACTGAGAGGATATAATGTATACAATATAGCTATGTACTGCTAAATTAGTTTGTATACAGGAACACATTCATACAGTTTTTTAATCCTTGGAGACATTTTAGAATCACTTATGACAGTAAATAAACATTGGATATCTATTAACTGTCAAAGACTGTGAAATGTGGACTTTACATATAAAATCTGTGACTTTCTCTATTTGTAAGGAGTTTATCATCTTATGGGCCCCTTCACATATTTATTTAGATAATTTTTCACATGAATTGATACAAAATTGTTTGAAATGCTTGTTCCCTGGTGCCATAAAGAAATAGTATTTGAACATAAATTTAATTTCTTCAGCAAGGCCATTTTTATACTTTTTGCAGAAACGGCGCACTCGCCAGCAGTTTTGCCAGGAGAGTACACCAAACAAAGGAGACAGGGTCATTTATAACCTGACGCATCCACCCTACTGCTGTGTCCCGTTTCCACTGGCTGGAACGGGACCTCATATTTTGTATTTGTCCTGATTGGCTAGCAACTTAGAACTTTTTAAAAGAGGCAAAGGCAGAGGAGAACAAAAGAAGCAGGAAGTAACTTGTGGAGTGCTGAAAAAGGTAAAAACACCTTTAAATAAGGAAGAGGAACAGGCTATGACCTAATGCCTGCTTCGACCAGTATAAGCATGCCAGGGTGAATATTTAGGCTAAATTGTGGGAGCTAAGAACATAAAGTACATTGATTTCTTTATTACTGCTAGCAGATATTTAAGAATGTTACCACAGGTCTTTGAATAAATTTTGCTTCTAAGAGAAGTTACTATTTATTCCTAATTAGATGGGGAGGAAAGCCTTTGAAGAGGAACTTCTACTTTACTTTTTACAGAACTACGAAGGTAAGTACAAGTATGTTTCCAGATGAATCAGCCTTTTGTGGAATTAACAGAAAGAATACAAGAAGGAGAAAAAAATAATATGCAGAAGAAAGAATGAATGGTCTGTGATATGGTTCGGATGTTTGTCTCCCCTCCAAATCTCATGTTGAAACGTGATTCCCAATGTTGGAGGTGGGGCCTGGTGGGAGGTGTTTAGGTCATGGGGCTGGATCCCTCCTCAATGGCTTGTGGCTCTTCTCAGGATAATGAGTGAGTTGTTACTCTGAGTTTACACGAGACCTGGTTGTTTGAAAGAGTGTGGCACCTCCCCCTTCTCTCTGTCTTTCTCCCTCTCTCTTGCTTTCACATTCATCATGTGACACCTCTGCTGCCCCTTTACATTCCCCCATGACTGGAAGCTTCCTGAGACCCTCACCAGAAGCTGAGCAGATGCTGGGGCCATGCTTCTTGTAAAGCCTGCAGATCTGTAAGCCAATTAAACCTCTATTCTTTATCAATTACCCAGCCTCAGGTATTTCCTTATAGCAATGCAAAAACAGACTAATATGAAAAATTGGTACTGAGGAGTAGGGTGTTACTATAAAGACACCTGAAGATGTGGAAGTGGTTTTGCAGCTGAGTAAAAGGCAGAGATCAGAAGAGTTTGAAGGGCTCAGAAGAAGATGGGAAGATGAGGTAAAGTTGGAACTTCTTATAGACTGTTTAAATGGTTGTGACCAAAATGCTGACAGAAATATGGACAGTGAAGTCCAGGCTGAGCAGGTCTCACATGGAAATTAGGATGTTATTGGAAACTGGAGCAAAAGATACTTGTGTCATGCCTTAGCAAAAATTTGGCTGCATTGTGTCAATGTTCTAGGGATCTATGAAAGCTTGAACTTAAAATTGATTACCTAGGGTATCTAGCGGAAGAAATTTTTTTTTAATTTTATTATTATTATACTTTAAGTTTTAGGGTACATTTGCACAACGTGCAGGTTTGTTACATATGTATACATGTGCCATGTTGGTGTGCTGCACCCATTAACTCGTCATTTAGCATTAGGTGTATCTCCTAATGCTATCCCTCCCCCCTCCCCCCACCCCACAACAGTCCCCGGTGTGTGATGTTCCCCTAGCGGAAGAAATTTCTAAGCAACAAAGCATTCAAGAGGAAGTCTGGCTGATTCTAAACACCTACGGCAAGATACAGGAACAAAGGAATTACTTAAATTTGGAATTTATCATTAACGAGAATACACACAGAAGTTTGGAAAATAAGAGTTTGGAAAATTTGCAGCCTAGCCATGTGGTAGAGAAGAAAAAAAAAACATTTTCAGGAGAGGAATTCAAGCAAGCTATAGAGCAATCACTTGCTGGAGAGATTTGTGTAACTAAATGGAGCCAAGTGCAAATACCCAAGACCGTCGAAAAAGGCCTCAAAGGTATTTCAGAAACCTCCTAAAAAGCTCCTCCTGTTGAAATGAGAGTGTTCTCTTCTCCCCCTCGCAGGGGTGTGGCTGGCTTTTTCAGTGCTCCCCTGCTCAAACCCATAGAGGGGAGCATGCAGACAGGCAGGTCATGGGGAGTGTTTGGGGGCTCTGACCCCACTGCAGTATCTAGGGTTGTTTACAGCTCCCAAAACCCCAGTGGGCTTGTGTTACAGTGTGCTCTTTTCAGCTTAGCTGTCTGCAGGCAGCTTGTGTTAATCAGCTCAACTAGACCCTCTACCTTATCACAAGGGCAGAGGGCTTTCTGTATCCCAGGTTCTTGCCCTAGTGTATCAGAAAAATCGGATCACATGTGGGCTTGGAGGATGGGTGCAAGGTTTTATAGAGTGGTGGAGGTAGCTCTCAGTGAAATGGATGGGGAGCCAGAAGGGGGATGGAATGGGAAGGTGGTCTTCCCCTGGAGTCCGGCCACCCAGCAGCTGGACTCTCCTCTGACCACCCTCGGCTGAATTCCACATCTTCCCACCATTGATGGCTTGCTGGTGTCTGTCCATGTGTTCTGCTCCTCTTGATGTCCAGCCACTTGTGTGTGTGCCCGCTACAGTCTTGGGATTTTCTGGGCACAGGATGGGGGTGTGGTGGGCCATAGTGGTCTTGGAAAATACAACATTTGTGAATGAAAACAGGAGTGCCTGTTCTCACTTTGGTCCATGGACGCAGGCCCAAGGGTGGAGCCCTCACCAGGAACCCTGACCTTCTCTACCCAGCACTTCCTTGTCCTGCTCCCATAACACCATCACAGGCCTACAGGCCTAGGGGGAAAGAATAATTTGGGGGCCAGGCCCAGGTCACTCCTGCCTGCTCAGCATCAGGACACTGCTCCCTGCATCTCAGCTGCACCAGCTCCAGCTGTGGCTCAGAGGGTCCCAGGTGAAGCTCAGGATGCCACTTTGGAGAATGCAACCCATAAGCCTTGGCAGTTTCTACATGGTGTTAAGCCTGTAGGCACACAGAACACAAAAGCAAAGGAGTCTTGGCAGCTTTCTCCTAGATTTCAGAGGATGTATTGGAATGCCTGGGTGCCCAGGCAGAGGCCTGATGCAGGGGCAGAGCCCCCACAGAGCACCTCCACTAGGACAATAATGAGGGGAAATGTGGGGTTAGAGTTCCCACACAGAGTTCCCACCAGGGCACTCTCTGGCAGAGTTATGGGAAGGGAGCCGCCACCCTCCAGACCTGAGAATGGTAGAGCCACTGGAAGCTTGAACACTAACCCTGGAAAAGCCACAGGCACCCAACTCCGACCCGTGAAAGCCACCATGGGGACTTCACCATGCAAAGCCACAGAGGCAGAGCTACCCAAGGTCTAGGGAGCCCACTCCTCACACCAGTGTGTCCAGGATGCAAGGCATGGAGCCAAGGATTATTTTGGAGCTTTAGGGTTTAACGTCTACCCTGCTGGGTTTTGGACTCCTGTGGGGCCTATTGTCCTTTTATTGTGGCCTATGTCTCCATTTTGGAATGGGAATATCTACCCAATGCCTGTACCACCATTGTGTCTTGGGAGTAAACAACTTGTTTGATTTTACAGACTCATAGGTGGAAGAAACACGGCCTTGAGTCTTAGATGAGACTTTGGACTTTAGAGTTTGAGTTACTGCTAGAACAAGGTAAGACTTTGGAGGACTACTAAGAAGGGAATATTGTATTTTGCAATGTGAGAAGGACATGAGATCTCAGGGACCAGGTGTGGAATGATATGGTTTAGATGTTTGTTCTCTCCAGATCTCATGTTGAAATGTGATTCCCAATGTTGGAGGTGGGGCCTGGTGGGAGGTATTTTGGTCATGAATGGCTTGGTGCTCTGCTAATGGTAATGAGTGAGTTCTTGCTCTGAGTTCATGTAAGACGCGGTTGTTTCAAAGAATGTGGCACCTCCCCCTTCCCTCCCTCTTTCTTGCTCCCTCTCTCTTCCTCCCGTTTCCTCCATGTGGTGTTCCCATCGTACCTTCATCTTCCACCATAACTGAAAGCTTCCTGAGGCCCTCACCAGAAGCCAAGCAGATGCTGGCATTTGCTTTATGTACAGCCTGCAGAACTGGGAGCCAATTAAAAATCTTTTCTTCATAAATTACCCAGCCTCAGGTATTTCATTATAGCAGCAGAAGAATGGACCAATACAATATACAAACATAATTTTATGTTATTTCTTATTACAACTTTCAGGCCCGTTCTAGTACAAATTGCATATGTGTTATCATTACTCCTATAGTGGCAGAGAGAAAGCTTCCTTTCTGCCCACTAAAGATTCACTAAAAATGAACTGATGAAAGGCAGATTAATAGGAGAAAAAGGCACACCAAAGTTATTTAATGTGCATAAGCAGAGGGGAATGACAGGAGAATAATTACCCAGTAATCCAGATAACACCTCCCAGGTAATCTCTCAGAGTTGCCCTCTCAGGAATCAACAGTCTGTCTGGGTGTGGTGAGACTCCACTTTTGTCCCATCTTTGATGGTTAATCTGTCCTGGTTATTTGATGAGGTTCCTAGGGATGGAATCTTAAGACAATCTCATTTGTTTTGGAAAGAAGCTTCCTTAGTCTGACAAATTCCAGAGAGACTCCCTCCTGATGCTGCAGGAAAGAATTGGAGAGACAGAGAAGGGAGTCCGTAAAGGGGAAGGTCAGAGAAGGAGCTTGGCTCTGAGGCTCATTTCTGAGGCCTTTCTGTTTTCTTCAATTCAATGCATGCAGAGCACCAAAGCACCATATTTTGAGTATCATTTTCAGTGCCCCAGCACCGCAATATGCATCCTTTTTAATGGCAGCTCAGTGTGGCTCTTCTACAGTAAATGTAACCTGGAGCATCCCAGAAATAAATGCCTGCTCAGAAACCACTCGGTGTGATGCCACTTTTCTAATTCAACCTCTCCAACAAAATAATGTAAAATAATGTAATTTACATCCTCATGTCTTCTCAATCTGAATTAACTATTTATGAGTTCCTGAAGGTAATATATTTATTAAATGTATGCAAGATTGTTGAGACCCTGATATGTGCCAAGTGCTTTGCTGGGTGCTGAGAATGCAAAAGAATATATATATGTATATATATACACACACACACATACACACATATATATATACATACATATATATATGAGACTTATAGGTTAGGCATAATAAACATATATGTATCATAAAAAGAAAGTGTTTAGACATATGTTTTGCTGTAACATTAGTTATAAAGGAAAAAGTAAAAAAAACATTACTCAGATAAACAGAAGACACTTCATAGAAGAAGGGATGATATTCATAGCTTAGCCTTGAGGGATAGCTGTGCACAGGAAGGGACGCCATTTCAAGCAGAGGGAACTGCTTCACTAAAACCCATACCCACGGATAGTCACCCATCCAAGCATGTTGATGGGATGAATGGGGATGCATGTAATTCAGTATTATACAACCACAAGCTGGGATGAGAGAAGTAAGAAAATGGAGATGGAAAACTCTGCAGAAGCCACTTTACAAGTAGTTTTAATCTGTTTTAGGTGAGAATATTTTGTCTTTTAAAAAATTTTCAGTAGCTTTAGGGGTACCATGGTTTTGGTTACATGGATGAATTGTTAGTGGTGAAGTCTGAAATTTTAGTGTGCCCCCATCACCCAAGTAGTGTATATTGTACCCAATGTGTAGTTTTTATCCCTCACCCTCCTCCCACCTGCCCCACATTTTAGTCTCTAGTGTTCACTGTTCACTATACCACTCTGTAATGCATTTGTGTACCCATAGCTTAGCTCCTACTTGTAAATCAGAACATACAGTCTTTGGTTTTCCATCCCTGAATTACTTCACTTAGAATAATGGCCTCTAGTTCCATCCACATTGCTGCAAAAGATGTTGTTTTGTTCTTTGTCACGGCTGAGTAGTATTCCATGTTGTGCATATACCACATTCCCTTTACCAACTCATCAGTTGATGGGCAGTTAGGTTGGTTCCATGGTTTTGCAATTGTAAACTGTGCTACAATAAACAGATGTGTTTAGGTGTCTTTTTGATATAATGACTTATTCTCCTTTGGGTAGATACCTAGTAGTGGGATTGCTAAATATTTTTCTAATGTTTAATGTTTCATTCTGGAAAATGAAATGCAACAATACGGAGGACAGTTAGGAAGAAGACAAATTTGAATAGAATAGAATAGACTTATTGTGGTTTGAACAAGAAGCTCTAAAGGACTAAATTCTCAGGTAGCAGGAAGTGGAGAGGAGATATTGGGCATAATAAATGTGCAAGTCTAATGAAGAATACAATTATTAACTAAAACCAAACTATAAATTGAGAATTGTATGCATTCTATGACATAAATAACAACAACTAGGTATACGTGCAACGTATAACAAATAATTTACTGTGTGTTTCTGATATTAACTTCTGATTTCTTCTCCTTAGGGGAAGTATATGTCAAAGATAATAATTGTTGTAGTCACATCTTGGTTTCCTTGTTTGTATTATTCAGGCCCGGTTCATCTCCTTCTGAATGGCTGGCTCAAGTCTATGATGGGAGGTGACACTATTGCATGTGTCAAAGAGTCTCAGTCTTTACTGAGCAGCTGATCAGTTCATTGTAAGTATGCTTATAAAAAGATCATCTTCCTCGGTTGTGTTTGGCAAAATATCTTCTGGAAATCACGTTTTAATGCAAGAACTCTAATTAAGAGGACATTGGATCAAACCTATATCTGGTGGAAAGAGAAGACTGATAAAGAAAACAATCAGAGTTCAGATAAAGCCACTTATACATCAAATTGGAGAATCTGGAACAGAGTTTTACAGCTTGGAGTTTGATGTGCTGTGAGCAATTATCTGATCCAAAATTCTCATTTTACAGAGAAGGAAACTAAATCCTTCTCTGGATTTAGTTCCTTAAAGAGATTCATTTAGTTCATTAAAGAGATTTTAATGAACTTATGGACATTCAACTAATCACGAGTAGGTCTAGAAATAGAATTGAAGCTTTCTGACCTGAAGTGTGGTGCTATTACCTTTTATAGAACTAGCAACTTCAAGAATAGCTCAGGTAAAATTTTTGGAAAGTAATACTAAGAAAGGTTTGGATTAGAATCAGAAAGAACTCCCAAGGCTCATATTATGTACCAAAAAAATAAATATGGTTTATGTCCTACATTGTATGAAGTTGGACTCCTCATTTACAAACCTCTAATCCCCTACTGGTATATGGTTTTTATATGGCTTTTATTTGCCTGTGATAAAGTAGCTTTCATTTTGTTTTATGTAACTGACCTGATAGGAAGCTCATAGGTGTTACTATATAATTTCTTACAGCTGTGTCCATAGCCTTAATTAACAGAGGTTAGTATTTCACCATATTCATTAAAAAGTATTATTGAGCTGACCTATTACAGCATATAGAGCCTTGTAATAGAAGCATTTTTGGAGTGAGGGGAGAGTAACTTATATTAAAAACAAATATTCATTAAGTCCTTAAGCCAGTAACAAATTGTATTGGGAGTAAGATATGATTAAGTAATGGGACAAAAACATTGTTCTATTTTAATCTAAAATCATAAAAACCAAGGATTCACTTTTTGTATGTGTGTGTGTGTGTGTGTGTGTGTGTGTGTAGTGAAAGAAAAGTTATATGTTGATTCTCTGTATTACAGTAATATTCTAAGTTTAAACAATATGCTATAGTTGAAAATATAAATATATGCTTTATTATTTATAGAGTTTTACACTTACAAATTCTAAAACATTTAAGTTGCTTGAAATGTACATCTTGCCTTCCCAGTGTCAATGACTTTATATTAAGAAGAGAGAAAAAAATTCAACTACAACACAAGACTCTGACTTCAAAAGGCCCAGGGCTGATTGTTGGGGTTCAGGTATGTTTTCAGTTATGTTTACATACGCTGGCTTCCTGAGTCTCTGAATTCTTGCATTACTTTGCACAATTTGTATTCCTTAAAATTCAGTAAAAACTCTGTGAAAGCTTAGTTTATATATTTGTCCCCAAACTCATACTGCTACACATTTATGTTTTTCAAATGAGCAATTGCAATGTAAATGAATGTGGTCTTTTAAAGCATAACGCACAGATTGTAGCTTTCATCTGTGCTGAAGCAACTTTTAGCACTGCTTCCTTATGATGAGAATTATTTTTTTTGTTGTTGTAACAAATGATACATTTGTTAAACGTATCATTCAGATTAGGCTAGGTTTGGCTCTGTTTAATAATTCAATCAGTCAGGTGATGGTTCAGTCAAGAGAGTTGTTTAGGATGCTGAAAGAAACTACAAACTTTATCAGCTCCCTGTTTCTTGAGCAAATTGGCAGGAAGACCTATTCATTGTAGTCACTCGGGATACCAGGCAAGTTAAGAAGTTGCTTAGCAGACTGCAGAAAAAAAATAAAAATATTTTATTGACAATTAAATGTTAAAGTTCAATGCCTTCCCAGCAGCTCATTGGCCAGAATTAATCATGCTTCCCTCCTGTCCCTGCAAAGCTGGTCAGAAAGTGGAATCCGAGAATGTACCTAAAAGGCTGAGAGTCACAGATGTGTGGCCAAAACACTGAAGAATACCTCAGGTAATTATTAAATTCATATTGTTATTGGACTTATTTCATCGAGTCATCACAAAAGAGAAGTATGAATGAATACGTAAGTAAAAGAATGCAAAAACAGCACTAAAAGTAATTAGTGATATATGTTGATTACATTATACACACTAGGCTGTTCTAAGTGGTTCTTGATACATATATTAACTCATCTAATTCCTGCAGCAGCTCTGTTAATTTGGTACCCGTTCTTATACTGCTTTGTAGATGAGGAATCTATGCCTGGAGACAGCGAGCAAGGTGCAGAGCTGGGAGGCACATCCACCTTTCTCTCTTTAGAGTCCTTTCTCAATGACATCTATACTGCCTCAAACCACAAACATTTTTTGAGCACTTATATGTTTTTATGTAATTAAGAGCACAAGCTCTGGAATCAAAGTGCAATGAATGAAATCTGAAGGTGTTTTATTTGTCTGTTTTCCTGAATGTCCTGTTCTCAAACCTCGGGCAAGTTATAAAGTTCTCTGATCTTCACTATCCTTGCTTGGTATATGTGGGTACCAAGGATAGCATCTATCACTGATGGTTGTGGTGAAAATTAAATACCGAAATATATGTAAAGTGCTGACCACCATGGCACCTAGCAAGCACTCCATAAGTGCTGTCAAGATTACTCAAGAAAATAAGAGCTCTTATAGTATCTCATTTAATGCTGACAAGGAAGCCCCTTTGAGAATAGTCTTACTAATTCAGGCTTAAGACAACTAAAAGCCAAGGCTCTTACAGATGGTATAATTTGCCTGATATTTGGAGATTCCGAGTGGCATTGCCTAGGACCAATCCAGGTCCCTCCAGTTCCTAACACATTTTCCTGTCTGTCTCTTAATATCTTAGAAAACAGCTAGCTACCATGGACTAAGGGTCAGAACTTTAAAGACAGCTTAAAATTTAGGAGCATGTAAATGATCCCATTTTCAGAGGAAAAGGTAATGTCTGCTCAGTTTCTCCACTATAAGTTTTTCTCTCTCTCTTTTTTTTTTAAAGTTAATACACATTTGGGGGACGATATTTTGGAAAAAATGTGTGATTTGCGAGTGGAGGCCACTCCTTAAAGGTGGCTTACGTATGGTGACTTCCTTTCAACCAGTATAGTGTAAAGAAAGGAAAAAAGGAGTTATCTGAGAGTGGAGAAACCTGATCAAAACTATCTCAGACAGATGATCAAGGTCAACATCAACAGTGATGACGTATTGATAGTGTGCACCCTTGATTTGATGGGAATCACACTTTACCTCTGTGGTCTTCCTCCCAAAAGCACATAAACTCAATCTAATCATGAGAAAAAAAAATTGACAAATCCCAACTGAAGGACATTCTACAAAACACCCAACCTGTACTCCTCGAAATTGTCAGGGTCACCAAAACAGAAGGAAAATCTGAGAAGCTCTTACATCTGAAGTACACCTAAAATGTGATAAATAAAAATAATCTGGTATACCTGGAACATAAAAAGTTATACCTTTTTGTGATAGACAGCAAGTAAGGAAGTCATGTAATATCCATAAAAATGAATGTTAGTCAATAAAAAAGTATCTATGTTGGTTTAATATTTATATCAAAGCAACAAAAATGTTATTAAGGGACCTGGACCAGGGAGTGTATAGCAACCCTCTGTACAAACTTTATAAGTTTTCTATAAATTTAAAACTGTTCTAGAATAAAAAGTTTATTTTAAAAACAAAAAGTGAAATGAAACAAAAATTGGGCAGGACAGCTTGTAGTTCTTGATTAGATCTACAATGCAAGCTTCCAAGCCACACAGGCCAAGCCCCTCCTTGGTATAAACCTGAGATAGAACCTAAGTGCTATAATACAGTGCCCTTTGAATTGATCTATCTACTTTGGCCTTTGGCCTCCTATTGTACACTGAAGCATCGCAGACTAAATTGTTTCCAAAATATCAGCTTTCCCAGCGGCCAGATGAGGAGCTAATACTCTGCCTCAGTATCAGGACTCTGTTACCAAGAAAATCAGTAAATGGTGCAGTCTTGGCTCACTACAACTTCCATCTCCCACGTTCAAGCGATTATCCTGCTTCAGCCTCCCAAGTAGCTGGGATTACAGGCACCCGCCACCACAGAAGGCTAATTTTTGTATTTTTAGTAGAGATAGGGTTTCACCATATTAGCCAGGCTGGTCTCGAACCCCTGACCGCAAAGTGCTGGGATTACAGGTGTGAGCCACTGTGCCTGGCCCCAGAGAGGCACTTTCTACTTGCACCCTGAATCTAGAACTTGCAAACCTATCTGTGGAAAGAGCAGAGTCAGCAGAAAAAAAAAAAACTTGAATTTTCTACACAAGGTCCTACCTCTAATCCCCATGGGCCAGGAGGAGGGCCTGCCTGGGAGGGTGCATGAGACTTGCAGAGTGGAAGGAGGGAGTGGAATAAACTCAGGAATGGGGATCACCATCTCTGCCTGGACACAGGAAGAAGATGAAGTATGGACCTGGTGCTCCTATCAAGGTGCTGGCAAATGAGATATGCTGGATGCCAGGCTGTCTGTGGCTGGCTAAGCTGCTCCCCATCTTTTGAGGCACAGCCAGTACACAGGTGGTGAGCGGGGCCCAGCATGCCCTGACCTTCTCCTGTTAGGAGGTGATCAGCAGCCCTCCGTCCTCACTGTGCCACGTGGAAGCCTGGGGAAAGGAGACACATTTTGCCAACACATTTGATACATGCAGATACTGAGTCCTAGAGATATGAAGATATTTGCCCCGAATTACAAAACAAGCTAGAAAATAAGAATTGTTTGGTTACCTTTCATTTTCTGTGATGTACTATCCTCATAAAACAAAATTCATTTTATATTTACCATAATGCAAATTACCATAGTTGACTTAAATTTATAATTTTTATTTTAAATGAAAATATAAGTGTTTATGACACATCTTTTCTAAGAGTAATGGAAAAAGTCAAGGTAGAGGAAAGCATGAAAAAAAAAAAAAAGTAAGATTATTCAGGCTACCTGGAATGAACTTGATTGAGATTTGACTGGATTTGTAATATAAGTAGTGCTATTTGAGACAATGAAGAAGGACAGGGTCTTGGGGAAAAATAGTCAAAGAAACCTAAATTACATATCTCCTTTTTAATATAGCAGCAGTAGCAATTTATTCCTCACGTGCGTACTTTAACTTGTTATTACCTGAATAAATAATTAAGAAACCAAGGGCAGGTCTTTTTGCAGAAAGCACGGCTTGTGCAGAGGGAAAAAAAAGCATGTTGACCACAATGGAAATAAATATAATATATGGGGGAGAAAGAAGCTCAGAAAAAGCAAACACCAAAAGAAGACATTTTGGGGAGAGACACATATCCCTTTAATAGAAACCAGAGAAAGTGAAATTGCAGGAAATAGAGAGGATATGAAGTAGAAATGTCTCCAAATAGAAAGAAAAATGAATGGAAAATAAAGTTCAGGTGAAGAGAATATCAGATTATAAGAACTGGCCATCTGGACAAAAAGTTTCCTGGGAAAAGATAATAGAGAAGTACAAGCTGGGGGTGTCTAGGAAATCCTGTCACAGAGCCAAAAAAGTGAAGGAGGGAAAGGGTAGAGACCTCCATTTTCCCTAGGAGCTCCCAACATGAGCTCATGATCTCAAAGTCTTTACTACTTGCTGTCTTGTCACAATTATCCAAGTCTTTGGCTTGCTTTCCTCCATCCCTTCAATATTTTATTACCTGGGTCATTGTCTCATTCTTTTTTATTGTTCTTACTATAAATTTGGATGACTTTGAATTCCACGTAGACAATCTTTCCAACATTTGCCCCCATAGTTCTTTAATGGCTTCTCTGTTTCATTGGTCCTTCAACCTTGCTTTAGTCCAGGAAACCATCATTCCTGCCAGGTGTTATTGAAATAGCATCCTACTTCTTTTCCCTGATTTCCCCCTTAGTTCCCAATAGTCAATTCTCAACAATGCACCCAGAGTTATTATTTCAAAATAAGAAGACTGTGTCACTCCTCGCTCATAACCTTCTAGTAGCTTCCCAGCTTATTCAGCATAAAAGTCATCACAATGACCTTTCATAGCTTTATGATTGCATCTCCTTCCACTCTTGAAATTGAGCACAATTTCCCACCCATTGTCTCTTTATACTGTTCTACAAACACACAGCCTGCACTCAATCAAAGGTGGCTCCTTTCTCACCTCTTTGCATGAACAAAGGTTCATTGTCTTATCAACTCAATAACAGGTGTCATTGAAATAGCATATTTCTTCTTTTCTTTGACTTACACACACACACCAACTCTTAGAACCCACCCCCCCTTCTTTATTTATTTTGTCCTAGCACTTATACAATCTAACGTATTATGTTTTTACTTACGTGTTTTATTTGTCTCCCACTAGGAAAATTTAAATTATATGAAGGTAGATATATGCTTATTTTCTAACTGTATATTATCTAAAACATGTCTGGCATATAGTCAGAACTTATTAAATGTATTTTTATGCCAGGCGCGGTGGCTCACACCTGTAATCCTAGTTCTTTGGGAAGCTGAGGCCAGCAGATCACGAGGTCAGGAGTTCGAGACCAGCCTGGCCAACATGGTGAAGCCCCATCTCTACTAAAAATACAAAAAATTAACTGGGCATGGTGGCAGGTATCTGTAATCCCGGCTACTTGGGAGGCTGAGGCAGAATTGCTTGAACCCAGGAGGCAGAGGTTGCAGTGAGCAGAGACTGCACTGCTACACTCCGGCCTGGGCAACAGAACAAGACTCCATCTCAAAAAAATAAAAAGTATCTTTTAGTCCATCATTATCACTTTTGAATTAACAATTTGTCAGTAAGTTATGATTAGCTTTTCTTTTTTTAAAAAAAACTATTATTAATTGTAAAAAGCAAAACAAGACAAAACAAAGTCATATTTCTTTCTGCCAAACTAAATCTGTATATTAGCTCTAACACTTACAGATTTTGGAAGATTTCTTGTATTCTCTGATTGCTCATCTGGAAAATGGGTCTATGTATATCTTATACATTGGAGTATTATGTTTGAAATAATGTTTGAAAATTGTTTATCCAACCACCATCTATACCTAGTGATTTGGAAGCCTTTTATGACTTATCACCTAATAGATAGAGACTGCCCAGTAAAGAGGAATCACGTTTGATGTGCAAATATATGAATGGTGGCATTACATTACATTACATAAACACTTAAATTGATTCAATGCTCTTAGATAAAGAGAGCAGGCTACAATGGGAATAAGATGGAAGGCAAGAGAAAGAACAAGGGAGAAAGAAAGGAAAATAACAATTTAAACAGTCTGGCTAATATAATGAAACATTTCCCTTGATGCACGGATGTCCCCAGGTTACCCATCATGACAGCAGGCATGACTCTGTGAGTCCTCTGTCACACTCAGTTACTGCCTTACTCTCACAGGTGACTAGATAACAGGGCCAAATGGGATTCTACTTTTAAAGATGGATATTTCTTGGTAATGTGGGCCATAAATGCAAGCCAGTATGAAATAAGGTGCTTATATACATAATACACCAAAAAAGATCTGCCCATTCCTGAAGAAAAAAAAAAAAAAAAACGTTAACAAAGCAAAACAACAACCATAAAAACACTGCTTTGAGAGGTTGCATGTAGAGTTCCAACATTGCTACTTCTGAGGAATTATGAAGTTTCATAATGAATATGTTTCTTGTATAAATCATGCATAACACATCAACAGTGTGTGTTTATGTGACTACTATAGGAAAAGTATCGCAATGGACCCCATATGAAAAGGGTCCTCAAGTGTTGAATCACATAGGAGAAATTAAAACATGATACTGATATTGATTCACCAAGAGCTTTCTATTTATTGTTTCCATATTTTAGTATCTCTGTGAGTTAAATTTATAGTTTGGGAGCCCATGCATGAAATCACGTAGAAGCAATATGAACCTAATACCTAGGGAGCAGTTTTATCTTGCTCTTAGTGAAAATAAAGAAGGAGAACCACTTCTCTTTTGTGAACGTCCTGAGAGCTCTTTGAACACAGTAAATCATTTAGACATGAAGTAGGGAAGCAGAGCTGCTTCCTCTTGCTTCATCAAACAGTGAGGTAAGGGGTCTGTCCAGGAAGAAGATGGGGATGCCTTGGGCTCCTCTGCCCACACAGTACCCTCTGTCCCATGCTTCAGGTGCTCCAGTGCTTCTGCAACAAGTGGAGCCAGCAGAGGCATAAGCAGAAAGACGCCTCACCTTTGCACAGTGTCTGAGCAGGATTGGTCATGGGCCAGGCCATTGTAATTTGAAGAAAGAGTGGGCACCGCAAGGGAAGATGTGGCAATGTAGACACCAATTCTAAGAAGGTGCCTTTCCTAATTTAAAACAGAGGGTTATAATAATGTTGTGAGGACTTCAATATATGTGATTTCTTGTGCCCACTTATCCCTTGATCTACAGCATTTATTTGAAATCAAATATAATCAATGCAAGACTGAAATGCCACAAAAAAGGCCAAACTGCTAAGTGCTCTTAGATACTACAAAGAAATTGTTTAGAAAACCATGCAGTGACAAAGTATAGATGCAGTACACACACACACACACACACACACACACACACACACACATGCAGGAGGTCAAAGGTAAAGAGGTGTGAGAAATCGGATACACTGACTTGCTTGCAAAGTTACAATCTTCTGTTTGAAGTAATGAAAAACACCCCATTTTAATAATTTTTTCCTGGATAATGTTCATTACTGTGTGATGTGACATAATATTTTTCTGGATTGGGATTAGCCATAGAATTCTGCAGCTCTCCTTTAGGGAACTGGGGATATGCTAAGATCATATCCAGACTAAAATACAGCGTTCCTCACAGAGAAGGTCCCACACAGCCTTATGATGATTACAGGAATAGCTTAATGACACGGTCATCACTCAGCCTCTCATAAAACTAATTAATCTTCCAGCAATGTTAGAATCAAAGAGAAATATTTTTAAATATTAAAACATATTTTATTAAACCACAGTCATATTATCTTTCATATTTGATATACAAAATAGATATGGACTTATAGTTTTCATTTATCCTTTGATTTAATAAAGTATTCATATTAGAAATCTTCATTGTAATAAGAAAGGTCACTTTTGCTAATTGGATTAAGTCAGTATAATAGCTGAAAAAAAAAACAACTTTTCTGTGCCAATAAGATTAATGAAATTGCCCTTGAAAAGGTGCATTTTACATCTGATTTCATATTTCAGTGAAGTCTCCCTCTGAAATTGGCCTCAGGGTCCAGACCACAGGACAATGCTATAATTATGCCTTTCTGGTGCTTTCAATAATACCATTTTTTGAATTGACTTTGAGGTGAATCTGCTTTATACTAAATTCAGCCCCAGAAGAACTTTGTTCTATTGAAACTTGAACACACTTTTATTTCATCTGTGTTGGAAGTCTTTTTCCCTTTTTTTTTTTTCCTTAAGTGTAAGTGTTAAAGAATAAGAGACAATGAAGGGTGGAAATGATACGATTAAGAGCTTTGGGGAGAAACTCTAAAGTCATGACCATATTTTTCTGCTAATCAAAAGACTGCCCAGTATGGAGAATTCAAGTTTCATTACTGCTTAATATCTTCACAAATCCCAAATCAATATTACTTATGTTTTAGAAGATGCCATCACAATGAATTAAATTTGTTTCTTTATTATTTACTTCTAATACTTTCACAGAACATACTATTTATAAACCTAAGAAAGAGCAAGTTTAGAGACAGCTTGATTGCAAATTATTGCTCATTGGAGTGGGTAGATACGGTCTCAGCTGCTTGTCATCTATTTGTAATATGAACAAGAAGTGTAAAACAGTTTTGATAAAAAATATCTATGGCATGAAATTTCTGCTGCTGAAAAGTCTTCAGTCATGCACAAATTCTAGACTATTTTCACACGGAAACCAGCAAAGCACACACAACGGAACAACTGTAATGAGATGATCAGCAAACCAAATATTCCTTTTCCTTTTCTTTTGTTACCTGTAAACTAAATATTGGATGTGTTTTAGAAGATTAAGATAAATTTACATCTTGATGTGAATGTGCTTTATTACACAATGATGTATTTTCAAATTAGAACTATTTTTTGTAACCAGAATCATTTATTCTAACACACTATCATGTCTTCAACTAATAACAGCTTCTTTAGGCTTTGGGAGTAGATGCACATAGCTATTGATAAGTTTCCTCTTGTTAACATAAAAGTTTCAGAGCTCTTTTAGTATTTATATGAAAACTCATTTATCTCAGCCCCAGCAGTAGCTTTCAAAATAAACTACTGCATTTTGCATCAGGGAAATTCCCAAAGATTATATAGGCCATGTGAGATAACAACTAGAAACAAACCAATGTGTTGCCTACATTTCCAAGACCTTTCACTAGTAGACTTAGCATGGATAAAGAACGTATTCTTCAGTTAACAGTACAAGATGATCTATTCTCACTATGCCATATTTGTATAGTTTAGTGCTCATTTTGCCAATATAAGATTTTCTTCAAGAAGGTTAATAATATTAGATACAAGCAATCATATGACACCATTGCCTTAATTTTTAAACCAATAAAATAAATTTAATTCATTAATGCTTATTAATTATGTAATTAAGTTTAGTAATGAATAAATAAATCACAAGATCTGGAGTTTAAAAGTAGTTATAATAGGCTGGGTGCAGTGGCTCATGCCTATAATCTCAGCACTTTGGGAGGCCAAGGTGTGTGGATCACCTGAGGTCAGGAGTTCAAGACCAGCCTGGCCAACATGGTGAAACCCCACCTCTATTAAAAATATATTTAAAAAAAAATTTGCCGAGTGAGGTGGTAGGTTCCTGTAATCCCAGTTACTTGGGAGGCTGAGGCAGCAGAATTGCTTGATTCCGGGAGGCGGAGGTTGCAGTGAGTCAAGATAGTGCCACTGGACTCCAGCCTGGATGACAGAGCAAGACTCAGTCTCAAAATAATAATAATAATAATAATAATGATAATAATAATAATAAAGTAGTTACAATACAACACATTTATTTATAAAAGTGTTAAATTGTACAATCCTCAATTCAGATTGCTTCCACCACCATGGACACCACTGTCTCTATTATCCGAATTCTCCTTGTTGTCATTGTCATCCTCATCATCAGTGATCAATCACAAACTGCATTCGGGTAAATCTAATCTGTTCATAATTTTAAATTTTAAGTTATTTTATTTTGCTTCCTTTTCTTGAAAAAAAAATGAAGTGTTATTGTTAGCATTTGGATATAATGATGCACCATTTTGTAAAACATTTCCCAGAAACACTTTCCTTAGTTAAAATCCAATCTTTCTATTGGTTCCCCACTCATTGGTATTCTTCCTTTCTCTATTCAAAAGAAGCATTGAATTTAAAGTGGTGATTGTATTTTGGAACTGGTTTGACATGAAAATCTGTCAAAATACCATAGTGATGATTCATATTATGTTGCCATTATAAATATCTCTATTGTATTAGCGTGCTTTAATATCCTCATCACTTCACTCTTTAGCCCTCTTTATAATTCATAGTTTAAATGCTTAGCATTTCAAATTAAATTTTCTTTTCTGTTTTCACTATCTATTTTATGTGGAAAACAGTTATATTTTCATTACTTTTTAAAGTATATTCTAGCTTTAAACACGATGTCCATACTTCAAACCCAGCTTCTAAAATGTATACCTATTAGTTATTCAATCTGTTCGAATATAGCTAAATAACACAGTTGTTTTTCACCCATAACACTCAGGAAGCTGGAAACTATGGGTGCCCAAATAGATCACTAGATTTCCAAGGCTTAGTTCATATGTGGTCTCTATTCCCAGAACTCTATGTTCTTAACCTGCGGTGAAAATATGTTTGCTCTACCTTAATCTCCATTTTGCAACTCACACCATGTGGCAGCTTCTGATGATATCGGGATGGTAAAGTCCAAGGGGAATATCACATTCAGGCAGATCTCACCACTCACTTCCCTTTGTCATTTTAAAGTACGGTGTCAAACCCTTCCTGTTGTATAACACTCAAATTTGTGTCAGAAATAGTAAAAGTAAACCTTCCATTACACTAAAGTTCTTTTAGTTCTAAGTGTCAGAAAGAGAATTTTAGGGAGAATGATTATCACCTTATTTCTACCACTGCATGCAAGGTGTGCACCTATCGCTTTATGCTCTTAGCCATTAGCGGGTTCCAGTCGCTGAAATTCAGTTATAGTTCTGCACATTCACCTCATGGTGCTGTCTGCTAATCTGAAGATCCCCAATGGGAAAACCAGTCTTGCTAAGAGATGTGGTTTATGAGAAATGAGGCCTAATGATCATCTACACACAAATTGATTTGAGGAGTGGTTGCTTTTTCATTTTTTAGAAAAACGTTAACACCTCTGTTTTCATCACTGAGTGACTTAACTTTACATAGTTCAAGTTGCTCCTACCCACAGAGTCTCCACTAGACCCACTTGGCCACAGTTATTTTTGGCTTCGCCATACGCCCTCTGATCTGCAAGCCTTCCAAATCCTGTTGGAAGCCTTTGCCTCTCTCTTTTGTTTTTTAACAGTGTCTGCCAAACTTTATTCTTACTTCCAGATATCTCACACCTGGATGTCTGTAGAAACTTCCCATTAACTACATCTTCAAATACAATCAAATGTCTGGGAATTTCTTCAGAAAAATATGGGGGTGGGAGGTGGGTAGGGATTGGCCATGATTTGATAGTTATTGAAGTTGGCTGAACACTACATAGGTTTTTTCCGACTTTTGTCACTTCTTTTAAATATCTGCATTTTTAATTAAAAAGTTAAAAAGGGATTATCAGAGCTTAATATAACTTTTAGTTATAGCATACATATGCATATTCATAAAAAGTCAACGACTACTCTTGTCCATTTTATGGATTTTATTTTTTTATCATCAGCTAAAAATATTTAGAAGTGGGAAAATAAAGTAAAATAAGTAACTGTGTGGAGCTAGGTTGGTATGTTTAAAAGCCCAGCTTAGTGACTTACTGGCTATTGGGTTATGTACAAGTTACTTTAGTTATTCTTGTCTCATTTTCTTCATATGAAAACTTGGGGAGAGTAACAGTATATATCTTACAGAGGATTAGAAGGCTTAACACATATAACAAATGTAGTCATGTTCTGTTACACTGCAAACACTCATTGCAGGTTGATCACCACCACGGTTAATTCCTCTGCATAAATTTTGTGGCAACTGATAAATCACTCCCATTTAAAGTCAATGCCTGTAGACTTTTCCATGTGTTTTATTAATGGAGATACAAATAAGTCACAACAAATTCTAATGTATTAATGGGGTATTTTTAATTTTTCTTTATTCTGTGTTATTTAGAAATGGAATACTGATAATCTGTAGAAAAAGTAAATCTATGTGAATTACTATAAAATCTGAATATCATTTTACAGTATTTTCGTAGCATTCTCAGACTGAATTCTCTAAGGGCTAGTTTGGTTCAACTGGACTTTTTACTATAAAGCTGAGTTCTACCCTTCAGTTGTAACCAAGAAATTTCTTCTTTATGATCCCAAATGCCTGGCTCAGCCACAGCCACTCCTTCCACTCTTTGCTCTTCCTCTCATGTTCTGCTCCCCATTTCAGCCTTTTCAGGTTAAAGAGCAACTGCTGAGGCCCACGATGGTCGGGGCTCTTGGAGTCCTTTATGAGCTTGACAAGATCCTAACTGAGGGAGCTTTTTTTTTTTTTTTGAGACGGAGTCTTGCTCTGTCACCCAGGCTGGAGGGCAGTGGCGCGATCTCGGCTCACTGCAACCTCTGCCTCCTGGGTTCACGCCATTCTCCTGCCTCAGCCTCCAGAGTAGCTGGGACTACAGGCGCCCGCCACCACGCCCGGCTAATTTTTTGTATTTTTAGTAGAGACGGGGTTTCACCATGTTAGCCAGGATGGTCTCCATCCCCTGACCTCGTGATCCCCCCGCCTCAGCCTCCCAAAGTGCTGGGATTACAGGCGTGAGCCACCGCGGCGGGCCCAAAAACAATTTTTAACCTTGGAGGGTCCCAGTGGTGCTGTGCTTTGCATGGAAATGAGAAGAATGATCGTCTCCAGAATTCTGTGAATCCCTGTGTTATCTATTCCTTTAAATAACACTGTTTGTCTCAGAGTTCCATAAATAATCTCAAGTAAACATTTTCATCAGACATTGAGGGTGATCATCTCTCCATCAGGGCTCAATATCAATCTGAACTGGATTTAATTGATAAACCAGACCACTCAGCTCCTATTTGCAGTTTTATTTTCTCTCATCTTGAGAATTCATCACAAACATTATCTTCCAGGCAGTAGTCAAAATTTCAAATTCATATTACATCATGCACATGGCTGCCTTATGAAGCCATTGTCCATCAATTCTGATTTTATCTACCTGTCTATTCAGTGTGTAGGAAAATTTCCAGTAAACTCCTAAGGGTAACTACTGAAATTGGTATACAGAGAGCATATTCCTGGTGCAATTACATGTTTTAAGCTTCCATTTTTCCATTGTAGCATTTTTTTAGCACTTTTAACTCAGTAACGATTATGGAATTTCCTCTCCACATGCCTCTCTCTCATTCTTGGAAATGAAAGGATTTCTCTAAGACTAGGTGTTCCCAAACACAAGAAAGTTCTAAAAGCTCTACTCACCCTTTCCTTTTAATAATACTAATAATACCTATTATATCTCTTTAGTAGTTAGAACTAACACAAATGTTTCCAATTTAATAGTAGTGATTTATCAATGTTTGTGTTTCTAAAGAATAATCCACTGACTGACAGTATTGAGAAGGTTGAGTAGAAGAATGTTATTGGTAGAAAAACAGGGGTAGGAGAGATAATTATCCCACCTTTGTGTCCTTTTTAAAATACAAATAATATTTTATTATTATAGTCGCCTGCCTCCTTTCAAAATGCAGGTGGAAGTGAGAATGGAAAAATAATTGCTAGAGAAAACAGACAAGACCTTCTGATGCATCTGTAATACATTATGCCCAAAGGAAGGACACACAATTGCATATTCCCCAAATATTTTAGCAGCTGCACTAAAATGTTTCACAGCTAGGAGAATAAACTTGGGCAACCATTAAATGAGTCTGCCTGACTTTAAAATAATTCAAAGTCCAGGATTGCTTCATGATGGAGAAATGAGGAATTCATGCCAATGGTGTCTCTTTCAACCATTTTCCATCAAGATGATGTAAAACAGATCTGCACTCCCTGTTTCCCTATGTAGTTCTGCCAAAATGAGGCAGCTGTGCCATAGATATCAAGTCAGGTTTTCAGAGATTGGTCCTGCACACTGGCAATAGAAATGGTGGGAAAGCTATGGTGTTTGGATTCTGAGCAACCAGCTGTGTGATCTCAAGCAGGTCAGTAAACTTATCTCAGCCCCAGTCATTGTAATCAGTGCATAAGAGAATGTAAATAAAAAACCTGGAATAACACAACAGGAAATCGTGTTATATGTGGCATCAGACCAACTTAGATTGGTACCCATTCTCCTCATCACTGGCTTTATCACCTAACCTTCTTAATGTTGACAAATGACCAAAGCTTTCTAAGCAATAATATTCTTATCTTTAAAGTGATAATAGTATCTACTTAGTTGGGTTGCAAAGATGAAATGAGGGACAAGTGAAAGCGTCGAGAAAAGTAACAGGCATGTACTATCATTTCTGTATGCCTTTCTCACCTTAGAGGGACAGATGTTAATTTGACAGGGTAGTAGTCCCCTATTCTTTTTATAAGGAATTGCCACAAACTTAGTGTTTTAAAAAACACATACAAATTTATCTTACATTTCTGGAGGTCAGAAATGTGTATCACTGGGCTAAATCAAAACAAAACAAAAAGGTGTCAGCACCTTCTGGAGCCTTTGGGGGCTTGAATCAATTTCTGCCACTTCCAGCTTCAAAGGTTCCTCCGTATGGTTCCCTTCATGGTCTCCTTGCTCCATCTTCAAAGCCAGCAACATCTGGCCAAGACTTATTCATGCTGTGCTCTCTTTGACTCCCCTTCTGCCTTCCTTTTCCACCTATAAGGGCACTTGTCATTAGGTTGGCTGCCCTGGGATAATCAGGGATAACCTTCTCATCTCAAGGTCAACTAATTAGCAACCTTAATTTTATCTGCAATCTTAATTCTCCTTTGTCGTAACTTGGCATTTTTATGTGTTTAGGGGAAAGTATTGGACACTATGATGAGTCCATTATTCTGTGGACCACATACTAGAAAAAAAAACATGAAAAGTTTAAATAGAAGATGACTTTTGAGTTTCCTTGTGTAGGATCATTTTACAAGGTCGAAGAGGAAGGAATGTGTAAGCCAACTACAAGAAAATGTGTGTTGAAGGCATGGTGACATGAGAAGCATCACAATATGCTCAGGGAGTGGCCGAGGTGTGATTTAATTAGACAGATTGCACAATCACTGCATCCACTGGAAAGGATGCTGTTGACAGATGGAGAATGGACCTTATAGGACAGTCTCAAAGTTTTCATGCAGGGAAACGAGATAATTAAATGTGAGTTAACGGAGAGAAAAGTGGATTCTTAGCAACAATGTCAGGAATGAAAGCAGCTGAAGCAGCTGGAGGTGATTGGAACAGGTTTACACATTTGGACTTGATTACAATAGACCAAGAAGAACAGAATAATAGTATAAGAATAGGAAATGCATATGGATTGAAGAGAGGGAATGGACAAGATATCTGAATTTTATTGGAAGCAAGACGTGGAGTAGAGGGAGAAACCTAGGACACAATTGATTTTTTTTTTTTAGTTACAACATCCCACAAAATGTATGAGATCAACAGGAATAGAGAAGGAGGAACACCTTCAGAAAGTAGGAATAAAGAAAGTTTTAAAACGCAACATGTGGAACTTGAAAATGTCTGAATCCAGGGTGATATATTATTAATACTATAATATGTAGGTATAATTTTGGAAATTTATTCTTAATCATTTTATTCAGGGTATCCTGCCTCATTCTTTTACCCAAATTAAATCCATCCTTTATGATGCCACCAGAAGGATTTGACACCCAAATCTGATCAGTGCTTCCTCCACTTAAATCATTTTAATGGTTTTTCAGGATTCATATGATTAACTCCAAGCTTTTTAACCTGACATAAAAGCTACTTCTTTTTTTCAGCATCATACTGTACCCCAGCCCCCACCACAATAAACCAAAAAAAGTTGATTCCTGTCAATTAAGAAATGGATGCGTTTAGAAGCATGGATTTGTATACTTAAAATCCACATCTCTAGACTTCTTCGTGATACTGGATTCTATTGATAAAATAAAAAATTTAAACTAAAAGATTGTACCATTGTGTTTCTTCAGCAAACACTTTGATGTGACTCTGATTTCAAGTCTTCTCACCCCTCTAAAGGATCCAGAATGAATGAGTTATTTAACATAAATTGCCAGATGTACTTTCATAATGTGAAGGTGTGAGATGGGGGTACCACCTGATTCTGCTTAGTCCACAATGAGATGTAATATGCTTATGCTGAAAGCTGAGCTTTCAACTGGGTATCCTTGATATACAGCAACCTTGAAAAACCACAAAACTATCTTCTCAAAGTCTTTAAGCATGCATTATTCAGGCTACTTTGCTTTGGTTTTAAAGAAAAGATATGACGTTTGATGAACCTGAAAAAAAAGAATCCCTAGAAACGATTTTTCTCCTTTTTTATATTTTAATTTTTTGATAAAACATTGCTTATGGCCTAAAGACCTTGTAATGCATTTCCCTCTTACAGTAAGAAGAGAGGAAAAGAGAGAGAGAAATTGAAGAACTTCACCCTGATAAGATCTCACCACCAGGCAGGGCAGAAGTACAACAATATCTGATATGTAATCTTATCTTTCTTGACAGTTATATGCAGTTAAGAGTTGGCAGTACATAGAGATATTGAGCCAGTTTGATTAAATATTTTTAAAATATTAGAAAAAGGATATTTAAACCCTTTTCTTCTCTAATGTTACTTTAGTAATATACTTTAGTTTTAGACTTAGCAAATGTATTTGGAAGACTAAAATAGTACAGGCTAAAAGCACTGACACAAAGTGGTTTGTTAATCATCGAACTCATGTTAATGCAAGTGGTTAGGGAATAGCTAATTAGCTAATTTCTATGCATTTCAAAATGCATAGGTGCACTATTCATTGATAAATTAATTCTTCAGAATAGATTTCCTGGCTTATATCTTGATTTGTATTTAACATATTCTTTAATTGATCATTTAATATTTAATAACCATATACAGTAATGCAAAATTATAATAAAATTATAATTTGCGGTTATCAGGAGAATATGTTTGCATCTTGTGTTTGAATTGCTTTAAAATACTGTACCTATAATAAACTTGTAAAACATAATTATATAAAATATACTATATGAAATACACCTAAGGGCATATGGAAATAAAATATTTTCTTTATTATTCTACCAAAGCTTAAAACCTGGGCTACTAAAATAATACTAATTTTGAGACTCCAGTATCTAATAGATTTTAAAAGTATTAATAACATGCTTGTTATTTTCTTTTCATCACATTAATTTATCTTCAGCCTTCATCCACTTGAAAAGTGGTGAAATCTTCGAAAAGTAGGCGGTATATATGCACAATATTTATTAATTAAAGAGGATGCAGATATCTTGTACAGAAAACAACTATATTGTGAAGTGCCCACATTTGATCAAAGATTTAGTTACTAAGAGACAGCAGCAGATAGTGAAGGAACTTTCATAATTCAAATGTAGAGAACAAATATGTTATTATTGTATTAGTTTATAGGGCTGCCATGACAGGGTGCAACAAATTGGTGGCTTAAACAACAGAAATTTATTGTCTCATAGTTCTGGAGACCAGAAGTTCAAGGTCCGGGCTTCTGCAGGGCTGGTTCCTTCCTTGGACCTGAAGGAAAATCTCTTCCATGTCTCTCTCCTGACTTCTGGGGGTCACTGGGCATCTTTGGTGTTTGTGGCTTGAAGACGCATCACTTAAATCTCTGCCTTGATCTCCTCATGGCATTCTTTCTGCCTGTCTAAATTTCTCCTTTTATAAGGACGTGGGTTCTATTGGATTAGGGCCACTCTAGTGACCTCATATTATCTGATTATGAGCAAAAAACCTAGTTCCAAATAAGATCCCATCAGAGGTACTGGGGGTTACGATACTAACATCTTTTGTGGAACCACAATTTAACCCATAATAATGATCTTAAATTTTTTAGATAATTACATGAAAACATGCTTTGTGTGTGTGTGTGAAAATGTTGCTATTCCTGGGGCATAAAATAATGGCTTTATTATGCAGTTCTTGTTTTCTTTGGAAAACGTTCTCCATTCCTTTGAGTAAAACTGAAGTTGTTCTTGTTTTATAAACTCCACCCCGACACTCCACATCAAGCTCCAGTTAGAGTTTGGATATTAAAGTAATTAACTTTACCTCTAGGACATCATAATTTCTTGAGGGATTTTTTTTAACTAAAGCTTAATAAATCTGTCATAAACAAAACAAAAGTAAAATATTACAGTGCTCAGAAAATAAAATGTCATCAAAATTACAATTTGCCAATTACATTAGAAAATATACATTACAAAATGTCAAAAATAAGAATGGGAAGTTGTCATAAGATGTTCTTATAAATAAATTGGAGGTGATATTATATGTTAGACAACAGCACCAGGAAAACTCAATAAGCTGCCTCAAAACAAATGTCTCTGCTTATTTAGAAATTCCTGGGGTAGGCCGGGTGTGGTGATGCATGGCTGTAATCCCAGTACTTTGGGAGGCCAACATGGGCGGATCATGAGGTCAAGAGATCAAGACCATCCTGACCAACATGATGAAACCCCATCTCTATCAAAAATATAAAAATAAGCTGCACGTGGTGGCATGCTCCTGTAGTCCCAGCTACTTGGGAGGCTGAGGCAGACAAATTGTTTGAACCTGGGAGGCGAAGGATTGCAGTGAGCTGAGGTTGCACCATTGCACTCCAGCCTGGTGACAGAGCAAGACTCCCATCTCAAAAAAAAAAAAAAGAAAAAAAAAAAAGAAATTCCTGGGGAAAGTACAATTAGGTGGAAAAGGTGAATGGAGGCAAAGCAGCATCACTATCAGCTGGGATTCAACTCAAGATACCAATAATACTACAGAACACAAGAATAACATAAAATACTGTGAAAAATCATGGCAATAAGATCAAATGTGTGGGAAATTCCTGTTTCTTATAACAAAGATAAACAACACAATAAGCAAACACACAAATCAACAAACAAAATCTCTCCTTCATTCCTCCAGATATTTATTCAGGATAACAGTTTTCTGTAAAACTCTGAGTCTTTAAAAGGATTGGTATGTGCAAGTAAAATAAATATATATCTCATTATATATTTTAAAATATAATATCACTATAAAGTAGTTATTGTATCATATTATTTTATGCTTGTATTTTAAATATAAAACATTAATATTTTATATTTCCATTGTGCTTTCCCCGGCAATGTCTAAAGAAGCTGAGACATTTGTTTTGAGGCAGCTTATTGGGTTTTCCTGGTACCATTGTCTAATATATAATATTAGTTAATATATAATATTTTATACTTATATATAAAATATAAATAGAAAATAAATATGCTATTTTTATATTTATAGTTTATATTTATATTAGAATTAATACATTACGTTTATATTTATTAATAAAGATATTTAATTTATTTTACATTTATATTGATTTGTAGAGATTATTATTATTTACCTCTATAAATACCATATTTATTTTTATATATCCATACTATTGATTCTGTTTCCCTGGAAAACCCTGCCTAATACAACCACCATGGAAACTCCGAGAATAGCTCAATAACTCCTGCTCAACCACTCCACGCACACATTCGCGCACTTTGGAAGCACCTAATAAATTGCTCTTAGAAGGTAAGTCACTGCAGAGTTTCTCCCTCAGAAATGTAGGCTCCACATAGCTTGTAAGAATATCCTCTCACAGGGTGGTGAGCAAGCTAGAGGGATTTTTAGAGGAAGAGGGTAATAAGCTCTTAGTGGTTTGAGGATTCAAAGGAGATGTTAACTTCTAGACGTCTGGTGCTGCTCAAAGAGGAGGGAAGAGGATTATGCTTCTAGGTGTGCAAGAAACAAATCCCTGGGACCAGCAATGACTCAGTAAACCTCAGTGGCTTGGTCCCCTGAAAGATTGAGGAGGGTCATTGAACCAGGGCAGTGAAGGACCAAGAGGTCTGATTTTCAAATCCACTTCAGAAGAGGTTGTCCTAAAGGAGACTTCCCTGAGGAATCAGGATTTTACTCATCCAGGAATCACAGCAAAAGTTGCAAAGCATTGAATCTATAAATTACCTTGGGCAGTATGGCCATTTTCATGATATTGATTCTTCCTACCCATGAGCATGAAATGTTCTTCCATTTGTTTGTATCCTCTTTTATTTCATTGAGCCATGGTTTGTAGTTCTCCTTGAAGAGGTCCTTCACGTCCCTTGGAAGTTGGATTCCTAGGTATTTTATTCTCTTTGAAGCAATTGTGAATGGGAGTTCACTCATGATTTGGCTGTTTGTCTGTTATCGGTGCATAAGAATGCTTGTGATTTTTGCACACTGATTTTGTATCCTGAGACTTTGCTGAAGTCGCCTATCTGCTTAAGGAGATTTTGGGCTGAGACGATGGGGTTTTCTAGATATACAAACATGTCATCTGCAAACAGGGACAATTTGGCTTCCTCTTTTCCTAATTGAATAACCTTTATTTCCTTCTCCTGACTGATTGCCCTGGCCAGAACTTCCAACACTATGTTGAATAGGAGTGGTGAGAGAGGGCATCCCTGTCTTAAAAAAAAAAAAAAAAAAAAAAAAAAGTTGCAAGGCAAGAGCCATCAGAACCGCAGGGGCCTGGTTCAACCCCAGCCACATGTGCACCTGGGTGGGGGAAACCCATAATCTACTTTACCATTCTCTTCTATTTGATGGCATGAGGACTCAGGGTTTTTAGAAAGTTAGGTGAAGGAGAGGGATCACTCAAGATCATTCTTATTTCTTTGCTAATAAGGCAGGCAGTGTCTCAGCCATCTCAGATAAATAGTAAATTCTTAGTCCTATATAAATTAATACTTCGTTGCATGAACTGAGAAGATGTGCATGCATAAAATAGAACCTCATGCTTAAGGCTAGATTAAGAAATGTCAAAAAGGTGAATTCATATTAATAATATAAAACCAAATTTCCAAAGAAGAGAAAGGGAGAATAAAAGACTTAAAGCAGGACAGCACCTCCCCTCCCCGACTCCCACTTAAGAACACATCTGAAAGTGGGTACACCATTTTCATTTTCATGCCATTGGCCAGAACATTCTCAAGGCCTGTCCCCTTATAAAGGAGCCAAAAACCACAAATATAATTGCAAGTTTCCAGGTACACAGGTGGTATCTAGACCTATCACATGAAGAAGGAGAGGCCTGAAACTGGGAGGCAGATAGCAACCTGTCCCAAGCCCATAAACCAACATACGTGTGTGAATGCACCTCCCAAATAAAGCCTTAATATGACTTGCAAATGTTGGAACATCATTAAGAGTGATGGTTTCCAGGCATAACTGTACTTAACCAGGGGCTCTATCTTCAGATGCCGCCATTTGTGGCATTGTACTAGATACATCAATGTTAAACATAAACAGTATTCAATTTAACACAAAATGCAGTTCTAAAAAAATTGTTCTGTGAGGGGAATTGAGCATATTCTGAAAGGCAAAGGTTGAACATATTGCAAAGGAAAAGAATTCCCTTTAGCAGAGGGTTTTGATAGTGGGAGCTTCACTTACACACCCTTAGGAGGACTGTAATGGACAGCTTTCCAAGTGAAACAGATACTGTTAAGAATGAGACTGCAATTGCAAAGCGTAAATTGCAAAGACAGAGGAGAGATAGAGAAGCCTCTTTCATTTTTCATATTAAAGCATTAGAGACAAAGTTATCACTGGTAAATCTCTAAGGAGTAATTTGATCAATGCTCAGCTGTGACCTTTTCTATATGAAATAGATGGTATGTTTGCTTTGTGATTTCTTATACTCTGTTAGTGATGAAGTCACACGCACACTATAGTCATAACATGATGAGACCTCTTTAAGGTTGTTTCCTCAGCATCAAATATAATGCATATTTCATTATTTATCCATTCTTATCCATTAAAATGCTATTTTAAACGATGTATCAGCAAATGTAATCAGAATGATTTTATTCTAGTAGAAGGTGATTTATTGCACTAAGTAGTATAGGCCTAAATAGCTAGCACGAAAAAAATGGGACTCACGGGAAATGCGTCAAAACTTCTCCACAGTATTATTACTCAAATAGGAAAATACATTATTCAATTAGTGGCTTTAACATAATTTCGGCAACATCAGTAAAATTTGCTTCTTAATAAGTCTAGGAATATGAAAACAGCATTTAATATAGATAAATCTATGAATAATATACACTTTCTATTTATTTGGGGAATTTTGTTTTCCCAAATATTTAAATGGTTTTTTTTTTTTGTATATTGTTATTAGAGCAACAAGAAAAAAGACAAATAACATTTTAGAACTTTACATCTTTTCCTTCATACCCTGACATTTCAGTCATATGATATGATTGGCAATGCTTGAAACCTCGTTATCAGTCAAACCAGTGAGAACTGGATAAGCCATTTGTTTTGTATGCAAAACAGCAAACAGACCTTTTATTGCTTGATGTATAATTGTCTATCTTAGATATATTGGAACATAATCAAAATCTATACTACAATATGACATATTGTACAAGTTTTTCTCCAAATAAATTTTCTTGAATATTGTTTCTGGCAAATCTAATTTCCTAAATCAGTGTATACCAAATTAAACTTAATTTACACCCAAATGTGTAGACTGATGTTTGTTGACATTACTCCACAAAAATGTGAGTTACATTGGAAATGAACATAAAAAAGTTAAGAGCAATACACAAATTAATTATAGAGACTGGTATCTATAGAGTATAAATTAATCCAAAGTGCAAGAAATTCCAAAAGGCAAAATATGAAATAATGTAAATTTTGTCTACTGTTGGAATTATTAATAATCAGCAAAAAGAAGAGGGAATGCAACTAATGAAGTAGAAAAACTTCCAAGTCTTTGCTAGAAAAATAGAGTCAATTCTAGATGTTTGTCTATGTCAAATTAATTTCAGACAAGGCTCATATTTTGCTGAAAACTCACATATTGTGCGTAGTAAAAGTGCTGGATGATGTTTTTGTTTGTTTTGTTTTTCTTTTCACATAAAAACTATCATTTCACTTTATGCAAGGGTCTTTCAGATCTTGAAAGGACAACGTGGATGATGACAGATCTACAAAGTTGTAATATCATTGGGGAAATAAACAGAGTTTGTGCCATCAAAAGATTTTCAATATAGAACAATCTGGTCAAAATTCTATATTGAATGAAGATGCTTAATGGAAGCAAAGAAAGAATAACCTTGGTTTACGTATTTTGAAGGATTGACTGGCATGCTTAAAGAAAAGCATATGTGACGATGTGCCTAAACTCCTCATAGTTGTATGTGATTTAGCAACCAGTGAAATAGATGAACTGCCTTTGGGAACCCCATTTATTTCTAAATGGAAGAGGTGTCCTTGTATTCAACAGTTTTTTTATACATATTGTACAGATTCCAGATTTTATTGTGATCATCTTTGGAAAGTAATAAGTGTATTTCCTTCTGGGTAAATTGCATCACTACAATGAGAAGGCATTATTTTCTAGCTGCTTTTTCAAATATAGTCACTGACTCTGAACCCAAGTAGTGGGTCTTAAGGTCAATAATGACAAAGGAAAGTACATTACTGAATTAAAACCAGAGATTGCTAACAGTAAGACATCATGGCCTATATTAATTTGAGAAGCACATTACTTAATGGCTATTTAATAAGTATCTCCATATGTATGCAGTTTTACTGACAAATAAACAATAATCTCTTCCCCTGCCCCAACCTGCTTTCAGTTGTCCTTTAATTAAACTGAGTGAGCATACATTAATTAACTAAAAGAAGTATTGTGCTGTCTGAAAAAATAATATGTAAAAATCATTTTATGAAAGCATATGTTACAGCAACCTAGTTACATTTGACATATTTCTGTATATTCAATATATCAGTATTTTGGCAAAATTACAACACATGTACTTTTAAAAATGCATAAAGGAAAGCTCGCCTGTATCTCTTTCTGAAGCACAAAATTAGTTTAATTAATAATTTATGTAATAGTATTTGCTATTTAACAATATGAAAAATGTTAAGTTATCTAATATAGTATTGAAGAAGTAAAAGCTCCATAATGAAAAAAACTAAACACAAATTACTTTTTAGAAACCTCTCAGCGATAGAGGTAGGACAGGTATATTTTAGTTTTGAATATCAATGCCAAGAAAGAAGCACATTTGTGAGACAGCTGGCTAGTTCCATTTCTTCAACTTGTCATGTAATTAATTGGATGAGTTTATAAATGGAAATTGTAACAAGGCAACACCCATATCATACCAGATGGTACATACTTCCTTAGATCTGAGAATATCTGTATTTAATGTATTTTATTTAGTTTGATATATCTACTAAAAGTAGTGTGCAAAAATGGTTATGAACAGGAGCACTGGAGTGAAACTGACCTGGGTTTGAATATCCAGCTCTTCTAATTTGTTCATTCAATGAATGTTTACCCAATATACCTACTATGAGGTAGGTGCTCTCCAAGGTTCTGGAAAACCAGCCAAGATTAAATTGTTCCTTGTTCCTGGGTATTTACAATCTAGTGGGAGGAAGAAAGAACTAGCAATGACATACATTAGATTAGAATGCATTGTCAGATAGCAAAAAGCACTATTAAGGGGAAAAAGAAGAGTAAAATAATAAAAATATAGAAAGCAGAAGTGTATGCTTTGTCTTTAGTGGGATGCTCAAGTTTAATTAAAAGATTATTTTTAGACCAGTTTAGAATGCCATGTCCACAGTACAAGGAAACCAGTGAGGCTGAAGTGGTGGGAATCAGGGGCAGGGACAAGAGAGTTAGTGAGGAGACTTGCTTTCAATCCTTTAGGACAAAATTAAGATCGACGTTTTTTGCTCAGTGTAAGATGAAGTCATTGGAAATTTCAAGTAGGGTTGCAAGGCTGTCAGTTTTATTTTAAAAAATCCCTTTGGCTGCTGCAGGGAACAAGGCAATGATGGTTTGGGCATAAGGCAGATGGGGGTGATGCGAGGGAGTTAATGTGTGATATATTTTGACGATACAGCTTATAAGATTTGGATTAAATTTTGTTTATATATATAAAAAACTAAATATATTCATATATGTATATAAGAGTCAAGGTTGAGTCCATGTCTTTTGATTGGAGCAGCCAAATGAATGAAGGTGACTTTTACTGATATTTGCATGTTTTCTAATTAAATGCATAACCTTTAACCTCTCTAAAACCTGTTTTCCTCATTTGAACAAAACGGTAACAAAGATATCTACTCCACAGATATGACAATTTCCTCTCTCGAACTCCAGCTTCACTTTCTACTTACTGCTATCAATAATAACTAACTTTCATTTTGCATTTTGCGCTTTAAACTGCTTTCGAATATATTTCTCCCAGGATTGCTATGAGATGCATTTGATTATAATAACAATAAACTCACAAACAAAAGACAACAAAATCAAACTGAGGCTGAGAAAAGTACAGTGCCCACAGGCTTATAGTCTTTAGAGAGACTGAAGTGCAGTTAATTCCACAGCTCTCAAGTGGAATTGCTGGCTTGAAATCTGTCTTCCATTTCAAGTCCTGTGCTCCCTCCACTATCTGCTTTCTTCTCCTGGAATGATATCACTGCTGTTTACCTGGGTGAATATAAAACAAAAAGAGTCTAAAAAATTAGGAGCCTATTTGACCTTCCTAGATTTCTATTGATTGATTGATTAGGTTCAAAAACAGGGATGGGGTCTTGCTATGTTGCACAGGTCTTGAGCTCCTAGGCTCAAGTGATGCTCCTCCCTCAGCCTCCCAAAGTGCTGCGATTATAGGTGTGAGCCACTGTGCCAGGCCAGTTCCCTAGATTTGAAATTACTTTGGGGTACAATTAACTTGAGTTACATCAGTAACTTGAGTTACATCAACTGTAAAGAGTAACGTAGGCAGAATTTCCCTTCATTATTTTCATTATTTTTGTTTTAGCCTGGACGTTTTTCTTTCTGTCCGATGCAAACAATCTCTTTTTCTCAGGTACTCAGGTATCTCTTATTTGTTGCCTTTTTCTTGGGTAAACAAATAGATGGCTATGTGGGACTAGCCTTAGCAAGAAAACATACCTGAAATTATAAATAGTTGATTGGAATGAAATTATAGGATATTTTCTCTGTGCCGGGCAGTATGTTGCTCATTCTAAATAAGCTAAATATAATAGGATAAATTACCACAATACATTATTATATGTGTTGGCTCCAGAGCTAATGATAAATTATAAAATAAGATCCATTTCTGCCTTCAAAGAGCCCCTGGTTTGTAATAAACAATATTCTCCATGTCAACAGGGGAGACCATCTTTGTTTAAATGCTAGCCAACGTTGGAGTTTAATATGGAAGTCTTGACTTGATCAGAAATCCTTAGTATTCAAGAATTTTACATCTTTCCCTTAATCTTGTCTGGATTCATATGGCAAGCCAGATGTCCTGGAAATGCCCAAAGGGCGGAGGCTGCCTTCCCACCATCTGGAGATGGTCCTTTGTAATATTGCAACAACACTATCTCCCCTTTCCCTATACCCATATCAAACACCAGACTCAACAGCTGGATGTTCAATTATTCAGGCCTCATAAGTACTCTTTAATTACTACTCTACACTATCTTTTAAACTAATAAACACAGAACTAGGCTGTGCAGTTATAGTTACAACTGAACCAAATATGGGAAATATTTGCATTAAATATTTATTATTGTCTTCAGGACTTTTCAATGTATATTTTAAAATAATTTAAAGACTGTTTTTTAAATATTTAACTTGAAATTTGTTCTTATTAATTTATAATTTGAATTTAAATGTGTAATTATCTTCATGGTTCAAATCAAATATCTTTAATTTTACTGTCTTTTGCACTAAGTTCATAGTATAATATAGACCGTAGGATGAAGAAAATAAATAAATTTATAATATGTAGAAAATAAAGGGAGTATAATGCTTGGAAAAATCTGTAAGAATCTGAACACTGACAATTTAAGACAAGTGCAACTTAAGTGCTAACAATTTATGTGAATTTTTGCATACTTTTCACTAAAAAAGTAACCCTGCCATCACAATCACGGTGATACCTAATATTATCTATGTGCAGATAAAAGGTACCTTCATAAAAAAACACATTGGCAAAATATATCATATGCAATTTAAGTATAACAGAGAAATAGGTATTTGAAAATAATATTCTTCTGATTACAAATAACTTTTTAAGCAGAAATTTTTATTTCCTTAAAAATGGTTTTCAAAGAAGAATAAGAACTATTAAATCACTATCAGTATTAGTTCATTTTGAATGTCTCTGTCATTAAATACTAGGAAACATTCCTTAATCATTTTTTTGAGTATAACTTTGCAATCAGGTTTATGCAATAGTTCCACTGTATGAATATGCGACTACTCATGGTGAACCATCTAATATAATTTTACCAAGTTAAAAAGTCTACCATAGGCTATAATCATAGAGTATTTTTTATTGTAGTTGGTTGAATATTTTTTAAGACCTATGTCTGTAAAATACAATACATATCTTGTATTCTTAGTATTTCTTTATTCCCCTAATTGGCCATTTGTAATTGAATGGGGGAATGAAATTTCCATCTCATGACAGTTTTATTCACCTAACATCATCTCATGCTAAGAACAATACTTACATCCTCTAAGTTGGTTTTATAAAGGGCAAGTATGAATTCTAGAAATATGAACATTTTGATATATTTCCTTTTAAAACCTTGTGAATAACAAATATTAAAATAAAATTAAATTAAATTTCTATAATGGAATGGGCATTTGGAGTAGAATATATCTATGTTTTATTCAAATCTCAAATTAGGCCTTGGCAATTGCTTCTGAATAGACAATGTAGTAGGCTACAGAAATGACTCTCATAGATATCAGGTTCTAATCATTGGAAACATTACTTTATGTGAGAAAAGTGTGATTGTAGTTATAATTAAGCTAATGATCTTGAAATGGGGAGATTTTCCTGAGTTCAACTGTATGTAATCACATGTACCCTTGGAAGAGGAAAGTGGAAGGACATAAGTTCTCTCTATCTCATGCACACACACACACACACACACACACACACACACACACATACACAATATCAATGGGAAGGCAAAGCTCAGGCTTGAAGATGCTGGCCTTGAAGACTGGACTGATAAGGCCAGGAGCCCAGGAATGCTGGCAGTCACCCCAGGAAGAAGGATGAAGGAACAGAATCTCCCTGGAGCTCCAGAGGGAGCTCAGGTCTCTCACCTTGATTTTGCCCCAGTGAGATTGATTGGCCTTCTGGACGAGAGAACAATTCCTGTTGATTTAAGCCACAGACTTCATGGTAATATGTTACAGAAGCCACAGGACTCCAGTACCGGTGAGAAAATGAGACAGTATTGGTGTAGGTGTAGCACTGGGTTCATTTAAAGACAGCAGTGTTCTGAAATATTTTGTCTGTTTTTGTGAGCCTAAAAATACTTTATCTCTTAACAGAGATTTTTCTCCTTCATCTACATTCCGTCTAGCTACCCCTGTTCCTGACATTGCTGAGGGCCCTGGGGTCACAAGCATAAGTCTATTCTGATGGAATCAGGTTCTGCTGCTGTAGCCTGGGAAGGCCCCACCTCAACGACATCTGCTGTCTTCTGCAGCTCCTCCACCTGCAGGAGGGTCTCAGTTATTTTGACCCTTGTTCAAACCTAGAAGTTAGAAGTTTTGTGGCCCCTGGCTGGGACACTCCATGACCAAGAATCAGTGTATAAATTCTCTGCTTTTCCACTTTTAGAGTGAAAAATTATGGGTATACATTGCTCCTTGGAGGATCCCTGTGGGTCTGAGATCTAGGTGCCTAGAGCAGAATTCAGCTCAACAACAGTTCTTTTCTTTGGCTACTTCTCTTTCCTCATTTTACTTTTTCAGTCTACTCTCCTGTTCCTTGAGATTATTTTCTAAAATCTTCACATAATCCCAGCCTTAGCTCTGGACCTGAATGGAACCAAACATAAGACAGCTGGTACCTTCTAGAAGGTAGACTGGAAGAAGATTTCTGGAAATAGATCACTCACTGATCTGACAGCATTTCAGAACCACTGCTGGTGGTAACAATAATGGGGGCATCTCCCAGAATGCAGTAACATCACAATTGCAAGATTCATGTCCATTATGACTTGAGATGAGCTAACGTGGTGGTTGAGAGATAAAGTTGCTGAGGGAGGCAATGGTACGTGTAAAGGCAGTAGAGTGAACTGGCTTTTTAAAATGGCTTTTGACACCTTGACAACAGAAAATGACATGCTCAATGTAGCTATCAATTCAAAGTACATCATAAAAGTCAGGAATCCTTTATGCAACAACCAAAGGAACCCTTATTGCCTCCTTATCTCCTACAGCTCCATGGCACATTGTGCTGAAAGTCAGGCCCAACATATAGACCAATTAGTTAGCAGAGCTATAATTAGACTAAATGCAGCCCTTGGTAAGTACCTTCACTAAATTCAGGGCTGTGATAAGGCAGACCCATGGCCATGAGACCTGCAATGGGGACACTGCTTGGGTGGACAAGCTGAGAATCCTCAGCAATTGCTTCCAATTGTCACCTAGGGTACCTAGCTCCCACTCGCTTGGTAGAAAAGACCATTCTCACCTCTGATGGTGCCCATATAAAGACATTTTCTGAGACAGATTTCTCACAAGATGATGTTTGTTCTTCCCTTCGAAAGTCTGTTCTAATTTCCCTCATTAGCACTAGGCCAGGGGTTGGCAAACTTTCTGAAAACAGCAAAATCATAGGTATTTTAGGCTTTGTGGATCTGAATCAAGGGCATGATGTGGGCATTTATATAACTGTTGAACAGATCACCATTTAAAAATAATAAATCCATTTGTAGGTTGAAGGCCACACAAAAACAGGCAAGAGGTGGAAATTTGACCTTGGGCCATAGCTTGATGACCACTGATCTCCACTTCTCAGTTATCCAACTTTAAATTTCATCAGACTCACTTAGAGGATTTGTTAGGATCATTTCTGTAGCCTAACTCCAGCGCTTCTGATTCACTAGATCTTGGGTGGGCTGATAATTTGCATTTCTATTGAGTTCCCAGGTGGTGCTGATACTGCTGAGTGGAAAAATCACGCCTCCAGACTGAGAGTATTACATTTTAGCCTGTGCAAGGATATACAGTCTCAGTACTCAGAGGAAAAAGTGCAGTCAACTTCTGGCAAGAGCTGCTATGAACCAGCAAGACATAGAGGACGCAGTTAGGAGTCACCCTTCCGGGTGCTGAAGCGCAAAGGGCAGAACTTAAAGTTGGAAGGAGAATGTATTTGGGTGGAGACAGGTGTTGGAGACCATTACACCTGGAGTAGCTCCTGATAAGAAGTGACTTTTTACTACTGCTTACATTTCTTTTCTTGAAGCTTGGACATGACTGCAACCTACAGAAAATGAGGTAGGGATGTTGGACACATTTTAGCACATTTAGCATGGCTCAGGAGGCACGGGAGGAGATACTAGTTTTGATATTTTATGTGAGACCAGAGAACCCATTGCTTGACTACATTCCCTGAAGGCCCAGCAGTCACTCACTTTACTGTGACAAGATAGAATACACTAGTGAGGAGGCCAGTCATATCATTGAACCCTGGCCAAAGTTCATTTACGGCAAGCCCATTGGGATAACACACAATTCCTATTGTCATTTCTCTGACCCTGGAGTGTACAATTGTGACAGATACTCTTAGCAACTGACTGGGGAGGCTCACTTTAAAATCCAGTGTGTTCCTATTGGCTCCCTGACCTGTGGAGTAAGTTAGTATGGAAGCAGGCCAAGTGCTAATCCCTGAAGCTGTCTGCCCCTAGTCAAGATCATAGAATCTACTGCATCTCAGGAAAAACTGCAGAGATGAGCACAACATCAAAGACTTAGAGTATAACAGGTGTGGTGGCTCCCATTGCAAAAGGTTCAACTAACCTGTTTTGTACCTGCAAAATCCAACTGTGTCATACGGGTGATAAAGGAGTGCAGTAACGCAAATTCCCACCCACCCCAACCGGCCTATGCTGGCTGCGATATTAGCACAAACCTTGACACTTGGTTAGTTCCTACGGAACTGGAAAAAGCATTGTTTGAATCCTCATTGTTAAGGAAAAATAATTTATTTCAGTCATGTCTTACACCTAAGCACAGTTTAAGTATTAGTAGTGTGAAATTTTTCCTATCTCGCCATGAGACATACATAGCCATCCTCTGAGACGGGTTACACAGGTGAAACAGAATTCCTAGTGAAGTACTTGACATTGTAGAACACAGAAAAATAAATCTGGGGAAGAGGAATATATGGGGGGAGGGCAGATTTGATGAGATGGAGAACAGGGGAATTTCTATGTCAACATTTTTCTCACCTAGCAGAGCAAGCCTCCCTTGGGTAAAATTTTGCTAAGTACTCTTAGTAATACAAAAGAAAAATATAAGACAGAGTGCTTAACATCTACCTGGAAGACCTGATAAATATTCATAAAACCATGAGAGAACAACACATATCATTAACTCTCCTGATTGTGTGATGAAACTATTTAGTATCATGGGCCTTAGGAGAAGAGAGAAGTCTGGGTTGGAGTAATTGAAGAGAGTTTTATGGAGGAACTGGGATTTGAGAAAAGATGGATGAATAGTATTCCAAAAAGGAAAGTGACTAATACACTTCCAGTAAAGAGGACAATGCCAAATGTACACGATGCAAGAAAAGATACTCTTAAGTTATAGGACAGGGAAAAAGCCAGTACAATTATTAAGAAAGCAGACTGAAAAATGTTCACTTTCCTCAGATAGCGAAGAGGTTTTTGTTTTGTTTTGCTTGAGACGGAGTCTCTGTTGCCCAGGCTGGAGCGCAGTGGCACGATCTTGGCTCACTGCAATCTCCGCCTCCCAGATTCAAGCGATTCTCTTGCCTCAACTTCCTGAGTAGCTGGGATTACAGGCATGTGCCACCACACCTGGCTAATTTTTATATTTTTAGTAGAGACAGGGTTTCACCATGTTGGTCAGGCTGGTCTGGAACTCCTGACCTCATGATCCGCCTGCCTTGGCTTCCCAATGAAGAGGTCTTTAAACCAGTCAGCTTCATTAAATTATGATATAATATCAAATTATGAGGGATCATAGACATTTAAGCAGATGCATTGCATGGCATAAGAAATGCCTGACAGACCAATCAGGGAAAGGCCAGCAGAATGAGAACTACCGACATTTTTCTTAATTGTTTGGCTGTTAGTCTATTGTCATCTGTAAAATTATTTCTCCTCTAGCTGTCCAATAAATCTTGCAAACCAATAAATCATCCTTCATAGCCATTTCTCACTTTGCACTTTCTTCTTCTGTCTCCTTCTGCAGTCTCATCTATATTTGGGGATTGACTTACCACATATTCATAGGTTTCAATTTTGTTGTTATTGTTGTTTTTGTTGTTGTTGTTTTGGTCTCTAAGCCAGATCTGTCTTTTAAGATCCCAGAACCAAATATTTACCTTCTTCCTAAATACTTTTACCTGGAAGAGGCAAACTTAACAGGGCAACAGGAGTTGGGATGGCTATCAGTCTCATGTAACAGAAATTAACAAAGTGTATGTTAAACAAGTAATTTTTTTGCAGGCTATAATGAGCCCCAGGCTGATGTGTTCAGTGCTAAAGCAATTGTTCAATGCTCCAGTCTCTTCTTTTAGTCACACTGCACTGTCCTTAATGTGTGGCTTTCCCCCACCCCATGGTTATAAGAAGCTACCACTCTTTAAGGAATGTCTCTTCATTTCAAGGAAGAATAAGTGAAAAAGAAAAAGGCAAAATGCATGTGCAAATAAAGGTCATTACTTATTTAGAATAATAGGTTTCCTAGAAGCCCAAGCCAGAAAGTTTCCATTTCAGTTTCCTTGTCTGGAAATGACCAAGTCACTCCTGGATGCAGGAGAATACGGAAAATCCAGTTCTTACCTATCTACAGTGCCACAACTTTACAAAAACAAAGTGTTATTCGTAAAACAAAGGACATAAGATAACCAATCAAAAGTCTCTGCTGCAGCATCCAAAATTCAATTCATGATGGCCCACACCCAATTAGGTGGTCCTGCAGTGCTGCCTATATCAGTGAACAGTTCCATAGTTCTCTAGTGATTCAAGTCAGAGCAATAATATTCACCTTTGCTAACCCTCCATACCCTCTGTATATCCTTGCACAACAATTTTTCTCCCCCAACCTATCACTCGATTTCAAGGTAACATTTATCTCCGAAGCAATTATTGAAGCATCATTCAAACCACTGTCCCTGCATCTAAACTTGCCTTGAAGCTTCTTCCAGTCAATTTACCACTGTGCACTGAGTTATCTTCTTAAAAGGCAAATTGGAGAGGATCACCCAATAGTTCCTATTCAACAGCTTCCCATTGCCCTTACATAAAGGTCACACTCACACATAACCTACAACATCCTTTAAGTCTAAATGCTGACAAGTTGTATTTCACTGCCACCCCTCCCCACTATATTCCAGGCACATGGGCCTTGCTTGTTTCTTGTTCTTTCCTGGTTCTCTCTTTTAGGATTTTAAACGTGTTTTTTTCTCTGTCAGGAACACCCTTGTTTCCCAAGTTCATTTAACTGTCTTCAGCCTATCTTCAAATTTTAACTCTACTGTTACTTCCTCAGAGATCTCCTTTGTCTTCCTGGCCAGGGGAACACTTCATGTTTATTTCTGTGATGACTGTGTTTGATCCCTGAAGCAGGCTCCATGTATTTTCCTCCTCATTTCTGTGCCACCTGTTCCAACAATGTGTTCAATTATCTGTATTTATAAAACAAATTGAAAAAAGGAGGGGAAAAGGAGGAACAATTCTCCACTCCATAACTCCACTCTTTAACTCTGTTTCCATTAGGTAGATAAGAAAATCACCATCATAAATTGGAGAAAAAGAGTATCCTAGGGAAATATTCAACTATGATAAATTCATAAGAAGAAAAATAAATCAGAAAGCCATAGGCTGGTTTTACTTAACAATATGAATGCAAGATCTTAAACACAATATTGGCACATAGAATAATTCCAGAATTCATTTAATAATGAAAGCTATTGGCCGGGCACAGTGGCTCATATGTGTAATCCCAGCACTTTGCGGGGCTGAGGTGGATCACTTGAAGTCAGGAGTTCGAGATCAGCCTGGCCAACATGGTGAAACCCTGTCTCTAATAAAAATACAAAAATTAGCCAGGCGTGGTGGTGGGTGCCTGTAATCCTAGCTACTCAGGAGGCTGAGGCAGGAGAATCGCCTGAACCCAGGAGACGGAGGTTGCAATAAGCCAAGATCGTGCCACAGCACCCCAGCCTGGGCAACAGAGAGAGACTCTGTCTCAAAAAAAGAAAAAGAAAAAAGAAAAAAAAATCTATTACTAGGTGTTGCTTATTCTATATAATTAACACACAATTTGATAAAGGATAGCTATTAATATAAATTTTTTACATTAATAGGTTAAGGGAGAGTTAAGTAAATATGGTAATTTAGGAGATACTGAAGAGATAACTTCCATTTCTGAAGAAAAACTTTTTTTGCTACAAGGAGATGATCATATTAAGGAAAACACCTCTATTGCAAACAGTCATTGACATTTAAATTAAAATGAATTTATTTTAAAGTATGAAGTCTACCACAGATCTGTGGTATGATCCAGAAGCTCCTATCAATTCTGCAACAAAAAACTATAACAAAAGAGTAAAATAAACTTTGATATTGAGCAGTTAAAAATGTTATTTCCAGATAACATAATTGGCAAAAGGAAACAAAAAATGACCAAAAATAAATGAGGAGTTTTTACATCAATTAGAACAAAGTCATATGATAAATTTTATAAGACAAACACACTAAAATGTTAATCATGGTTATGTCCGTATAGTTCCAATACTTGACAATTAAAATGTTTATTCTAATTTTGGAGTTTTCATATTCCTTTATAATCAGAAAAAATAGTTGCTATATACATTTGTAAAGGAATGAGGAATTCGCATTTAGTTAGAGTTGTAGTGACTTGATATATAGAGTGCATATAGGTCTTTATTCTTGTCAAACTGTAAATCATTTTCTGGTTTTAAGATAGACACTAATATAGATAAATTAACTTATGGACCACTTGGATGCCATTCAGTGCTCTGCTCTATTCCTGAAAGTATAAGAAACTACAATAAATGTGAACTAATACAAATGACAACTGTACATTTTTACTTTACTATTCAGTTTTTAAAGAAGTATATCAAAACACATAAGGTCAAAAGATTGGGGACCTTCCCATATTTTAACTTTGGACATAAATATTTTATTTTGCCATACTTATGTTCATCCAAATAACCCCAAGTCTCTTATTGTAGTTGTTTTCATAAATGCTGACATAGTATCATTTGTGAGAAATCTTGCTCTTTGGGAATAAATTTGATTTTAGAGATTAGACACATGTCATTCAAAGTTAAGTGTGGTGCTTCAGTATCTGATGAAGTTGTACAGCAATGTTTTCGGTCAAACATCACGAGATACATAATATAAAGGCAATAATTTTACTTAGGAGCTTGGAACTTAGTTACAATACCTGTGCCAACCATTGCAAATTTTAGAGAAACCTCTTAAGAATGTTTAACCTCTGTTTTATCACCTTAAACTAGTAATAGTATTTAATTCCCTTTTCTTACAGAGTTTGTGGTCAATCACTGTTATATCAAGTTAGCGTTCTTGTTTCTGTTGTAGATTCCATAATAGTAACTTGGGCAGTGGGGGCATTTTTGACATTCATAGTTTCTCATATGAATAAAGCAACATCATATGAAATACTTGTTTGCTAAAAACGTATAATGAAAGTATAAATATAAGGTTAATTTATAACCCTATATTTTCTAAAATTCAAATATTCAACTGTAATACTTCTAATATTAATGTGTGTTTAAGCAGAGAATATTCTTTCAATCTTGATTTTATATGTGGTAGGACTCTGATTTTTCTGATTTAATACATTTTACATCTAAGTAGCTATGAGATATTGATAACCTACTTTCTATATTAGATATGAAATTTATAAGTATTTTTTCTACCAAAAATGTTTTTAAAATATATACTTATGTATATAAAACAATCATCATGTATTTTTGGAAGGCAGTTGTCAGAAGTCTATAGGAATAATGATAAATAAGTATGGACTGCATTTTTTTCTGAATAAACTTTTACTTCTGTGGAGATAACTCTACAGAGAACATTAATTTCCTTCTTTTTGACTTTTGATCGTGATAGTTGTCAAATGTCATTTTCGTTTCCAAATCTGTCTCAATATAATTTATCCTTCAGTCTATATATAATGTTTACGCTGGTTCCCAGGAGATATGAAAAGTTCTGTTTGACATATCATTTTGTGGAAAATTGTGTCTTCATATTTTCATATATCATGTCTCTATATTTATTCTACATCTTACTCTACAAATCTTAGTATGCTGTGTACTATCAACAGCAGAATGCTAGAACTTATTGTTTTAGAAAGAAAATGAATGTGTGTGTGTGTGTGTGTGTGTGTGTATGTGTGCATGCACACACACAGATATATGTATACACATTCCTGCCAAAAAGAATCTGTTATTTGCTATCAATTCATATCAGGAAAGTTTAAAATATTTTGTCCTAATTTTTATTATTCTTATTTTACATTAAAAACAAAGCATGTATCTTGTAAAAAATGTAAAAATATCAGGGTCACCTAAAATTCACATGGACCGGTTCTCAACTTATGTCTCATAAAGTAATTTTCTAGAAGGTCTTAATTATTTCACATTTCATGCAAGGAATTTTAACATTAATACTTGTAAACACCACTTACATGAGATACAATTCATTTTGTGGGAGAGCTGCTTTAAGTTGTCTGGAAGATTTCTTACATGAGAGTTTGCTTTGTGTGTTCATTGGACACTCTTCCTCAGTCTCCCATGCTTTTTTTTTCCTTATTTGCTGAACTCCAAATATCTACGTGCTGCAGAGATTAACTCTGGCCTCCCTTTGCTCTTTATACATTCATTTGTTTGGTGAAATCAGGCAATCACATAACTTTATTCCGAGCAGCCCCAAATTGATATAATTTATATGTCCATCCTCCCTTCCACATGAGCAAAACCTGTTGCCTCCTTGACAACTCCACATGCATGTCTAATAGAGATCTCAGATTTCATGTCTAAACCGAGCTCCTGATTTCCCTCTCTCTGCCTTCATGCGGGGACTGCAATCACATCACAAGGACTGTATGTGATTATGAATAAGAAAAATGGATTTCTTAGGATAGATGCGGAACAAACTGCATACTGCATTACTGGATTTTTTTTTTAAAGGCATTCTGACAAACTCAATTACCTTCAGGATGTATGGTCTGGAGAGAAAGGATCTAGATTGTATTCCAAACATGCTGCTCTAGCTGGATAACATGTTGTACAGAGCACAGTCTGCACGATGGGATGGAATATACCTCCCTTGCTGGCTCTGCAGATTCTTCTCTCTCTGAAAATGGGAATTCCAGTGTCCTTGCCGCTCAGGCAGGGTACTAAATGGTACTATTTCATTTAATACCAATCCTGCAGTCCTTGAGGACATTTTCTTGGCTCTGCCTCCAACAGATATTGGAAATCTGACCACTTCCCCCACACTTCCGGCTTACATCCGATCCCGGTCTCCTTCACTTCTTACCTTGATTATTACGGAGAAGCCTCTTGCTTCCCTGTTCCCACCTGAAAGTCATTTTCAACGTGGGCATGAAAGTTGATGTTTTAAAATGATACAACTCATCGCTCTGTTTAAAGGTGTCCGTGGCTTCTCCTCTTCCTCAGGGGACGTTCTTTCAATTGCCTGCAAGACCAAACGATCTTCCCAATTCCCATCCCTTTAACGGTCTCAAGGCATATTTTGTGCCTCTCTCCTTGTTCTCCTCGCTCCCACAACGGCCTCATTGTCCCTCCCTGAACGTTTGGTGACAGGGAGTGTTCAGTGCCCCCGATATCCACATGGCTTGCTCATCAACTGTGTATGATTTTTGCTCAGATGTCTCCTATATGTAAAGTCTTCTACTGCCACCCTATTTAAATTTCAATTCTCCCTATACAAACCCTCAATGCCCCTTTCCTCCTTCATTTATCCTCATAGTCTTTATAACCATCTGACATCAGCAGTTTTAAAACAGCACTTCCCATTCTTCTTGTCTCTAGTATTTTCCTCTTTTAAAATTAGCACTCTACCGAATTGCCGTACCGTTTATTATTTTTTTAATATAAGAATTGATGTATCTTTTACCTTATTAAGTGGAAACACTCCTCAAAATTCTTAGTGTTTCTCTGTGTGTTTATATACACATTATTTCATTATAATTATTCTGTTCTCATTATTATTTTGGGTACTATGGCAAAAAATTCTCATACAAATAACTCTACATCCTTGTAGAAATGCAAATTTTTGAAAGTAGAAATACTAGGACACAGTCTATACACATTTTTAAAATAGCAAAAATTACTCATGGTTTTTCCAAGAACTACTACTATATCACTTTCCTTGCAGTTGTATATGAGAATGCCAGACTCTCTATATTCTCAACAATATTGGACAGGATAACTCCATAAATTTATGCCAGTCTGGATGAAAAATATGGTATGTTGTTTTAATATATTTTTTAGGTCTGTGCTGACTCTTAACCATTTTTGGGACTTCTTCCTGATTTGTGTCTATTTCTATATGGTTGTTTTCATTTTCTCAATAATTCATAGTTTTTCATATATTTTATGTAGACACTATTTGTTATTTGTGTCATAAGTTATTTCCCTGGACTGATACTACTGTTGAGCTAAGCATATGCTGTATTTTGCAACACAGTTGCTTTTAATTTTAAATAATTATTTGTGTTTCAATGTCTTCATTAATGTCATGTTGGTTTTATTTTATGCTTACAAATTTTATCACATTTGAAAATAAAATCTCTGATAGGCAGACAGATTGATAGAATATTGATAGAATATATATATAGTTAAATTTCAGTTAAAATTACCATAGTGTAAAGTTAGTGAAGTTTTATCACTACCGTTTCCATAAGGATAGATAGTATTCTCAATGCTATTTACTAATTCACCCATCAGTTCCTTTGTGTTATGTGATATTACATTTATTATTTAATAAAATTCCATATTTACATTAATTTTATTTGGATCTTGTCTTTCTCTTATAATATGCTTCACCAATGAGATAGAGATATATATATATATATATATATATATATATATATATATATATATATAGATGATTACTATACTTTATACTACATTCCTATAAGAGCTAGGGCACTCCTCCTCTTGTTATTCTTGATCAAAATTCCTTTGCTTCCCTCTTCCTTCACTCTTTCACGTAGGCTTCCCAAATTCATGTGAGTCAGTAATCACTATCATTCTTTGTAGGAAGAGTGGTTTAGCTTCACTCATAATGAAATTTGTAGTAGAGCAAAGCACATTGAATTTACTGCCTTTTAAATGACTTCCAGCATTACTCCTTCTAAACAAAGTACTCATAAAATGTAGAATAATTGTTACTTAACTGTATTTGTGTTTCTTACTGTGTACAACAATGAACACTGCTTGAAAGAAAATCAGTTCCTTTCTTTATGAAAAACAACTATGAAATATAGAAGAGTTTTTAAGCTTCCCCACAGTCGAATTTCTGCTAATTCAGAGAAACAACAATTTATTGCCTCTTACTTTTACAGTTAAATCACAAGAGAAAAAAATGTGTGGAAAATCACTTCTACTCAACACACTTTTCTTTTCATTTTTCATTTATGTAGAGGAAAATTAATAAAACCATAGCTATTAAATTGAAAGTTTTTCTGAGTCTCATTTCTCCTTTACATTGAGTTTACACAATGGTGACCATTTGCTCTTGATAACCTTTGTGACCCGTGGCTTCACCATTTGGAGTATTTGCTTATACCTCCCTAATTGGCAGCCTGTCCTTGGACTTAAATTTTCACTATATCCTCCAAATGACAGCACTCCAAATGTTTTTTTTTTTTTTTTTTCTTGTCTACACCCTTCTATCTTTCTATCTTGGCATGGCTTCCACTTTTTGCTAGATGGTTCATATCCATACCATTCCTCCATTTCCAGTTCTCTTCTGTAGATTTACACTCAGGATGCCTCAAACCAATTTTATTGTAATTCCCCAATAACCAGCTTCTTCCTCCCAAAGATTTTCTGTTGATATTTTCATAGTCATCTTGGTCACTTCTAGTCAATATTTTTGGTTTCAGCTCCAATTTTCTCATCTTAACCACAAGCATGCAACCAAACAACAACTGTAATTGAAGCTCCCTCCTAATGACTTTTCCGTCTCTCCCTTAATTTCCATTGCAATCATTATCACCATCTACTGGGCCTTTATTACTTGGCCAGAACTTTTCAATAGTTTTATGCCACTCCTTCCTGATTCATAAATATGATCACCAAATTAACTTCCAAAAATTATCTCACCACTGCTTTTCTAAGAGAAAACAGTAGGCACTAAACAAATGTTTGTTGACAGGCTGGTTGTATTTTACTAACACCTCATTATCAACAGCATACAGATAAAATGTTCCAAATTTTGGCAATTAAGATTTCTGTATCCCTGCAACTCTGTTCTTAGACATAGATAGGAGTTCTGCTTTTCTCATCACCCTATGATAATTGGATTCATAACTTATGTGTAGAAGGCTACTTCTGTTATTTTCATTGAAATGCTAAAATTTTTAAGTAGAAACACAAAATGTGCTCCATGAAAAATTCCCTTATTTTTCCAACTCTCCATGATTCATTTCTTGTTTTCAATGCCTGTGTTACATATTCCATTATCACTTATCTACTACTTTGTATTATGGTTATCTCTCTAAAGGTTATCTTTCCAATTAGATTATGAATTGTCTGAGTCATATCCTTATTTTTTGGTGTCTTTCAGCTTATTGCAAAGTCACTTTTCATATTTTAGTGCAGCACTGTATAACAAAAAGAACATTGGAGGCTGAGTGCAGTGGCTCACGCCTGTAATCCCAGCAATTTGGGAGTTTGAGGCGGGCGGATCATGAGGTCAGGAGATCAAGACCATCCTGGCTAACATGGTGAAACCCTGTCTCTACTAAAAATACAAAAAAAATAGCCAGGTGTGGTGGCAGGCACCTGTAGTCCCAGCTACTCGGGAGGCTAAGGCAGGAGAATTGCTTGAATCTGGGAAGGGGAGGTTGCAGTGAGCCAAGATCGCACCACAGCACTCCAACCTGAGCGACAGAGCGAGACTCCATCTTCAAAAAAAAAACGAATATTGGAGCATAAGGCTTGCATTGGATTCCTAGGTCTGTAATATATACAAATAATATCTTTGGATCATTCTCACCATACAGCTTTCCAACCTCATCTGCCAACACTCCTACATCTACACACTCTTCATCTTAACTGTTGCTGTTTTGTTCACCTGGACTTGTCTGATATCCTGGGATACACTTGCTCATCTTTCTTCCTTGTGAAATTATGCAAGATTCAGACTATAAAATATGTGACTTTCCATACTGATTTTCACCTGAAAGTTATTTCTCTGTTGAATGGTCCATTCCACCAAGTAGTGGAAAGCATAATCTTACTGATTCAAATCAAATGTCATTAATTCCAGATTTTCTACATCAGTTCGTGTTTCCTATTTTTTTCTCCTTGTGGTTGCATCTAGATTTTAGGGCAAGCATGATGGTGAGGCACCTAGTCCAGTGGTGGTCATTTGGCCACATTACAGATACCAATTATTTGGTATGATTCTGTCACCAACATTGGTATCCATAGTGATGTCTGCATTTCTACCTGAACATGTGGTCCAAACTGCGTTTAACATTGCAAACTTTTGTTCAGACCTCAACATCCTTTGGATTCATGAGTTTTTAGTGTCGCACGTATGTGACTCTCAGTTATGCTTTCTATTTCTTTGGGCATGTTGGATTCTCTGTATTGCTAACTAAGTCTCTGTCTCCTCTTCCAGGAACCTCATGAATTCACCTGTAATATAATCTTCCATGCTTACATCTTCCTAGCATAGTAAAGAAAAGACTCTTAGTGCTGTTTTGCTTTTATCCCAAGTTCCATTTCCATATCAATACTGGGCCCCTTTCATAATAGTCCGGCCACCTCTCTTTGGCATTATCCTTATTATGCTGCTCTAGGATACACCAAAAATGTCACCATTTGTTTTAATCCCCAAAACAGGTTTTTCCTACTTTGTTTTACATATAAAATTATGGTCACTTAATATCTCGCATCCTTTGCCAACCCTAACATGGAAGTCAGAGCAGCCTAAATGGAAGCCTGAGAAAAAGGAGGAGGCTTGTAGCAGAATTCCGGTATACACGCACTAAAGTCATGTGTTAGCAATGACAGTTTTTGGATCCCTCATCTCTATTGTTCATAAGAGAACATCCCTATAATGTTTTAAGTAAAATTTTTATTGAAGTATAACATAAATATAGTAAAGTTTACAAATCGCAAGTGTAAAAGTCAGTAACATTTCTCTTTACAATTATCACCTAAATCAATCAAGGAAAAGATGATTATCATTAGCCCCTGTCTTATGCTGTCCAAACCACAACTCGGGCTCCCCTAATAACCATTATATCAATTTCTAGCACTATGTTAGTTTTGCATGCATATATATATAACTTTTTTTCACAGTATATATTCTTTTGTTTTCCCCCACTGAGATTCAGCCTCTGAGTTTCTTTTTTATACTTGTTCATTCATTCTAATTGCTATTGCTGTATGAGTATACCACAAAATTTATTTTTTGTTGATTTGGAAACATTGGGTACATTCTCAAATTTGAGCCATTATGACTGTTGATGCTGTAAATATTGTTAAATATTATCTATCTATGCACATAAATACACCCCATTGCTGAGCATATAGCTATGAGAGAAATGCTAGATCAAGGTATATCTATGTTTTACTTGATATTGGCCCCCCATTTAACAAGGTAGTTGGGCTATTTTAATTTCTGTCTTGCTTAATTTCTTAGCTTCTTCACTAACAAAGCTTTAAAATGTGTTATGTACTTTAGGGGAGAAACTGCTGAATCTAGAGTTTACTTCCACATACCACCTTATTTACTAAGATATTAGCTTCTTAATTTCTGGCTGCCTTGATTTATCAGTACTGTAACTTTTGTCTCTCTTCCATTTCAAATTATTAAAGGTTATGCTTACTTCAAGAAATGTTTACATCAACCCTTTTCCTGAATTCTTAGCTTGCCATAACAAAAATGACAAGCAACCCCAGCAGCTTGAAGAATGTTGGCCCACTTCTCTGAAAACCCCTTTAAGCTTTAAGATCTTGATGACTGCATTCCTGGTTGAATTAACAGTTTTTCAAAAAGTATTTACAAAATGTCACTTTCTCCAGTTTTCCTCAGCACATCTTAATGTGAATATTAGTCTTCTGAGATCTATCTCTTTATCATATTTGGTAAAAATGTAGAAACATCTCCAATTGAGAGTCTTTGAGGGTAGACTGGTAATTATTTCTAAATTCTGCTCTTGGGAGAGATGATGTCCTTTCTACAACAGGAGGTACAACATTGTAACTGATATGAGTGAATTATAGAAGAGAATTCATGTACTGAAAAGCCCTTCTGACGAAGTTGTACATTGTGAGCCTCTGATCCCAGATGAGCTAAAATGAGTACTGATAATGTATTTGTCTCTATATTTATATATTCTATATTCAGATATATATCCATATATTTGAATGAAGCACCATTGGCAAACTCTTTCCATTCTCTGTTCAATTCCAGGTGGGTGAATTGCTTCCAGTTCCACGACTTACAATTCCCTTGGCTTTGGTATTAGAACTCAACATGTACCTTCTATAATACATTTATAAAAATTCTATCTTATCTCTCAATCTATTATATTTTTCAAGTGATTTTCAGTGTCAAGATATAGCCACAAGATTTGACTCAGTTTTTAAATAGTTATTGAATGCTGGAAAGACGGAAAGAGACTATTAAGCAAAATGAAAAGAATGTGAAGAAGGGTAGGATCTTAAGTATACATTTAATTTTACAAGTACAAACATGCTTTTGCTTGGAAAAAAGAAAGACCTTCTCTATTTACTGGGCACATTATGTTAAACCTTTATGTATTCATTCAACAAACATATAATATGTGGTTACTCCATGCTAGGCAGAAGTTTTACATAAATATCAAAAAATATTAAGCACATTTAATGACAGAGTTTGTTAAATCCATATTCTCTCTATATATACATTGAACCTATGATTTTTTTTATTGTTAAAAATATTTTGAAAAACACTATTGCTTTAAATTTTGTTGTGCCCAAACGGAATATTAAAGACTTGGTACAGTTACAAAACAAGTAATACCCAGGGTGGGATGGAGTAGAAATCAATGTCGTACTTCCAACCGAGTTTACCACTTGACTAGCAATTACCATAAGTGCTTCCCCACCACTGAGAGTGAGAAAGGAAGCTGGCGCTGCTGCCACTTCGTGTTGTATGTTGCTTTTTTATCCAATCTATTCCTGTAAATAACTTCTCAAAAACATTAAATATCCATTTCCAAAGCACTCCTTAAAGCAAAGTGCCCACTCGTCCTTCCTTCTCAGAACTTGGTATTTCGACTGCCAAAATTTCACAAAGGATGGAACAGCCCTGCTGAAAAAATGGAAAAAAATAAAACTAGCACCCAGAGTTATATTTGAGTACTATGTTTACTTTCTCTATTTGTATTGCCAATGTATTGTTTTAGTTAATTCGTGGACACTTGAGTAAGGAAAAAAGAAACTGAGTTGGGAACAAAATGCTTTCGGCATAAGAAAATAAAAATATTGCTCGGGTGCAGTGGCTCATGCCTGTAATACCAACACTTTGGGAGGCTGAGGTGGGCAGATCACCTGAGGTCAGGAATTTGAGACCAGCTTGGCCAACATGGTGAAACCCCATCGCTATTAAAAACACAAAATTAGCCGGGCGTGATGGTGCACGTTGGTAATTCCAGCTACTAGGGAGGCTGAGGGAGGAGAATCGCTTGAACCCAGGAGGCGCAGGTTGCAGTGAGCCGAGATCGTGCCATTGCACTCCACCCTGGGCAACAGTATAAGACTCTGTCTCAAAGAAAAAAAAAAAAAAGGGAAAAAAACGAAAAGAAAAATATCCATCCTTTGTCACCATACTTTATCATATGTGTTGGATTCATAATATCATAAGTGTATCATCACTAACACTTTTGCATGGCATCTTGGGAGAATGCATTTTATGTCAGGATTCATAATAATCAATTTTAAACAGATATAATTCCATTAAAACCATGAGCAAATAATCCATGTCTGGAAACCTACATGACTGGTCTAGTCCCAGCTCTGACACTAGCCATTCTGCCCCATGAACAGACCATATCGTAACTTCACAAAAATGACATGAGGAGTCCATGATTCACTCAAGTGCCTTTCCACTCTAGCATTGTAGCACCTGCTACCTGTCAGCTGAATATAGGCTTTCCGTAAGCACTCATAGCTGGCGCTTTGCAACAGAACTCTAGCTAGTGTGTTTTCCTTCAAATATTTTTATCATTCCTCAAACTCTTCCCCCATAGCCCTCCGGGTCCCCTCTTATATAGAGCTGCCCAATTCACCACCAATCAATCATTTGCTTCTGTAACTCTTATCACTCAACACATCAAATACAAATTGATGATGTGTTTTATTTTCTGTATCTAGAGTAATCTAGTAATCTCCAACTTTATCTTCCACTGGTCCACACAATGTAGCCTCCATCTTCCTGTTCTCTTTACTCTTTCCTCCCAACCTCACTGTTATCTTGCCTATCCATTTAACTTCCGCCTTTCTTCAAGATACATTTCCTCTCCCTCTCCTCTCCATTATTTTAAAAGTATCATCTTTTCAATGGTCACCAATAATTCTAGACCATGTTTTTGATTTTTCTTAGCTCCTTTTAAGGGATAATAAGATGTTTGTAATGTTTATGTCTTCCAAATGAATTGTAAATTCCTTGAAAACTGAGCCTGCTCCATGAATCCTGTAGCAAGTGTATGGTAGGCCGTACAAGAACTTCTGAATAGATGCTTCCTGAATTCCCTGTCACATATTCATGTAAAGAAGATATTATATTTAAGGACAGGAAAGTGCATGCTTTGTTCAAGAAACTTCAGTGATACCAAGGAAGTTATATGATCAAATTGAAATTGTCCTAAGGAGTCAAGAATCTGTTCATGAACTCTGCTAAACCAGCAAAGTAGAAAAAAGCTAAGGGAAAGTACAGGGGAATGTTTTGAAAGGATTCGTTTATTATGTGTTCAGAACTACTTAGGGTGGGTTTCAAGCTTTTCACTGCAAGCCAAGTAAGAGTGGCTTCAATTGGATCATTTGTAAAGCTTAGAACCTGTCACCTATAGTTATTGGGGACAATGTAGCATGTTTTAGCAGTCGGTGTTCTTCTACAGGATTTACATTCATATAAGAATATATATATATTTACATATATATATACACACACATATATATGGAGAGAGATATGGAGATTTTATATAAATATATATTTAGAGAGAGAGAGAGATGGAAATAATAGATGGTCACTGAAAGATCAGTAAGAAATTTGCTCACACAATTGTGGGGGTTAGGCATTTTGAAATTTATACGGAAATCTGGCAGACTGGAAACCCAGGAGGAGTTGCTGCAGTGCTGAGGGAGAGTATTTTCTTCTCCAACACCTCCGTTTTGCTCATAAAGCTTTCATCTGCCTGGATGAGGCCCACATTATTGAGGATAATCTTCTTCCCTTAAAGTCCACTGATTCTAGATGTTAATCACATTTACAAAACAACTAGATCCGTGTTTGATTAAGTAACAGGGTACATGTGCTAGAGACTAGGCAAGTTGACATATAAAGCTAACCATCACAGGGAAATCTGAACTTCTGCCTGCTAAATCTCAGAGCTGAGTGACACTGGCCGACACAACGGTGGGTGTGAATACAAAGTTGCTCCTCCGGGGGACTGGTTTATTCCAGCAGAGGTTGACAGGAGAAAGGATGCATGGTCCTCACCCAACTGAGGGATCCAGAATGAAGTCATCTTTAATCCTGTTGAAGAAGGCTGTCTAAAAGGGGTACCACCCTCAACCCAGAGTTGCCAAGGGCATCACAGAATCCCTAGAGACTGAGAATGGCATGGATGGTGAGGCAGAGAATCAGGCATTAACAATCAAGGGCTGCAGGTGCAATGGCCCTGGCAATAGAGGTGAGGTCTCCCCAGGACCCCCAAGTGCCCCACCTAAAAAAGAGGTAGCTATAAACATCAGGTGCTACTGGAAAACTAAAGACCAGCATTCCACAGCTCTATTGTGAAGTAAAACTTTATTCTTCTGAATGTATATCATTGTATAAAGTTAAAAATAGTGCTCAATTAATGAGGAAGGGAGAGGAGGCCAAGCCCAGCTCCTTCCCAGGCTACAGCCAATTATTGGGCCAGTAGAACAGCCTCAACTTGAAAAAGTGCTTCACTGCTTCATAAGAATAGGCAATCCAAGAATCAACTTGAGTTTGGTGAATGCTTCATGAAGTAATCAAAGGTATTTTTTCTTTTGCCAAGTAATAGTATACAGAAAAGCCACGAGCTGTCAGAATTTTTACCCAGGGACTTAGGAAGAACTTTTTGCACTGTATACATTTTAAAAGTGCAATGAGAAAAAAATAAATTAAGCTCCTGTGTCTTAGCTTCTCATATTCAACCTCATTCAAAATGCTGATTTTGGTCCTTCAGGGAAGGGACGCCAGATCATGTGATTCCAGAAACATGTAACATAAAATAGCACAGCTGAGCATTCCTCAGAAGTCAGGGATTGTCCTTGAACAGGTAGATTCAGAGGGATAGGAAATGGGACACAATGAATTAGTGTGGATTGTCTGGGAGATGGAGGGAGGCTGGTCTAACTGGAGAGAGAGGTTTGTTTTACAGGGTTCCAGCATATCAGTTCCTACCTGCTGGGATGAGAGCTTTAATTTCACAAGCAAACAAAATCTTCAGATGTTGAAAAGTAGATCATTGAGATTTAATCTGCATTGCATTTATAGATCTCTAGAGATTTTATATCTATGTATATAGATATATGTACATATTTTTGTTATATATATAATCTGTGTGTATGCATATATATATATATAAAAAAAACCATACCATTATGTAATCTCTGGCGCTATCTTAGTATTTAATGTAAATCAGTCATCTTTCATATTTTAAGCGTTTCTTTTTCTTTTCTTAAAGGAGAAGAATTCTAAAAAGAATCAAACCCTTGAAAATTAGAATCAATTTTCCCAGGTGACTTCCATCTGATGATACATATATCAAGTTCTCAAAATAAGAATGGCATTAGAAGAAGGTAGACGTAGTTAAATAATAAGAAATCTTGAAAGAAATATGTAAGACAAGGGTGGGGGCCTGTGACAAACAACTTGTGAGTAGATTGCTTTCTCTCTCAGATTTCATTCTGGGACTAGAATGTATTGTATATGGAGGCACTCAAGATATATTCCTCTAGAATTGTGTACTTCATCACAGCTCCTCCCTTTGTGAACAGGTTTTAGTTTATTCTTGCACTGCTATAAAGAAACAACTGAGACTGGGTAATTTATAAAGAAAAGAGGTTTTAATCGGCTTATGGTTCTGCAGGATGGCTTCTGTTTGGCTTCTGGGGAGGCCTCAGAAAACTTACAATCATAGTGGAAGGCTAAGGGGAAGCAGCCATGTCTTTCATGGCCAGAGCAGGAGGAAGAGGGAGGAGGGAGGTGCTACGCACTTTTAAACAGCTAGATCTCATAACTCACTATTACAAGAACAGCATCAAAGGAGACATCTGTCCCTATGATCCTATCACCTCCTACCCAGTCCCACCTCCAACACTGGGGATTTTGACATGACATTTGGGCAGGGCCACAGATGCAAAAAATATCAGGGCACTCCATGTTTCTCACTATAACAACAGAAGTTCTCATGAAATGTGAGCATCTCCTCTTTCTCATCTCCCACTTAGTATGAGTCACCAATTTCTCTCCATTTGTCCATGATAAAGACCAACTATTTTGAAATAGCACTCAAGGATCTTTATGAATGAGCCTTTAATTTTCTTTCTAACCTAATCTCTGACCACTTTTTTCCATGTACCATAGATTGCAGTCAAGTAGAACTATAGTAAAATCACAACAATCTAGGGTAAAGCAAACTTTGAGAATACCAACTCATGGTTTAAAGGAACCTCGGATATTAATATCTGGTGGTAATCCATTGTGGCTATGCAAATATGAAATCTTATTTTCTTATCAATACTTGATTGGCAAGCAGTTAATGGATAAACAGCTCATTGCCTGTTCTGGAGGGTACAGATTTTTCAGCTCTTGGTGCCAAATCATGGTGAGGTTTTTTTCTAAGCTCCATGTTAGTGGAAGCAGCCTTTCCCACGAATCTCTAGGCCATCCCAGAGAAGTGTGGTAACGCTTCCCTACACATGCCACACCTGAGCCAATCTTTCTTTCCATTGCTTGTGAATTTTGAGTAAGACCAATATCCTTAAGAGTAAGAACAATGGAGCATAGTAATCAAAAGCCGGTACTTCGAATTAATTAACAAACAACTAGAATTAACTTTTAGCTTTACACATACTGTGTTTCCTTTGAAAACACTGCGAACTTCATCTGTTAAGGCCTCTAAGTTTTCACGTGGAAAACTGAATTTCTATTTGTGATTTAGAAGAAAAAAAATTTAGAAATTAAACATTTATGAGAATGCTGCTCTAAATTTTGAGAATCTTAGTTTTATAGCATGGCTTTCCTTTCAGTTAAACTCAGTTGTGCCAAACAGGTTGTATGTTAATGAATGTGGTGATTGTAACTTTACCTTCCTTCAATACATAGAGAATGCAACTTCCTCTTGGGTTTAGGCTTTTCTTTTATAAAAGCCAGTTAACATTTCTTTCTCTGTTCATCTACAGCTATCTATTCTATTCCAATAATTGTTAAAATATATTTGTTCTCTTCATTTCAGACTTGAAAAACTTTATAAACATACAAGTATAAACTATAAAAAGATATAAAATTCCATACTCTCTTAAAAACAACACAAAAAACTTATCTACTTTTTGCTTAATGTTACTAACTTTTGTCTGCATATAAATTTTAGGACATGTTGTAATCATTCAGTAAATAAAATTCTGTTTTGTTTTATTCACATAAAAGGGAAGCAAGACCCCTCTACGCTATTTGACTGCTTTTTAAATGTATTATCAATGGCTGCAAAAGTACTTGCTTTAATGTTGATCTCTTCATGTACTTAATAATTTCTATTTCATATTCATAGATTGTTTCTAAAAATGTTAACACTATAATATTTGGAAAATTTCATTTCTTTAGGCTTATAAATTTTTATGATATCGTACACTTATTTTTTGAATTGTTTACTCAAAATAGAGTTACCTGGTAAAATGATGTAAGGATTTTGTGTTTTTTTATATGTATTAACATATCTAGCATTAATCTTTATGACTTAATTTTAGTCATGTCATTAGACCTAGGAAGATTATAAGCTTTTCCTCAATTATTTATTAAAATAACATTTAAACATTATTATTCTATACTAGGGCTGTTATGTGTGCTGAAGATACACTTGTGAAATAGTGAAAAAATATTTCCTTTTCTAGGATTTTAAATTTTAGTGTCATGAGACAGGAAGTAAATTATCAGGAAAGTAGAAAGAATAAAAAAGACTGACAGGAAGGAGGGAGGAAGTAAAGGAAGGGAGAGACAGAGGGAGAAAGGGAAACAAGGAGGGAGAGAAGGAGGAAAGGGAGTAGAGAGGAAGTGAGGAAGAAGGGAAGGAAGGAAGGAGGGAAGGAAGGAAAGAAGAAAGGGAAAGAGGGAAGGAAAGAAGAAAGGGAAAGAGGGAAGGAAAGAAGAAAGGAAGGAAGGAAGGTGGGAGGAAGGAGAGCATGAGGGAGAGAAGAAGGGAAGAGGGTGAGGGAGGGAGGAGAGAGGGAGGGAGAGTCAGAGGAATAATGAAATAAAACAAATTGAGTAAATGAACAAGGAAGAACTAAAGTCAAAGTCTCTGCAGACAATTGTAATGGATAATACATTCAGTCTGCCTAATTAGCGGCCAGTGAACAAAATATTGTTAAGGCATGTAATGTAAGTAATGAATTCAACACCAAGTTTAAGCATAAGGGCAGGGATTTATGCTTGTCCATAGGATTAGTAAATAATGGTTTAAAACCCAGAATTTGTATATGAAATAAGGCAGTAAAATATTAATTAAATGATAGGAAATTCAAGACTCGTACTTGACTAAAATTTGGTTTCTAAAATGAAAGCAGTGGATCCTCATGCACTGGACCCGAAGCTGCCCCAGTGGCACACTCTCTGTAAAATCAGGATCTGTTCACACATTGGGGATGATCTGAATAAAGTCATAAGCCAAGGATGGGGCACCGCTGTGAAACCCATCTCACCTTACAGCATCTTTAGGAAGATGGGGCACAGAAATCTTTCATCGCGCCGGTGCATATGGGAAGGGTAGCATGGATATTAACTTTGAGAGCATTACTCGGGAAAAAAAATTAATTATTTTGACTTTTTATTGATATTTGAAAGGAAAAAGTCTGATTAGATCATCAAATTTATTTCCCACGGGCCAGAGCAAGAAAAGCAGTTAGAGAACAACACCTGGGCCTCATAATTTTTCTGAGAGAGGGTCTTGGCTTCTCCTAATTAGGATGACTGAATACATTCCAAATAGCTTTATTATCTTCTTCGCAAATGATCACTGAACATAAGATGATTCAAAGGGACTTCCAAATGCAAATATCTCAATTAAGAAAGACAGGATTCCAAGAAACATAATAAGCCTGCAACTGGTAAGTTGGTTACTAAAAATATTCGTTTTTCAGTACCAGTGTTTTGAAAGTGCTAAAGAGTAATATCATTTCTTTCATTTATACAGCAACTGATCCAGATTGTGTTCAAGATATTCCTCCTTAAGCTGAACATTTTACCTTTGATTTTTTTTCACTTTATTGCAATTGCTAATTTTTCAATTGCCATGAACTTTGCCAATTTGAAGATGAGCATAGCATTACATTTGAACAGTTGTCTGCATAACAATATTTTTGAAAATTAATTAGGCATCAAGATAATGATCCTTTTTCCTCCTTGGAATTCTCACTTGCTTAGAAATAGTGTGAACAATTTTTTTTTTTTTTCATATTGAGCGGTGGCTTTTACAGAACAATGAAAGAGCTGATTCAGTGTGGGTGTCTTTTGTTTTTAAAGTACAGACTTCTATTGTGAAATTAAATTAAGAAAGCTGTGTTCAACATTAATGCTATTTTCCATTTTTTAATACATTCATATTTACAGCAGGGGAAGAAGTATTTACTTTAGATTGGTCAGTGAGTTGTTCTTAAAGAAACGTATATTTATAAATCTGTTATCTGGGCTGAAATATAAGGGGACTAAATTGGATATGTTTTATGATATTTTTCCCCTCATCAGTGAGTGGGTGGTTGCAAGGAGTGGCTTTGGCATCATTATAAACCAGTCTTTCTTTAACCAGCCTGGCTAGTAATATCACTCCAACCCCCAAAAGATTAGTGACTGCCTAAGCCAAATGATGCTTGGCCTTGTGCTTTATGAAGTCCCCTAGATCAGGTCTACCACTGACATTTGACAGCTAGGGCAGAAGAACCAATGAAAGCCCCACAGGCACTAATGAAACGTTTGAAAGTTCTCTATTATGTTTTCAACTCTCAAGGAGAGATGTTCTACCATCCTATCTTGGCAAATTAAATTATAATTAACACTGAAAGGCCAGGTTCAAATTTTGAATCTGAGAATTCCTGGGAGTTTATCCTAGGAACATGGCATTATCAAGTGAGTCAGACTCCACCTCCCCATCCAGAGATCTGCCTCCTGTTGTCTCACCTCACTGTCAGCTCTATCCTGCCCTGTGACACAGCTTGTAGACTCTGCAGCCCACTAGTGTGCATGCACACCTCCCACCCCACCACCTGCTCTCTGAGCAGCCCTTGGCACCTGGGGCGTGCAGCACACCAGAGAGAACGTGGTCTGTGCCCCGGCGAGGATGGACATAGCACAGGGCTGTGTAGGTGCTGGATGTGGGCTTGTGCTTTTTTATCAGGGAATTCTGGAGTCCTCAGTAGTGCAGTCTAGTGTAGAAAGGGAGGTTTGCATGCCTTTTATGGGTGCGACTCTCAGGAGAAGAAGCACAGACCAGATCTCCAGTTAGAATCTCGATGATTCCAGTGAGTCAAGAGAAGAAGCACAGACCAGATCTCCAGTTAGAATCTCGATGATTCCAGTGAGTCAAGAGAAGAAGCACAGACCAGATCTCCAGTTAGAATCTCGATGATTCCAGTGAGTCAAGAGAAGAAGCACAGACCAGATCTCCAGTTAGAATCTCGATGATTCCAGTGAGTCAAGAGAAGAAGCACAGACCAGATCTCCAGTTAGAATCTCGATGATTCCAGTGAGTCAAGAGAAGAAGCACAGACCAGATCTCCAGTTAGAATCTCGATGATTCCAGTGAGTCAAGAGAAGAAGCACAGACCAGATCTCCAGTTAGAATCTCGATGATTCCAGTGAGTCAGGAGAAGAAGCACAGACCAGATCTCCAGTTAGAATCTCGATGATTCCAGTGAGTCAAGAGAAGAAGCACAGACCAGATCTCCAGTTAGAATCTCGATGATTCCAGTGAGTCAGGAGAAGAAGCACAGACCAGATCTCCAGTTAGAATCTCGATGATTCCAGTGAGTCAGGAGAAGAAGCACAGACCAGATCTCCAGTTAGAATCTCGATCATTCCAGTGAGTCAAGAGAAGAAGCACAGACCAGATCTCCAGTTAGAATCTCGATGATTCCAGTGAGTCAAGAGAAGAAGCACAGACCAGATCTCCAGTTAGAATCTCGATGATTCCAGTGAGTCAAGAGAAGAAGCACAGACCAGATCTCCAGTTAGAATCTCGATGATTCCAGTGAGTCAGGAGAAGAAGCACAGACCAGATCTCCAGTTAGAATCTCGATGATTCCAGTGAGTCAAGAGAAGAAGCACAGACCAGATCTCCAGTTAGAATCTCGATGATTCCAGTGATTCAAGAGAAGAAGCACAGACCAGATCTCCAGTTAGAATCTCGATGATTCCAGTGATTCAAGAGAAGAAGCACAGACCAGATCTCCAGTTAGAATCTCGATGATTCCAGTGAGTCAAGAGAAGAAGCACAGACCAGATCTCCAGTTAGAATCTCGATGATTCCAGTGAGTCAAGAGAAGAAGCACAGACCAGATCTCCAGTTAGAATCTCGATGATTCCAGTGAGCAGCCAGGCTACTCGCTTGGCTCCAAACTTCTGTGATGAGATCATGTAGTGCTTTAGTTCTTCATAAACTCATCCACTTTATGGAACTCATGCATTTCATGGAACATCCCTAGGCTTAATGAATGATCATTTCTACCTATTTCATGACATATTTTATTACAGTGTTATGAAATCATACTTTGGGCATATCATTATATATGTATAATTTTAACCTAAAACTTAATCCTCATCTGTGCGTGTGTGAGCAGGCACAAACACGTTTCTGTCTGCCCCTCTTTGTCTGTTTCTCTCTCTGTCAATTTGTGCCCATGTCTGCTGCCTCACATTATCTCCCTCTTTCCTTTCTGTTTTTTGTTCTTTCTCTGATGAGTGCCATGTTCCTGCCTTACCCTGTTGTTGTTGCATTTTGTCTCTGTCATGCCCATGAACACACACACACATACTCAAATGCACACACCTAAGCATCAAGTAGAGCGATATAGGTCAATGGAAGCAACGACTTGATCAAGGATATTCAGAGATTGACAAGTCAGGACACTCTTCCTATCGAAACACAATTCTTTCTTACAAGGAATTTTTTCTTTCATTTTCTGCATATTTCTCAGGACCAGAAAAAAATAAGTCTACCTGAAATGCCATCATTTTAGCCACAAAACATGCTACATCCAATTAAATAAACACACAGCTCTTATTCCTTTAGGTAAACAGATGGCACATGTCATTTACTTAACTTACTAAAGAAGAGGAGGGGACATTATTGAGTGCAGTTTAGGGGCAATTACTTGACACAATGATGCCAACGGCCAATTTGAAAGGACAAAAGACTATGGCATTTCATTAAAGAACTGAATAATTATTGTACCCCCTTTCTTAAATAGATTAAATTATTTCATTCAGAAAACCTCCCTTTAATTTCCATAGAGATTACTGCAGGGAGAGTCAGCATTAAACCAAATACTATAGGCCTTGGATTTATGATCAAGCAAGTACTTCCTACTTTAATCTAGAAGTCAGTCTCTAGGTATTTAAAATGTTATTTCCTTCTTCTTAGATACTTTTAAATTTTGTCTTATAATTTCATGACTACATTTTAATTTCTATCCAGGCACATATCAATGGTTATTTATACTTAACTACTTTGTCAAATAATTATCTGTAGCATTTACTGTCACTGTAAAGTAACTTAAAGTTGAGGTTTTTTTTCTAAATTATCACAGTATGTTAATATATTATCTATATTTATATAAATATATATGCATAGATATGTACAATTTAGAAGAACACTTATTGTTGTATTTATTACCTGACAGCTTTAAGAGTTGAAAGCTATCATCTTTCATTTTTGCACTGTCAAACCATTAATATTATGAAATAATTTGTAAATGCTAACTGGTAAATTTTAACATCACTTAACAGAGAACTAAACAGCTCACTTCTATAATATTGTAACTTCATTTTGTTTTGATCAGCAAGCTTCTGAAAAAAAATGGAAGAATATGGATCTTTAGGATGTATATGTGACTAAAATTGCAAAGTTTCCATATCTTAGAACCCCAAATACTTTACACAAACAGAATTAGAATTTTGTGGATGCATGGAAATATATAATTTTTTATAATAATTCAGTCTTTTAATCTCATGTTACAGCAATAGTCTTTACCAGAATTTAATGATGCCATTACTTCTCTTTATTTAAATTCTAAGAGAATTGAGGCTCTTCTGGAAAGGAGAAGAAAAATATCTAACATGAGAGCATGGCATAGCTCCCCATTCACTAAAGGAAGTTAATTATAAGGTCAATTCCAGAAATTCGTTTTCAGTTTAAGCAAAACTGCAGATTCTGGTTTTTTGTTTGTTTCAATCTCTTAAACAACAGAGTATTATTTCCCACCTTTCTTTCATGAAATGAATGATGTAAAATCAAATCATTTTCATGGTTAATGTCTCTGTACCTTGATTTACCACAGAAAATATAAGCATCTGCAGATCTCTCCTACAACTTACACTGCGAGCCAAAAAAAAAAAAAAAAAAAAAAAAAAAAAAACTTTGAATAAATGCTTTCAAAGCTAAGGCAGCTGCTTGTCAATTAAGTAAGGCTTTTTATTGCCTCTCTGGTCTTTTCTCAGCACAGATTTTCTTCATTAAAGTCTCCCCCCTTCTTTTGCCTGTTTCCGAACCTGCTTTTGTTAAAAGAGAAGCAATAAGAGCAGCTATTCCACAAGTCTGATTCTATTTCTTTAAACATTGAATCTTTTGAGCAATAAGAAATGAGCCGATAAAAAACAAGGTGCAATTCCATTATCATTCAATTCTTAAATGAGATGTTCCAAGAATTGGTTCTTTCTGTACACAATATAATTTATGGTGTATATTGTAAAGAAAAGAAAAATATTTAAAATGTTTCTGTGTTCACATGAGATAACATCACATGCATATTATTTAAAATATTTCCAAACACTTATCAGGAAAATAACTCAATTATTTAAGGAAACAAGTTCCGCCCCCCCCCCCCCACCTTTTTATCTCCTCCTATGATTGCCAGAAGGCAATGAAAATAATAAATGGAGTTCCAAATATCATAAATTTTGCCAATGTATACTGGTGAAAACTACTCAACCGAATCTGCAACTTCCATTCTTTGGCAAGTTAATTTATATTCACAATATTGAAGTATCCACCAGGAGGGCTATGGGAATCGAGTCACTAGAATCGACGTAGGAACACACAGCAGTGTAGTTCCTTTTTTATGTGCCCATTAATTCCACCAAGTTGGTTCCATAGACTAAGATGTGGTGGGGGAGAGGGAGAATGACTGCTGTCAGTATCACTGCGTTAAGATGAAAGGAAGTGGACACGTTCAGAAATACCACATGGAAATGCCACTGACCAGCACCAAATGGCACAAACCCTGAGAAGCAGGTTCATTTTCTGATATCTTTATAATTTTTTCTCTCATTCTTTGTATTTTAATGAGATTTGTATTGTTTAGAAATACTAGTTTTTCAAGTGCAGCTGAACAACGTATAATGAAAGTTATTGTTTTAATTTTTTTTTTATCCTGGGAAAACAGTCCATTCAAACTCCCCTGTGCCTCCATCTTTAAACTTCCTCCCGATGAACAATGAAACTTAATACCTTAATTGCATGAAGTTATTCTAGCGTAAAATTATTCTTGCTGAGGGAAAATAAGATAAGAGAAGGGGCTCCGATAAATCAGCATGGATCACTCCATAAGGTTATTAGGAAGAGTGCCCTGCCTCTAAACCAGCCCACAGACGCCTACGGCTCCGCACAGAAACCACCAGGTGTTGCGACAGAGATACACAGGATGCATAGCCGTGCAGGTAGACATTCCAACAGAGACATTTCAAAACACCACGCGTGAAACACTGTAGCTCCATTGAGACATTTGGATTTGGAAGAGGTTCAGAGAAGCAACCGTTTCTTAAAGCAATCTTCATATTGCGTGTGCACATTCCTAACAACTTGTTAATGAGAGGGCGAATTCAGGGCCTTGCATTAGAAATGAAACATTTACAGAAGCTTCCTCTTCCACCCCACCAAAGAATGCAATGGTAGGCCGGGTGCAGTGGCTCACACCTGTAATCCCAGCACATTGGGAGGCCCAGGCAGGTGGATCACAAGGTCAAGAAATCGAGAACATCCTGGCTAACATGGTGAAAACTCGTCTCTACTAAAAATACAAAAAATAGCTGGGTATGGTGGTGCACTTGTAATCCCAGCTACTTGGGAGGCTGAGGCAGGATAATCGCTTGAACCCAGGAGGCGGAGGTTGCAGTGAGCCAAGATCACGCCACTGCACTCCAGCCTGGGCGACAAAGCAAGACTCCGTCTCAAAAAAAAAAAAAAAAAAAAAAAAAAAGTAATGGTAGATCTCCATGCATAATAAAAAGCTCTGCAAAAATGTATACAGTGAATCATCAAATTATAGGATTAAAGAAGGAGGGAAAATAACTTTTTTCCCCCTGGTCTTACTGTCTCAGTGCTTTATAAAGTCAAATGTTGCCCACATTAATGGAATGAACAATGGAAAGAATGTATTAAGTGGAAAGATCTGTATTGATTATTACATAATAAGTATTACAAAGCCGATTTGCACCTCACTCATATATTATTTTAGTAGTACCCAGGTAAAAGCCAATAAATGTTTTATTACTCTATCATCTTATAGATTTAGATTTGTTAGATTTGCCAGCAAGCCAATTGTTATATGTTATCAGCATGATATGCAGAGTTAGGAAAACATCTTAGGCATTTTATACCTGCAAATAAATCTGAAGTTTTTACTTAATCAACATTGATGAGTGTAGTGTTGAGACGCATCTTAGCCAAACAGGCAATTGCCATCTTCTAAGATCCTCTTTAGTATTAAAATACTAATTATCTTAAATAATACATTCTTTTGGAAAGTATGTAAAGTTAAAGAAATAGCTTTCCTTTTTCTTATTTTGATTTTTAAGTTTTGAATTGTATTCTTTTTATTTAATACTAGAGGGAAATCATTATACACACATACACACATGACTATATAAAATAACATACAAATCTGAATGTGCTTCTGAAAAGTGTGTCTTACATATATTTTAAAGTATTTCTTACAACAAAACAAGAAATCATTTCAGAGGGTCTTATTTTAGGAAGCTTTTCCTGAAAATTGATAAACCTTTAGGTGCCTTTTCGCAAACCTCAATTAGGCATGAACATCTGAACTTATTAAGAGATGTCTCTTCATTTGCTTAATCTTCAAATGTTACAACTTGATTTTCTACTGAAAGGATATCTAAGTGTCAGAGTACTGTGAGAAAATCAGGTCTTCAAATATTCTAAACACTGTGCTCCCCAGGCTGTAGTTCAACCTGTCAAAGCCACAGCACTTATTCAGCACAGTGTAGAAGCGTTTCAAGAGTGATGCTGAAGGCTGGGCGCAGTGGCTCACGCCTGTAATCCCAGCATTTTGGGAGGCCGAGGCGGGGGGATCGCGAGGTCAGGGGATCGAGACCAACCTGGCTAACACGGCTAAACCCCGTCTCTACTAAAAATACAAAAAATTAGCAGGGGATGGTGACGGGTGCCTGTAGTCCCAGCTACTCGGGAGGCTGAGGCAGGAGAATGGCGTGAACCCGGGAGGCAGAGCTTGCAGTGAGCCGAGAACGCGCCACTGCACTCCAGCATGGGTGACAGAGCAAGACTCAGTCTCAGAAAAAAAAAAGAGTGATGCTGAAAATTATCTTGGTGTGGCTCTGTTCTCTACATGTCCCTGGCTGCTTTGGACTATGGCTAAACAGGCTGAGCTGGAAAAAAAGCTGTTCCCTGTGCCGTGCTCCTTTCCTTCCCAGTCTACTATCCACAAGCAAGCTCTAGGATGGGAACGCTCTTATTATCCCCGGTGACGTGCATGACAACCCTCCACAGATTATTCATCGATGTATTGTTGTTAGAGCATCTGCTGAGGCGTGACGCCTGGCTGTGCCGCATTACAGCAGCCGTGGGTGTAGGAACTGCACGGGCATCAGCAGGCAGCCTGTTACCTGTTTGGCAGCACAATGCCTCCTTTCGGATATGCTGCAATACCCAGCTTAGAAGCCCAGCTCCCAACTTGAGTAAGCTCTAAATGGAATATTCCATTAGGGAGTTTTTTCTTTTCCCTTATGCTTTTAGAAACATATTATATTTCAGTTGACATTCAAAGGACCGCACACCTAGAAAACTTTCAGATGCTCTCTCTATGCACGCACACACAAATGTACACACACACACACACATATACACATTTATACACATGCGTACATACAAATACACTATACACACATATATATTTGGTGGAAACAGTTCTATTTGATGGAAACAGACGTTTAGTAAGGAATTATTTTTCTAAATTATTCTACAAGTGCTTATTTTTTAAATACCCATCTCAAAGTTGTTGAATCACAGTACCAGGAGGTACATGCAAGGAATGATTCTGCAGGTGGAGAATTTCCTCACAAGGCAGAAACATCTGCTGCTTCAATTCTTCAGTTTTAAACCCACGCCTAAAATTGATTTTAAAAAAATCAAGAAGTCTTTCCTTTTCCTCCCCAAACACATAAAGTCTTCCTAAATGAGTATCATTTCAATAAATTATCTGTAATACTTTAGTTCAAAGCCATACCAAAAATATACCATGGAAGATGAAGATGCATAGAAGTTATTAAGTAAAATAATCTTTACTCTACCTTGGAGGTTTATATGCTCACCAGGTCCATTTTTCTTTCATCAACCTTATACCATAGCTACTTCTGACTTCCTGTACCTTCATTCTATCATGTAGAAAGACTAATATTTTACCTAGGATGCCAGGCTGTAGATATTTTAATTACCCCCATGTTCTCAATGGAGTTTTCCCTAGACATTTTCTGGAAAATGTTCCAATACCTCATTCAGCATCACCTGGGTAGCTCATGCTCTGCTGGCTTAGTAAGGGAACTGGGGAGCAATACCAAATTAGACTGTGGAAAAACAATGCCACATCTTGTGCTGACTGGGTTACACGTATCAAAAGAGCATATTATGGTGAATTTTCTGGATCTAACACGTATTCTAGGTATTTTTGAATCATCAATGAATTGAAATATATGCCTCAAAAATTGATAGTATCTTCATTTATTAACTCACAGAGAAACAGAATTCATTACCTTTTATTTAAAAAAAAAAATCTGGGAAATACTCCAGTGAGTCAGCATTAGAAGTTTAACACAAAGCAAAGGAAATTGAGACCTTGTATTTCTGTTGTTAGCTATTTAAAGCATTTGCCAAGTCTGGCTAATAAGTCAATTAGATGCTCAATCTCTATTAAATATGTTTTATTCAGATCATTTTAAAAGATACTAATTTGAGCATGCTGGGTAGGCAGAAGTAGGTATCAGTGAATGGTGGATTTTATCATCATTGTTATTTTTCATTTCTAAAAATTGAAGCACATATGCTATGCCAAACACCATGCTAGGATCTTTGTTCCAATTTGTTTTACAAACTTGCCTGATAGGCAATATTGTCCCTATTTTGCTGGGAAAAGAAATTGAGGCTTTGGAAGATTAAGTAGCTTGTCTAAGACCGCTCAGCTGACATACTGTATGGAAGACTACATGTACCTGAAAATTCTAAACTCTCTCTTATGCAATGCTAAATTTCTTTTAATATGGGCAGGTAGGAAAAACTGTTAAATTAAAATGAGTGGTCAGTAGATGTCAAAATAACAAAAATAGATCGAGTCAATGAAAGGCTGAGAAGAAAGTTTTGGTTTCAGAATATCGATTTATGACTTCAGTTTGATGTAGTGTTGTAGAAATAAGGATTAAAGTAAAAGAAGAAAAAAGAGGAACTAAGATCTATTTCTTGCCTGACATTTTCTATGCAGCCCTTTACACGTACCATCTCATCTAAATATCTCAAAAACTCTTCAAGGCTGGAGTTTACTGTCTAGGTTAACAAATGAGGGAATTAAAGGGCACAGCAGGATGAAGTTAAGTGGAAGTGCACATAGCTAGGAAGAATTTGTACATTTTTCTAAATAAAAGTTACTGGATTCCCAGAGAACGCATACACTTTCCACTGTAGATGTATGCAAACATTCTTTCTTATTTACAAAATAAATTATCTAATTAATTTATTTGCATATTCTCAGTAAATACTCCAAATCATGCAATCAAATATATCAGTGTCTAGTCAGGTTTGGGTTGGAATGAGGGAAAAATGACAAAAGCAAAATACAACCTACAGAAAATGAAAATGATGCTTCTAAGGTTATAACATTTCTTCCTATTTATTTATTTATTTATTTATTTATTTATTTTATTTTTTTGAGACAAAGGCTGCCTCTATCGCCTAGGCTGGAATGCAGTGTAACCTGCATTCTATTCAGCTCACTGTAACCTTCACCTCCCAGGCTCAAGCCATACTCCCTCAGCCTCCCAAATAGCTGGGATAACAGGCGTGTGTCACCATGACTGACTAGTTTTTTGTTGCATTTTTTGTAAAGCTGAGGTTTCGCCATGTTGCCTAGGCTGGTCTGAAACTCATGAGCTCAAGCGATCCTCCACCCTTGGCTTTCCAAATTGTTGTGATTGCAAGCATGAGCTACCACACCTGGCCAATTTCTTAATATGATTTTAGCTATATCAAATTAAGCCAACCAATCAATCACTCTCCACATTATGATATTTTTGATATTAAAATGTATCAAACAGGAATAGAGTATCTCCTTTATTTCAGGCACACTTCAGCCATTATTTAACTTAACTATCTGAGTTAGGGTTCATCAATATAATATTACTGAAGATGAAGCTGTGGCTTAGAAATTGAGTTGAAGCTGCTGCTAAGTAGTAGAAATTAAACTTTTAACCCAAATCTTGTGTTTTTAATTCTTTTTCATGTTCTCTACATAATAAAAAATAAAATATTATACCAACTCTATCTCCATCATGAGCCTTCTGAATTGGCCATTTCTCCTGAACTGCTTCTACTGATGTGTTGCTTCGCGACTGCAGGCAGATTCAAGACTTCGGACTTTCATATTTTTATTTCTGTATTTGTGGGAAGTAGAACTGATTTAAAAATCTATAATTTTCACTTACATAAATCAGAAAACAGGCAACGTATCTTAATAAGTTTAAAAGTAATGCTTAGGCCTTCTGCGACTCACAGGCTTCCTCACTCTCAGGGCCAGAATCCTTATGAAGGACATTGACACCTGCCGTGTGGCTGTGACATAGATTTAAAACAACAACCACCACCAACTCTGAGTGTTCAGTGGGTTTAAATATCCTCAATTACCTATAAAAGTGACTGTTTTATATATTTTTTGTTTGTGAAATATGCCTGTAAGGCTAGGCATTTTAAACAATTATTATTGTAAAAATCACGTCTGAATGAGTTCTTTACCACCGCTCAGTTTTTTTTATTATGCCTTTCTTGAGCAAATAGACACCTCATGTAATTTTTTAAATAAAAAGTATTAAATTTGCTGATATATAACAGGTGCAGTAAGCAGGATTGTATATAATTTGAAAGAGATGCAATGAATTAAATTCAGGAGTTAATTTGCATGGAAAGGTCTATATAATGAGACAAATGCCGACTCGAATTGTAGTTGTGGTAGCAGTAAGCATTTCTGTAATTCCTTATGTTATTTCAGGTATGTGATTTTTATCAAAGACAATTATAAAACACAGAATCATTGAACTATCAGTGAAAATACATTTCATTTAAAAAATATTTATGATGATTAAGATATAGATTGTAAACACACACACACACACACACACACACACACACACGTTTAGTGACGAGAGCATTCAGATTGAAAAAAGTGACTTTTCCAAGTAGCATGGTAAAACTTAGACCCAATGTATCCTCTTCTGTAGTCCAGAATCCTTTTCCCAGCCACAAGTTTCTGAATTAAAATTACGGTATTCAGGAATTTTCCTGTGGGCCATAGAAAATTAATCCATGTCTGAAAGATATTTTAACTATAAATGCCAGAAAGAATGCTAAATTAGTCACCATAATCTATTTAAGTTACTTCAAATACTAGAACATTTTCTTTAATACGACTTAAGCAGAATAAAGGAAATAATTCCACTACATATTTACATCTTTCCATGTCAAAGTTCTTAAAGCTTGGATTTTTATAAGGCCTTCCTAATGAGTTCATTATTTTGTTTATTCTGCTCATAAAAAGCCTGATATGACCATGATATTTGCATTGCTAATACCCGTCAGGAGTTGGTTCCTTTGCTTTTTCTGCTCCGAGACAAAACTAATTGAGATCAAAGTCCATTTGGGGAAGAAAATCAGTCCAAACTGGCCAATAAAGGGAATAATGGGGATCATTGGGCCAGCTTCCTCAGCAAGGAGTTCAAGACCTGGGGTGAAGCCAATAAAACAAATAAGACATATGCTCAGAAAAATATATCAGAACCAAATTACCAAAGCAAATAAAGAAGCCTAGAAGAAACGAGTCAGTCGGGATGCAAGAAGCACCGGCTTCATACTCTGAAACTACAGGAAGGGGCAAGTGAATTAGCATTGCCCACATAGAAGAAAATGCCCATGGCTTTATCATACATAAGTTCCCAAATTTAGTGGATAAAGAATCCCCTAGAGGAATAAATACTTATTTATTCAGTTCTCATTTATCATGTCCCAGGGATAGGAACTACAAAAAGCTGGTATGGGGAGGAATAATTCAGTTAGTAATGTGGCCAGGCACAGCAGCAGCCCAAGGGGAAGATTGTCCATTTACATTTCCACACCAAGGGCCAGGAAAGCCTTCTGGGTGAGGTAATGCTTAGTTCCATCTTGAAAGATCATAGTTATATTCCAGATAGGTAAGGGTAGAAGCAGCATGTCAAAGAGATTGGGGCTTGAAGGCATTCATGCACTCTACAGAAGTCCAAATAGTTCATTAAGGCTGTAACCAACAATCAACCGATGTTTGTGACTGTCAAGAAAGCCAGGTAGTGAACTGCATGTCAGATGTACAATAACTGATTTAATCCTGCCTCCTTCCCTTAGTAGCTGTGTGACTTTGGAAGGCTCTATAAACTCTGTTCCTCTCTGTAAAATGGAAATACTACTAGAGCCTGCCCCGTAGAGTTGCTATGAAGGTTAAATGAGCTAATGCTTGCAAAGTATGAGAAACTCTTAGCTCAAAGTCAATACTATCTAAATGTTCTCACCTAAATATGATGGGCAAAATTCTCATGATAAGTTTGTTACTAGCAATGTTTTTCTTTAATTCCCATTAAATACATCTGGGTCTTAGAGAAATGCTTATCGAAATTTCTTTTGCTCATTCAGTGGCTAGATCAGTTTATCATCCGTTCTATTGTTAATTTTTACTTCAGTAGGACCTTGTTTTTTAAAAGGATGATTTTTTTTTTAGAATGTGCCTTCTCACTTCTGAATTTCTGCCATTTTATTAGAATTATAGTAACATGCACACTATTATTGAATGCCAGCTTCCTAAAATTACTGAAACAGCCTGTTGATAAGTCGGGGTTAAGTTTATTGCTTACTGCCAGAAGGTAGAGGAGCAACTCAGCAGAGCTTTGATGGAGTGTCTGGGGCAGGAAGGTGAAGTTGAAATTTACATAAAGTTGAGGCTTAGTTTTAAATTGGGGCTTCAAGGCAGGCCTGATTAGGAGTGGATGAGGAGTAACATACAACCATTTGAGGACTAGTGGAAACAGCAAAGCAACAATTTTGGAGGCAAGAGATTCAAATGATCTTAGGACCCACACTGTCTACTGATCTTTTCACTGGGGAGTTGATGGAAAGGTTTTGTAATGAACCATTTATTGGAATATCTTCTGAAGTAGTACAGCCATGTTAAAATTATGAGTGAATTATGTGGGAGTAGTGTCAGATCTCTTTGTATGTGACCTAGATGTGTATGAAGGTAGATTGTTTGGCTTATTATCTATCAATCAAAACATTTCCCTCAGTTTGAGTTTTGAGAAGCCATTTGTTGCTATGGTTGAGAGAATGAATTCTGAAGCCGGAGTGCTGGCTTTAAATCTAGGCTTCTTCATTTACCTGCTGCATCTAGACAAAGTACTTAACCTCTTTGTGCCACTGCTTCCACACTTGCAAGAGGAAAAAGTTATAATAGTGTTTAGACATGAATTGTTATGACCATTGAGGAAATCCATATGGATAGTGCCCTTAAAATAATGCCTGGTATGTAATGAGTATTCAATAAAAAAGTTATTATCGATCTAAAATTAAAGGCTAGGGTAATATGTTTTACGTTATAAATTTTTAGTTACTGACCCCAAATTAAAGAATATACGATTATCTTATTATTTTGTCCAATGTACATTAAAAATCATTACTTAATGAACCAGCCAGAGCAAGAAGTACAAATGTAAAATGTAAATATAAATTATTCGCTCACCTAAAAAAATTGTAATCTCCCAAATCCTTTAAATGTGAGAATTTTGAAAATTTCTGTCTGCAGCTACCTATTCTTTTTATTCTAAATTATCTCCACTCCAGGTAAGATTTTTGATCTCTCTGTTCACAAGTCTGAACACTGGATATCCCTAAATGTCTTAGGTATCTACTCAATCCAATACCCTCCTTACTTGTCGTATAACCTTGTTCAAGCTTTTTATACCTTCTCTTATGATCCTTATCTCAATTTCTGCCTTATTCTCCCACTTCATACACTTGAAATTATATTTAAGTCCTCCTAGCTCTCACTTGGCCTTTGCCTACCAGGCTCCCCTGAAGCTGTCTACAGACTTGCTAACTCATATTGGCTCTCGTGGTCTTTCCCTGACTCTGTCCCTACGGCCATCATCTGGGGTCAGATGCTTATCATCTCTTACATGAACAATTTCAATTGCTTTGCAGTGGTTTCCCTGGATACAATCTATTGCTTTTTGTATCCTTCACACTGCTGCCAGATTTTTCTTAATAACATACAGATCATATCGAGTCACTGATCTGCTCAAAGAACGCAATGACTCAGCGTGGCTGATGGGCTGAAGGTCACAGTGATATTCTGTGTTCTGCAACATTTGGCTCTAACCCCAGGACCCAGACCCAGACACAGCCTCCTTCTGTCCTTTACTTATTTCCTTGGACTATGCAATGACTTCCCACAGGTGTGCCCTTGCTCAGCTGCCCTCAGAAGAAGTGATGCATTTACCTGCCTTTTCTATATTTGAATGTCCTGCTTGTTTCTCCTCGTGAAGACCTCCCTTCTTTCACTAGTTCATAAAATAATTTCCTCCCCTACTTCCTCAAAACTACAGGCAGATCTAGGTTTGTAAAAGTTCTTAGAATTTTTGAAGTCCTGGAAAAGAAAACAATTAAAAAGTACAAGTAAAAATTTGGGTTTGTAAGTGATATGGTTTGGATCTGTGTCCCCACCCAAATCTCATCTCAAATTGTAATCCCCACATGTATAGGGAAGGACCTGGTGGGAGGTAATTGGATCATGAGGGCAGCTTACCCCGTGCTGTTCTCATGATAATGAGGGAATTTTCATGAGATCTGATGGTTTAAAAGTGGCAATTTCCCCTTTTCTCTCTCTCTTCTGCTGTCCTGTGAAGAAGATGCCAGCTTCCCCTTCATCTTCTGCCGTGATTTTGTTTCCTGAGGCCTCCCAGCCCTGCAGAACTCTGAGTCTTTCCTTTATAAATTACCCAGTCTCAGGTAGTATCTTTACAGCAGTGTGAAGATGGACTAATATAGTAAGTACTTATTTAAATGGTGTATTAGTCTGTTTTCATACTGCTGATAGAGACATACCCCAGACTGGGCAATTTACAAAAGAAAGAGGTTTAATTGGATTTACAGTTCCACATGGCTGAGGAAAGCCTCACAGTCATGGCAGAAGGCAAGGAGGAGCAAGTCCTGTCTTACATGGATGGCAATGGGCAAAGAGGGAATGAGGAAGACACAAAAGTGGAAACCCCTGATAAAAACATCAGATATCATGAGACTTGTTCATTACCATGAGGACAGTATTGAGGAAACTGCCTCCATGATTCAGTTATCCCCCACCAGGAGTTATCTGGTGGGAGTTATCTGGTGATAATTCCCACCAGGGAATTATCAGAGTACAATTCAAGATGAGATTTGGGTGGGGATACAGAGCTAAATCACATCAAATGAGGAAATAAATATCTTTTTTTAAAAAAAAAAGCTGTCAAAACAACAAAACTTACAAATTATGTTATATTAGGTAATACTTTATTAATGAATTTCCTGTTGGATTTCTATAATACTAATGATTTTATAATTATATTTTATATAGAGAGTAGAAATGTAATTTAGCAATATCCTCAGCATGATTTGTCAAAATGTTTCAGATGGTTGATAGTTTAGAATTTCCTTTAGCTTATAAATTTAATGGTTAAAAGCATAAATGATTACACAATTACTGTCAAATTTGGAGAATTTCTACCACTTTTCTGTTATATAGAGGCTATACAATTGGGAAGAATTTTCCATAGACTAGCTTCTGCCTCTCTATATGATAAGGAGTTATCCCACTACTGCACACATGCTTTTGGGGGGCTCCATGCTTTAGGAAACACAGGATACTACATAATCCCTCTACCACACATGTGTGTCACTACCCTCTGTGAGTGCCGTGTAACAGTGGAATACATTTCTACACAAGAATGACTAGCAGTAAGTTAACACTACATAGAAGAAAATGCAAACAACATAACCATATCCAAATAACTGCAATTAAATGTACATCTGACCCAACTTCCTCTTAGCTGACTCCTACTACTGTCCCTGGCCACTGCAAAATCACCCAAATGAAAGGTCATTATGTAAAGGGGAAAACTGATTGGAAAAGATAATGAATCACAACAATTGCTGCTCTAGTTGCTTACCTTCTTACCAGGAATCCCATTCAGGTAAGGGGCCCAAAGGTAAGTTCAGCTTATTTTCATTCACATCATTAATGGACTGATGACAGATTAATTTAATTCTAATAGAACCTTTTTTATGCTACTTTGCATTGCATTTTTTTTTTAAACGGGGTCTCACTGTGTCACCCAAGCTGGAGTGCAATGGCGTGATCTTGGCTCACTGCAACCTCCACCTCCCAGGTTCAAGAAGATTCTCATGCCTCAGCCTCCCAAGTTGGGATTACAGGCGTATGCCACCATGCCTGGCGATTTTTTTTGTATTTTTTGTAGACACAGGGTTTCTCCATGTTGGCCAGGCTGGTCTCAAACTCCTGTCCTCAAGGATTCCACCAGCCTGGGTTGTATTTTATACATGTATTGTCCACATGCACTTTATGAACTTTATTGTGTATGTCTAATTCTCTGCTGTATTAATAAGTACAGGTAATAAGTCTTCATTATCTTTGTATCCTTTATGGTAGTAGTATGCAGGTGATGTACAACAATTATTTGATTTAAGTGAAATCAGTTTCAAAATAGCCAAGAGTCATATTGAAAATTATATCTTTTCATTCCTTGCACATTGGAATGAGGTCATAGCTAGAGTAGTAGAAGCTAAAATTAATTTTAGGTATTTCCATATTAAAAAAACTAATTAGCTTTTGTAGGATTAATTCATGCAACAGAAAGAATATATCAAAATTATTATGATATTTTATACATAAAAGTAACTATCAAAGAAAGGCAAAGAAGAAAAATGTCTATGAAAATGGGTGAATAATTAAAAGATCACAGTTCCATATAATAATGGTAACAAAATGACAGGATCTAAAACTACAATATTTCTTTCAGGGAAATTACACATTAATGATATTTACATATAGATGAACCATATGAAGTTGCAAATATTTTTCTGATTTTAACAGATAAAAATGTCAATTTCATACAATTCAACCCAATGTATTCATGTTTGTTTTCAGGTTTCAGTTATAAGAATCAGGAAAAAAAAGTAACTTTTTTTTAAACAGTCCTCGAATTGCTTTCTGAAATATCATAGAATGTGTAATATAAGTACTCACAGAGTGGTTATATTTCATTTAGCCATATTTACTGTGAAGAGACAAAGCAAATCCACCAGCGTACTTATTTCTTACATATAATTCTCTATACTTTTACATAATGGGCAATTTATGTGTATGATATTAAATCAATGCTAGAATACAAGATCTAGATTGGGGCTTTTTGTAGATACAGTGGAAAAACACATAACCTGCCAGAGGTTATATCTCTAGATAATGTATTTTTTCTCCAGAAATGCACACCCCTCATACAGCATATGCTGTACTCAGCTTCAGCAGCATAACCTTCATTTTTCTCTACCATGTGCTCCCAAAGGCACAAGTCCTTTCTTTCCAATCAGTACTAAGCTTTATTTTATGCAAAATATTAACAATTTACATGAGACATCATTACTAAAATGCTTTAAAAATGAGAGAAAAAAAGTCTTTGTTCTGATTAAGAAGGTAAGATATGTACGTTGTAGAACATTTGGAAAATAAAAGAAGCACAAAAAAGGTGTGGGGTAGAAATCCATAGTTACCTTGTTGTTCTGAGATATCTCATGGTTAGATCCCCCATTTTGATCTCAAACCTGTCAATAATTTTTCTATGTCTATATAAATAAGTTATGAATTGAATTTTTAAAATTTTAATAACTTTATTGCTATATAATTTGTTTAAAATATAATTTATTCATTTTAAGTGTATAATTCAATGACTTTTAACATATTCATGGATCTGCACAGTCATCATCACAGTCAGTTTTAGAACATCATTATCATCTCAAGAAGAAACACTGTACACTTTGCCTATCACCCTTTTACCCCTCTTCCCTCTTCCAGCCCTAAGAGACCAAGGCTCTGCTGTCTGTCTCTTTGAACTTCCATATCGATGAAATCACAGCATATGTGTTTTGTGACTGGCTTCTTTGACTTAGCCTGATGTTTTCAAGGTTCATCCATGTTGTAGCATCTACCAGAACTTCATTCCTTTTTATGGCCAAATAACATTCAGCTGTCTGTATATACCAAGAGTGTTTATTCATTAATCTATTGAAGGTCATTGGAGTTATTTTCATGTTTTGGCCACAATGAGGAATGCTGCAATAAACATTCCTATGCCAGCTTCTTTATGGCATCTGTCTCCATTTCTCTTGGTATATTCCCATGAGTGGAGTCATTGGGACATAAGGAAATTTTATGTTTAATTATTTGAGAAACCATCAGACTGTTTTCCTTGTGTTACACGAAGTATAGAACACTAATACAACAGGTGTCATTTGAGGTAACCTCTTGAGAACATTTCTCAGAGCGACCTGTTAAGGGAGATAGCAACACAAAAGAGCTTTGCCCCTACTCCTCAAGAAACGCCAGCTGAGCTGGGAAGAAATCACTTCTTTCTTCTCAACACTTGCATAATGTCGTCACTCTTTATATTTTCTATAGGCTTTTCCTTTGTCTCCATGGTGTTATATATATTTCTTTGCTTATATTTGTGCTTTTCTGTATCCCATCTGTCCCTACTCCATAACTAGCACCTGAAGCTCAATATTCTTGGGGGGATAGATACAGTTATAATGTTAATGAGATAGGTAAAAGGAGAAAACAAAAGCAGTTAATTTCAGAAAAAAAGAAACCTTTAAGGAAAACTTTACAAATGCAAGATTAATTTATTGAACTATAGTAGTATATAAAAGCTAAACTGACAGTAAATAGGAAAGAATATTCCATGGACTTTAAAATAGATTAGGAAAATATATGCAAGTAATTGATGGACTCACAGCAGAGACTCTGTTCAGGGATTACTCTTAGAGAAACAAAAATGCTTATTTACCTATCCCTGGGCAATCTGCCTTCAAAGACTGGCCCTTGAAGGGAGGACTGGGTTAGGTAGGGAGAGCCCTGGGCCCCTTACCTCCATTGGGCCAACTCCGAAGGGCCTCTCAGGTCCAAAGCTCCTCTTATAATTCACTGAGTCCTTGGTTCCAACTACACTGAAGTTTGACATCATCTTCACCCCAATCCTGCTTCCCTCACCCTCCATAGAGAGTGTTTTCTCTCATGCTCACCAGTAAAACTCCTGAGCTCAAGGCTGAGAACCGGAGAATATCTTTCCTGGGCACCTCATTGATGCCTGGAAAGGACAGAGTACCACTACAGAGGCCCGCCTAGCTCACCCACTGTGGTAGGCAGGAGAATCCTAATCCCTTGGAAATAGGAATTAACTGCATTCCATGGCAAAGAGGAATTCAGGGTGCAGATGAAATTGGTTTCTAATCAGGTGCCTTAATATAAGAAGGGTATGTTGAATTATCCAGGTGAGCTCAGCGTAACCCGAAGCTTCCTTTAATGCAGGAGAGATAGGCAGGGGAGGGAGAAAAGCAAGACAGCCAGTAGCTTGAGAAGGATTTAACCTGATATATCTGGCTTTGAAATGGAAAACAAAGGGGCTAGCAGGTAAGGAACGTTAGCAGCCTCTAAAAGCTGGGAAAGGAAAGGAAACAGATTCTCCCCTATAGCGTCCAAAAGAAGCACAGCCTTGCCAACACCTTGATTTTCGCCAGTTGTGACCAATTTCAGACTTTTGACCTCTAGAAATGTAAGGCAATAATGCTATTATAGTAGCGATAGGAAACTAGTACACTTTCTTCCCTTCCTTCAATAACACACTGTGTTTTAAGCCAGTCATTGTTTACATAACTTCCATCAAGGGCCTGCATCTTTCTCAAAAAAGAAAATCATGCCTTTGTTATATTTGACCCTGGTGCTACAACACAGCTCAGTTATTTGAGGTAGACAGCAAAATCTAATTATGTTTATATAAAGAAAATACTGATAAAATGATCTCTGCTTTTCACACCAAAATAGTAAGTAGCCCATAGTAATTTATGAAATACTATAACCCTCTTTTCCTTAGCATTAGACTGCCTAGAAAGTAATTTCTACTTTTCCTATGCATGGAAGTTTTGGCCTAAGTTTCATATGTACAAGACAGGATATCCCCAGGTACTGTTTTGATGTTAACCCCCAAAAGATGCTTCTGACAAACTGTTCTTAAATAACTCTAATCATTGCATGAGCCTATTTGCTGCTCTCTTGGAAAATCCATTTCAGTTAACATCGGAATTGAATTATAAAATTGTACCCTTGATAAAGCAGAATTGTATTAAATACATTTTTGTTTGAAATTTTCAGTTTATGTGTTATTCCTAGGCATCTTGTATTTATATTATGCTAAATTTCACAACCTGACTAATTTTCTCACTCTCTCAACCCTGCTCTGATCAGTATGGTGAAACAATTATAAAAGTAAAACTATATGACATCAGGTTTAAAATAGAATGCAAAGAAAAACTAAAATTACATGTTTAAAAAGGCAGTATCTCCCCTTGAACAATCGGAAATTCTTACCATCATTAGAAAAAATAAGAGTTATAGTGTAAGCAACTTGTCATAAATTCAAATAATTTTTGTCACTTACAAAACATGTTTCTTGCTATTTTATGGAACAGATGAAGCAGGGAATAATTAATCTCAGCATCATGCCATTGGCAGTTTCAGGAGTAGACACAACAGAAAATGTCTGAGTAGCCAAGACTTTGGGGATAATTCAAAACAGCCATTAATATCTGCTTCACATAATGGTGTGAAAACAGTAGGCATGTTACCTCGTGCAAAAAAAATGAAAAGGTGAGGGGCAATGAGGGTGGATTAATCTTCTGTTGTAAAATCTGGCACCTTCTTTATGGACTCAGTTCATTCACCAAGACATTCCGAAATCGCTTCTGGGCCACGCCGTGTCTCCTTCTATTTGGTTATATTAAGCAAAATATATACAGACTTGCAGAACATAAACCATCAATTAATAGGATGGCTTTGTAAATATCATCTACTCCCAAGCAGCATTGAGTTGGAAATACTTGGCATGAGAGAACAAAAACTAAAAGGGTCAGATTGTTACATCACATTAAGTCTAACAGTTTATCTCAAACAAGTCGTAAAGGTCACACAGTGATGTGAGTACGTCCCATGACACACAGTGGTAGGTACCAGGTAATATTTTGTGCCAGTCACCATAGAGCTTATATGAAAAAATCTAAATTAATATCTTGTGCCCAAATCCAACATTCCAATGGAGAGGTAAGGAAAGAAAGGGCAGCAGTGGCCCAGGTAAGGGAGACCCATCTGTGGCCACCATAGCTCCACCGTCTCTCACTGTGGGTAATGGCTGTGACTCAGTTTTGCCTTCTGTCATTTGTAAGCTGCCTGCTTTCTGTGTCTGCCTATCCATCTGTGCAAATGGATTCAGTGTGATTTTAAATCTGTCTGAAAATGAAATTCAGTTGCAAGGTAAGAACTGTTAATAGAAGCGAACAAATGGAATAAAAAGGTGTTGATGTGGTAAATTTTAAGCCTAGTTTACACAACCATCTTGTTTTAATAGGAAATTAACCTACAGCTGCTATAATTCTCATAGGTGCCTTCCTGGGGCTAGTTTACCTGTGAATCAGGAAACTGCTATGGCCTTATGCAAAACCAGATGAAACTGAAGTTACAGTCAGGGTGACAGAATTGCTGGTAGGTGCTAGGCTATACGTCTTTTGCCTTTTTCAACTCAAAGAGCATACTGTTGAGGAGCGTTTCCTCTCTCACAGAAAATTACATTGATTTCAAGCACAAAGGGAAGCTCGCCCTTATTTTGTAGAAATTTCTTAGAAAGTATCTTTGCAGGATGAGCTGCAGTTATGCAGGATTTCAGCTGTGTATCCACTACCACCTCGGCTGAATTATACTAGAATTTCTTTCCAAAATGATGGTGAGTAGTTGCAATATGATTCGAGCACAGAAAGTGATAAGGTTAAAGACCCATCACTTTTATTATAAGGAAGAAACAAAGAGAGAATAAAATGTTTTCCTATAAGACTGGCTGCCTAAAACAAACTTTTATTAGCTTAAAAAAAAATTAAACAATTTAGCAACTACTTGCTTACACAGGCGTGATTCATATACCTGTGCTTAAAACAGCAGGACACATGTTTTCTATTGACAAAATTACTTGAATTTATGAGAAATTGCTTCCACTATGACTTTCATTTTTTAATAATAAAATTGAGATTCAGTGGTTCAAAGAAAGAGAATGCTTTTTAAAACAGTATTTCTAGTTTTATAATGCCTTACATTTTAAACCTGATTTTACTTCGTTAAGTTACCCTACAAACTTTATGGAAGCTAACAAACCTACTTTGCTGGCATAACAAACAACTCAATGAACCTTACACATTTTTACTTTTAAAAGTGCACTTTTTTTTAGATCTTATAAATAAAATGAATATTGACATTTAAAAGAGCAGCAGGAGAGATGTTTGATTGTGCAGAGGAGCACCAAAATGAATATTTAATGTGGTGTCCACTTAGGATACTCTAAATATAATTACTGGCATTTGTCCAGCTAAAGAAAAAAAGAGTGGGGGAGGAAACAACATACTGCTTATTTTAATTAGGTGAAATGATGTGGTTCAATAAAGCATGACAGCCTGCATAATGAAAGGAGAGGCCCATGTTTATGGGAGAATTATGGGTGACAAAAATGTTGGCAGTGTGCATGGTTTACTGAGGCAGTTGAAAGCCACTGTGTTATCTTTTCATTCATAATTTCTTGCAATGCCTTTTAAAGTGTAAACTGATATCATGCAGGAACAAGAAAACAAGGCAATGTTTATTATTTTTAATGTTTAATGAAGACGAAGGTAATTATATTTGGAGTGTTTCTGAAGATGATCTAAGAAGTGGCCATTGACTCTTATGTGTCATCTCACTCTTCTGTCTCTGAACTTCTGTCTTTGATTATCTCATATGTGAATTAGATACACACAGGCATATATATTATATATATATATATATATATATAAAATACATGGGCATGATTCATATACCTGTGTCTCTTAAAATAGCAGGACACATGTTTTCTATTGACAAAATTACTTGAATTTTTGACAGACTGCTTACACTATAACTTTCCTTTTTTAAATAATAAAATTAAGATTTTATTATTTAAAAATCTTTTTAAATAATAAAATTAAGATTTTATTATTTAAAAATCTTTTTAAATAATAAAATTAAGATTTTATTATTTAAAAATCTTTTTAAATAATAAGATTAAGATTTTATTATTTAAAAATCTTTTTAAAATACTGCTTTTTATAACTTTCCTTTTTTAAATAATAAAATTAAGATTTTATTATTTAAAAATCTTTTTAAAATACTGCTTTTTAAAACAGTATTTCTAGTTTTATAATGCCTTATATTTTAAACCTGATTTTACCTCGTGAAAAAATTCATTACTTTTATAATATTATATAGTGTAATATATGTGTGTGTGGGCTTATTTTCTTTATTTTAGAAGAAATTTCTAATGAAGCATTTGAAACAGACAAAACAGAAAAAAAATGAAGAGATATTGTAGAACACAGGACTGATAATGATTCCATCGTTTTTCTTCTTTTTTTGTCTTTATTTGGAGAAATACAGAGTATTTAGATCACAGCACTCTTTAATTTTGATTAAAACCATAATTATAACCAACATTTTATAGACGGCTTCTGTTGCTATTAAAATTTTGAGGGAAGAGAGCTTTTTTTTCGGGTAGTTCATAACTTGTGTTGCTTTAAGAAACTTAGTATATATGTAAACCCAATACAATAAAGACTTGAATTTGATAAATTTTACTATTTAAAAACTATCTGGCAAAAATAATCATGATCAACAGTTTAAAAAGTATTAAGCAAACTGAAGAAAATATACGTATGAGAAATATCAAAAAATTATCAATATGTAAACATTTCAAAACATCAAGAAAAGTATATCAATGGAAATTGAATCATAAGAACATTTGTCACACACGCATGCACACACACACATATACACACACCACAAGACCCAAATAACTATATGAATCCAATGGTCACAGCCAATTATCCAAGAAATACAATTACACAATACACAAAATATGTGTCTATCAAATCTATAAAATTAAAAATATATAATAATTAGTGCCAACAGAATTTCAGAAAAATAAATGGTCATTTTTCCCTAACACTTATTGAAGCATAAATTATATCAACCTGTCAGAAGACAATTTGATAGTGTGTAATAAGTACTATTAACAAGTAATGATGAATCTTATGATTTGTCCTTAGGTTGTTCTTTATATAGTGTTGTTTATGAGAATGAAAAACAAAACCAATCAGAAATAGAAATTAATTAAAAAATTAGAACTTACTAATATGGGCCCTGCACACTGGCTCACCCCTCTAATCCCAGCACTTTGGGAGGTCTAGGTGGGCAGATCACTTGAGGTCAGCAGTTCTAGACCAGCCTGGCCAACATAGTGAAACCCTGTCTCTACTAAAAATACAAAAGTTAGCCGGGTATGGTGGCGTGCAACTGTAGTCTCAGCTACTCAGGAGGCTGAGCAGGAGACTCACTCAAACCCAGGAGGCAGAAGTTGCAGTGAGCCAAGATGGCGCCACTGCCTTCCAGCCTAAGCAACAGAGCAAGACTCCGTCTCAAAAAAAAAAAAAAAAAAAAAAAATTACTAATACGTTGCTATAGAAATTATTTTATTTATGTTTAAGAAGAAATGCTTCGAAATATATTAAATGTTAAAAGTCTGTCATAAAGAGTGAGTGCACAGTAAGTCTTGTTTTTTTCTTTTCTGTTATATAGAAAGTTTGAACTGAGTTTCTTCCATATTATTTTATTTGTCTGAATGGTTGAATTAGAGGTAATTATAATTTTCATTTAGCAAATATAAATATTTTATGTGTAAGTAAAAATAAAGAAAACCTAAAAATTTTAAAAATTATGACTAGATAGATATATATGAAGAAAATGGCAGTTGGCCCCCCAACCCCCACCCAAAATCGCAAATAAAAAATAAGAAAAAGAAAAAGAAAAAAAAAAAAAAAAACAACAACACAAACCTATCTCCTCAATGGAACTTGAGGACAAGTGAGCAGTCTCTCCTGCTCTGGTCCACTGTGCAAGCATGCATAGGCCTAGAAGAATGGTGGGGAAGAAAGAAGAGGAGGCCAGCAATGGATGTAAAATAGATCCAAAAGCATAAACCAACACCACTATGAAAATCCTAGAAGCATGTTCTGAGAGATCATACAACAGTTTACAAGTAGTGGAATTAAGACAAGGCCATTTAAAGTGGTCATCTTCATAATCCATATCTTAGGGGAGAAAAAACAACAAAAAAAAGAAGCATGAGCTACCCTTCCACAAAAGATTAAAGGTAAAAGAAGCAAAAAGTAGAACTGTGTGGCCCTGAGAAACAAAAGAGAACCAAAAACTGGAAATTTTATACCCTTATCTACCCACCCTCCCCTCAAAAAACCTAAGAATCAGAATTTTGCTACACTGACAAGAGTATATCGAATGACAAATTTTATGAACCATACCAATAATGCAAATATGAACAGAAAAATACATCAGTGAATCTATACAGTTTTATTATAACTAATCAGAAAATTATATCAACAAAATAAACACTTATGAAGCAGCAGAAAACTGTAAGGCTACAATGCAAACTACATTAAATACACTCAGCCAAGCATTTAGGAATATAAAAACTACCTTGAATTAGACATGCAATATTAAAAGAAAGCAGGACTGACAAAAAAAGGAAGAAATGAAAAAGTTTATTGAACTCAGAAATGGACAAAAAGAAAAAAAGTCTCAGAAATTATTAAATTGCAAGGTGCTCAGGAGATAACATATTCAAAATATAATTTACAAATGATCATTGAAAAATGTGGGCAAACCACCTAGAGGATAAGAATACGATAAAGAAAAAAAAAATTAAAAGGTTTAGGGAGAAAGAAATACAAATAGAAGACATCCAAAGAAAGAATCCCATTCTTTTAATCAGTATCCCTGAGAAATAAGAACAAAGCTATGAAACAGAACTAATATTTAAAATCATAATCTAAGAAAACTTTTTAGAAATTAAAAAACCAAAACAAACTCTCAGCATATTGAAAGGGCCAACAAGATACATTGGGTGCTCCACTCTACTCAAGCAACCTGGGTACAAGTCCTCATAAAACCATTAGAAGAATCTGTAGATAAACAAAAAATCCTCAAGGATCTTTAAGATAAAGATTTTAGTTTAAAATTACACAGCAAATAAAAAAGTCTTGAGGAAAGAATAGCCACAAACACAAACTCATTTTTCTTCCAATTGTAAACCCAGGTTCCTTCTCTAGGCTTCAATGCCTGCTCAGTTTGTCAAACTTCAATGGAGAGAGAACAAAGACATCTTCAAAATGCTATTCAACCAACTTTTCTATGTTAATAAACTTTAAATTTTCTATTCAATTCTTACACATTGCTTCTTATTTCATGGAAGAAACAACTACAACTGATTTATGATTATACGAATGAATATTGAAAGGGTAAAAATAACAATTCTACATAAACATCAAATTACCATTTTCAACTCCTCTATCTCAATTTGTAGCATTGTGCAAAGCACAAAATTCCTAGGAGTTTAAGATCTGAAGTATTGAAGAAGAACCTCTGTATAGAATTTATGACATTAATGCTACCTATCTTTAAGTAAGACAATATCCCTAGTTATCACTGCCTACAAAGCAGAGGGGGGGGGGGCAGTTATATAAGAAATCATAATGATCCCAGGAGATTAAAAGGGTAAGGAGAACTCTAGCATAATTTTCCAATATATCTTTTTCCTAAGAGTAAACATTCATCTTTTTCTCAAAAAGCAAATCATCTTCCAATATCTTTTATAGATCTAATATTGAAAATAAAATCACCTATATTAAGCTATTTGTTAATATTAATTGTGATTAAATAACAAAGTGGAGAAAATATTTTAGAATACATAAATAACAGCCAATTTTTCATGTATCAACTAGATTACAATTAGCCTTCACAAAGCAAGAACTAGAGAAAGAGTAAATGAAACAATGCTGATTTAGACTTTAAACATTTGGAATCTCATTGCAGTTTCTGTACAATATTTAATTTTTTCATTACATTATAAAGTAAATAATTTGGATTAACTTAGAAAAACAAATCTGTGTTTTTTAAGGATTGCTTAAATTTACCATATATGATGTTATTTTAAAGTCACAAGACAGGTAGTTTACATTATCCCAGTGGTCCCCAACCTTTCTGACACCAGGGACCAGTTTCATGGAAGACAGTTTTTCCACTACAAATTGAGAGAAGGGATGGTTTCAGGATGAAACTGTTCCACTTCAGATCATCAGGCATTAGAGTCTTGTAAGGAGTATGCACCCTAGATCCCTCCTATGTGCATTTCACAGTAGGGTTCACCCTCCTATGGGAATCTAATGCCCCTTGGTCTGACAGGAGGTGGGGCTCAGGTGGTAATGCTTGCTCGCCTGCTGCTCAGCTGCCATGTGGCCCAGTTCCCAACAGGCCACAGGCTGCTACCAGTCTACAGCCTGGGGGTTGGGGACCCCTGCATTATCCTACATTTTTTCTGGCCAATAATTCTACAAAATCTGTAATACTTTTCTACCTGCCTACGTTCCTGTCTACCATGCTCTATATGTATATACCATGATATGTACACACAGATACATTTAATTCCAAAATATTAGCATTATCTGGGATTTTAATTTGCATTGTAATGAAAAATTCACATAGAGGGAAAACGTATCACAGGAAAATGTGATTCCCCACAATTTTGCAATTAACTCAGCTAACCTGGTCCTTAGCCTAATATTGTTTCATACTAACTGCTTCTTAATTGTTAGATGCACCAATTATTTTAATATATTAAATATAAATGCATTAAAAATTTTAGGCAATAATTTCATTTTCTTTTTTTTTTTTTTTTTTGTGAGACATGGTCTTGTTCTGTCACCCAGGTTGGTGTGCATGCAGTGGTGTGATCGTGGCTTACTGCAGCCTCTACCTCTTGAGCCCAAGCAATCCTCTTGCCTCAGTCTCCCAAGTTTCTGAGACCACAGGCATGTGCCACCATGCCCTTCTATTTTTATTTTTTTTAATTTTTGTTGAGTCAGGGTCTCCTTATATTGCCCAGGCTGGTCTCAAATTCCTGGACTCAAAAGATCCTCCCACCTTGGTCTCCCAATGTGCCGGCATTATAGGCATGAGCCACTATGCCAGGGCATAAGTCATATTTTCAGCCTGGCTTTAACTTAGACTCACATGAAATTCTCTGAGTTCTTATCCAAAGTCATATATATATAACTAGATTGTATTAAGCTTCTCTAGTCAGCACATGAAAATATTATCAAGGTTATTAAGTTAAGGCATTTGCTCTGTGACCTCTAAGATAGCACCAAGAGAGATGAGAAGCTAGAAATAAACATAGCGACTATAACTTCCACTCTATTAAAGTCCACCTGTTAGATTGCACAAACCAAATTCCAATCTACATTAAAAATGATTTAAAAACAATAAAATTGTAATGGGATTCTACTTGTGATAAACATTCTAAATAAAAAAGTAAATTTAAAGAAAAATTTTAAAATGCAAAAAATAGAAGTATGACTTTGCTGATTTGGCTATTGATCAAAGGGTCTAAAAAACGCTTCCAAGCTGAATTGGTAAACAGTTTTTTATCCTTACTTCTCTTGTAACAAAATTATTTATTATTGGTAGGTATCAGCTTCTCAGACCTTAAAAACTATAATATGATCCTTTATAATTCACTATATTAAATTTCCACTAGAAAAAGTGTTCTACCTGACTCTAAGCCCTGTAATGGCATTGACTATTTCTGGTCTTCTCTAATTATTGTGTCTATGGCTCTTAGTATGCTGCTTAAAATATAGAATATAGTAGAAGCACCATAAATATTAGTTAAATGAATGAAGGAAATGTTTGTTTTCTTTTCTTTTTTTTTTTTTTTTTTTTTTTCTGAGACAGAGTCTTGCTCTGTCACCTAGGCTGGAGTGCAGTAGTGCGATCTCGGCTCACTGCAACCTCCGCCCTCCGGGTTCAAGCGATTCTTCTGTCTCAGCCTCCTGAGTAGCTGGGACTACAGGTACCCGCCCCCATGCCCGGCTAATTTTTGCATTTTTAGTAGAGATAGGGTTTCACCATATTGGCCAGGCTGGTCTAGAACTCCTGACCTCGTGATTCGCCCCCCCATGGCCTCCCAATGTGCTGGGATTACAGGCATGAGCCACTATGCCTGGCCTCCTTCCTTTTTATCATGGACATACATATTAACATTTGTATTTAAAATGTAATACAATTACCCAACCAGACAAGGACTGCAAAATGTTTAATCTTCATTTTGTTATAAGATAAAATACTACTATCTATACTAAAGCTATATACTTTTTATCTCATTTTTAAAGCCAAGCATATTTATTTGACCTTGACCTTTAAAATACACTGAGCTATTAATAATTTTCATTCATGATCATTGTTGTTATTAACTTTAAAACAATTTTATAGTATCAATCATGGGTAATAGCATAACTAATTGGTGGGAGATGCTTTTCTAAAAAATGCTGTCGTGAAATTCATTTGATTGAACTAATTATCCTTATTTTCCTGCACCACTTTCATGTTAATTCTCACTTGACTGTAATGGCGATTACTGGTGAGAGAGGAAGAGTTTAGCCGTGGAATCTTGTGCCAGGCTCAGCCAGCAGACTGCTAGAGATTTCAGCAGATGGTTCAGTTTGCTTCACCAATGAAATCTGTACGAGCAACCACTCCCTTGCTTTTAATAATGGGGGGGGGGGACAAAAATCAGGAGAAGGTTTCCACATGATACCCAGGGAAAAGTGCTAACAGATTTCAGTTCCCCTGCTTCACTTCGTGCAGAACGTATGAGGAAGAGCAGCCAGCAGGACAATGCAAAGACCCAATGACTTCAGTTCAATGTGTGACTAGCTGGCATTCCTCACGTCCCATCTTTAACATTTGCTTCTTGACCTGACCTCCGCACAGCCCAAAGTTGAGGTTCTGGGCAGTTCAGTAGTTCAGTGGGTCAGCTCTCTTCAAGGGTCCTGCAGGGTCCCGCTGGGAGAGGCGTTCATTCAAGAGTTCTGAGAACAAGAGCCTTTTTATAACCTCAATTACTGCAGGGTCAATATGCAACTGTGCATTTTCTGGTGGTACTTGGACGGCCTGGCAAGCAGCTGTGGCCCGAGAGCCGCTCTGAAACCAAGTTAAACTGTCATCAGTGTCTGTCTCTTAATGACAGCAGCAACAGAGGATATTTTCTGATAATTGGCTTTTTGAGCAACCAGACCTGGGATTTGACACTTGAACAAATAAAGCCTTGTCAGGATTAAACCCCCATTAGTAATTCATAAGAAATTTCTGTCAAGTTTGCATGTGTGGTTTTGATAGAACAAAAGAAAATTAATTTCCTGACTAAAAGACCTCATCTGCTTTAACTTTATTGATATATTTTACTTTTTAAAAAAGGGTATATATCTTTTCAATAAATAAATATATGGTCTGCCATGAGATGTATGTGTAGGAATCTAAAATTACCATGAAGCTGAGGCCATTCTATCAATTGACTGAGTATGTCTCAACGTCTTCAGTGCTCATGTATTCAGTGAGATTTGCTGTAGGCCAAAATATGGTATACAAAGAGCATTACTATGAAATGAATCAAGTTGTCTGGTGAGATTTAAAACAATGTTCAGCTTAGCAAAACCCAAGTTAGAGTGTTTCGAATCAAAAGTAAAAACTACAACAAATGTAAACCATTTGTCTACTATATAGCAGATTAGGGAACTAAATGTATTGTAGTTACATCCATTTGAATGTCTATGACATACTATAAACATACATGATTTATGCATTATAATAACCCTCTTTGATCTCTCCTAAGAACCACAAGACTGTACTGACAGTTGCTTTAGTTTGATAGTTTTTTTTTGAGAAAATCCATGAAAGCACACAGAGATTCATATGCAATCATTTTACGATAACTTATTCTGATAAAAAAAGAGTTTTACCTAAGATAGTTTAAGAATTTAGAGACTTTTTTCTAATGCTATAGTGACTACTAAATGTGAGTCTCAAATTACTTAAAATATTTAGCAATACCTAATTGCTAAATATTTAAATTTTAGTAGTACACAAAATAATGTCTTCTAGATTTTAGTATGCTGGCTTTTACACATTGTCATATTTAAGTACTTCTTCATTTATAAAAATTCTTAGGGTTTTTCATCTTTCTTTGACATCTCCTTTGTAAATTGTATCTCTTTCTCTCAATTATTTCTTGAAATTGAAGAATTCTACATAGACTAGGCTTATATACATATGCTCTAGCCCTAACCCCACCTTTATGCTGTGCTATGACCCTAGTGACTAGAATAGTTCAGTAAACATTCAAACAACATTTGTTAAGTGATTGAATATCTAACTTTTGGGATACAAAAATTTAAAAAAAAAAACAATGGCAGTGTTGCTGGTTAGCTTAGATGGCAATTAAAAATCTGAGGTGTTACTGGGAATATTTGGAAAACTTATAATAATAACATAATCTTAATAACTCCATGGGATTTACAGTGTAGGAGTCAATGGTCTGCCTTTCCAGGCTTATGTTGATCTGATCATATTTATGAAAAATATTCCTGACAATAAGAATATTTGTGTAGGCACAGAGCATTTCATAATTTTACTCAAATGTTTAGGCTTTTCAGATGTATAAATGTAATTTGGAAAAAAAAAATTTGTGAATGAGTTTGAATATCAGTGCATTTCATATCAATGAACTTTGGTCTTAATGGTAGATTATAGTAGAATATACATCTGGATCCAACATACGTCCCAAAATAGGACCTTGCTGTGATAGAACCTCAATGGCTATCTTTTAATCCCTTGATTCCACCAGTTAGCATGCATCATTTAGATATTTAAGGAAAAAATTGTTTAGTTTTCTGTGTACTAGTTACACCATATGAATTACTTAGCTTAATCTCCACAACTACAGATTATATATGAAATGAGAAAAGAAACTCACTTGTATTGATCACATTATAAGGGCTAATCACAGGGCTCCAGAAATTAGATAGATACAGAGACATAGAGAGAGGATGATAGAAAGATGATAGAGATATAGATTGTTAGCAGATAAGAGATGGGAGATGAGAGACAGATGGGACCTGAGAGATTAGAGACGATGAATGATGGATGATTGGTAGATGATAGATGATTGATCGATAGATGATAGACATGTGATAGATGATAGATGGATGATAAATAGTAGATGGTAGATGGAGGATAAACAATAGATGGATGATAAAGAACAGATGGATCACACATAATAGATAAATGGAACATAAAATAGATTATAGATGAAAGGTAAATAGATTATAGATGAATAATAGATAATAGATGGATAATAGATTGATACATGGATGAGAGATGGGTGATTGATGGGTGATAGATGATAGTAGATAGAAATGGAAATATAGATGGATTGTGCAGTAAAGTAGGGAAGAGGGATAAAAAACTTGAAGAATGCTTCCTCACTGACTTCATGTCTGTTTGGAGATTAGAATTAAAGGAACAAAAGGTGACCGCGACCTCTTTTGGAGGAGTGACATAAGCTGGGAGAGTGAGGTTAAAGTGATTAATTCAGGTCATATATCACAGCAGTTATTGGTAAAGCAGCTCAGACTGGCAAAGAGTCGCTTCTGTTGGCCAATGGTGGTGTAGAGGGTAGGACAGGGACTGTCTCATGCTGAGCAGGTAGAGCTCTGGGGGTCTGTCATTAATTGACTCACAATAATGTAAGATAAGTCTCATAGTCTTTGTTTTGTAGATAAGACAACTAAAGCTGCACAAGATTAAAACCATGGCCAGTCCATGACTCAATTTAAAAACAAACCCTAAATAAATCTGATTGTAAAGTCTGAGGTGTTGAGGACCATTGCCTAATGGAGGCTCATATCACTTGTAACATGTGTGTGCGTGTGTGTGTGTGTGTGTGTGTGTGTGGACAGTTTCTGTAGCAAGTATATGATTCTAAGAAGCAACTTAAATGAGCAGATGTTTTTATTGGTTTTCCATTGCTGAGTAACAACAAATCACCACACACTGAGTGACTTAACACAGCACACCTTTATGATCTCACAGAGTTCTAGGTCAAGGTCTGTTGTGGTTCAGCTAGATTCTGTGTTGAGGGTCTCACTAGGCTGCAATCAAGGCAAAACCTGCAGCTATGATCTCATGTGAGCCTCCCTGTCCTCTTTGCAGGCTCACTAATGATTAATAGAATTTAGTATCCTGCCATCGTAGGACTGTGGCCCTCAGCCCCTAGAGCAAGCTTGTCCAACTCGCGGCCTGCAGGCCACATGTGGCCCAACATGAATTCATAAACTTTCTAAGAACATTACGAGATTTATGCATGGACCTTTTTTGTTTGTTTGTTTTAGTTCATCAGCTATTGTTAGTATATTTTATGTGTGGACCGAGACAATTCTTCTTGTTCCACTGTGGCCCAGGGAAGCCGAAAGAGGACACCCCTGCCCTAGAGACTATCCACACACCAAGGCAGTCTGTCTTCACAAACAGCAAAAGAATTTCTCTCACTTCTTTGGCCTCTGACTCATTAACTGTCTTTTGAAGGACTTGCCTGATTAAGTCAGACCCAACAGGATAATATCTCTTTTAATTAACGTAAAGTCAACTTATTAGGGTCCTTAGTTATAACTACAAAATTTCCTCACCTTTGCCATGGAAGGAAATATAATCAGGAGAGTCACATCTCTTTCCAACTTTGCCATATTCTCTTGATTGGAAGTGAGTTAAAACTCCTGCCCACACTCTAAGAGAGGGGATTATGGATGGGTATGACACATTGAGAGTTTGCTTAGAATTCTATGTGGCTCATGCTTGTAGTCCCAGGGGGGCGGGATGCAGTGGCTCATGCTTGTAGTCCCAGCACTTTGGGAGGCCGAGGCGCATGGATCACCTGAGGTCAGGAGTTCGAGACCAGCCTGGCCAACATGGCAAAACCCTGTCTCTACTAAAAATACAAAATTTAGCCAGGCATGGTGCTGGGCACCTGTAATCCCAGCTACTTGGGAGGCTGAGGCAGGAGAGCCACTTGAACTGGGGAGACAGAGGTTGCAGTGAGCCAAGATCACACCATTGCACTCCAGCCTGGGCAACAGAGCGAGACTCTAGCTCTAAAAATTATAATAATAATTCTATGTAGGACAAGGTACACAATAATAAATAGGTCCTGCCACCTTCTATCAGACTCTGTCAAACTTCCATGGCATCCGCCTGGTTCTGAAATACATTTGAGTTTATAGGACCATAGCTACTACTTTAATATGATAAAGTTATAACTAGATACCTGAATTTCTAAAATTAATAGGTCTTGAAGAAATGTTGGTGATTTTTAGATATATCTATAGGAAGTTATTTATTTGTATCATCCATGATCTGGCAGTCAAAACAAAGTAGTGATCTGGCAAGTAGAAGGAAGAGATACTCACGTCGTTTAAATAAACACCTGCATCATTTCTCCTTGTAACACTTTGGCTCTCAAAATGTAGCAAAAATCCAGAAATACCAGCTAAACCCTTTCTGCTCAAAGAATGGACCTGAATGAGACAGGGACTGCATCTATTGGAGGTTTATTTGAAATGTGGGATCTCAGGCTCCATGGCAGTCCTACTGATTCAGAATTTTTTGTAACAAAACCCAGGTGATTGGTATGCACATTAATTGTCGAGAAGTACTATCTGGAAAATATCGCATTAAGTTTACACATTGTCCGATAAATCTGTGTCATTTAACATGCTTTCCTTTATTGTCTGATTTAAAATCAAATGTATGGCAAAGCTTTTCATATCTACATCTACGTAAGCATGCTTGACTAAGTTTGGAATCGTAGAGGTGGGAAATCAGGAGAACAAAGTGATGAACATGTGTTTTGCTTCTCTTTTTTTTTCTGGATCTTTCTGCTTTGAACAAAGCACTCAGAGAAGCCATAGACAACTCTTCTTCCTTCTTACTCCAAGCAGAGATAGATAAAATTTGGAGTTAGCAATAAAGTCAAAGTGGAAATGCTATACTAACCAGAGGATAACAAGATGAATTAAGAAATATTTTCAGCGTGCCAAACTGGTCTTTCTAACTTCATTAGTAATTAGAAGAAAAAGAAGAAACGTAAGACAGCATAATAGCATACATCCTCCTTAGCATGGCAAGGAATTCTACACTTCATAGAGATCAGCAAAAGCTGTGAGTCACCTCTGATGTTGCACACTGCAATTATTTGAGATTATAATTCAAAATTTTTTTGCATTAATAAATTCCCCTAAAATTACAGAAAAATTTTATTATATAATAAATACATTACAGATTCAGAGCCTCTGTCCCTATAAACCACAAGTTTAATCTTAAATACTGAACAATAAAAGAATATAGAGAGATATAACTTTCTTTAAAATTGTTCTTCCCACATTTCATATTTCTCAAAGAAATTATTTTTGCTTTAATATCAATAAATAATAGTAAAAAAGAATTCAACATAATGATTGTATGTTCATTTTTATATTCTGAAAGGTGAATATACTCAAAATCAACTAAGCTCTACACAATGCTGCTTGGTATCATCAGTTATCTTCAATTATTTGCTTTGCTTTAAGGCAATAGGGATTATGAAGTCAGAGTGTCTTGAATGACAGCTCTGCCACTGATTGGCTGTGTCCTTGGGCAAATTACTCCAACTACTTCAGCCTCAATTTCTTGGGGGCACAATATTAGTAAACCCTTACCTAGTTATGATAATAAAATCTATAATCTATGTAAAGTAAGTAGTGCAATGCCTGACAAATAGTAATTGCTCAATAAAAATAGCTGTTGTTCTTCTCATTATAGACTATGAATATATGCCTTAAAACCTTATCTTCAATTACATTTATGATATTTTAAGACAAGAGCAGTTAGAACTCTTTGTTCATCATCAGCTGTGCCCATAATGCAGTTTAAGTCTATGATGCCTATTAACAAATGTCCTGATGTTCATCCATCAAATGGAGCTCACTCAATTCCTACTTTCACATTCTCATGTTAACTAAAACTGAAATTGTAATCTAGGTAATTATCTTATCGTTGCATATGATCATTAATTAATTTTAATTTATTAAGGAAATTTAAAAAGAAAATCACAAAATCAAATAAAAATGGTATTACTGAGCTGTAGTATGTTTGTCAATAGTGAGCAATTATTGCTATGAGTAACTTAGAAAAAATTAAATATAATTTCATAATGTTCTTCATATCACTATTCCTATAAGAAATGTAAAAACAAACCAAGTTTTTTTTTTTTTAAATTTGCTTGATCTTGTTTTGAAGAAGTGTTGGCCTAGCCCAACAAGTGTTTATTATATCTAAACCACAATCTTAGTGCTATGATAGGTTTTAAGGACATAAGATAGAAGTGTAGGGATGCCCTAAAATATGTAAAACCTACAGAAGTTCAAATTAAACACATCAAACAACAGGGAAGACATGACAGAATCACTTTAAGAAACTCATTTTTGTTCACCATACCATTATGTGCTAAGTTTTATGGAGCAGACAGAAACATTTATGAAACTGCAGAATAGAAAATCAATAAAAAGTGGACTAATCCTGGAAGGTGTTATTTATTCACTCATCTCCTCACTTATTCAAGTATACATACATGCCATGTTAACCATTTAGAAGACACTTGCCAGCTTGTAGAAGTAAAGGAGAAGCCAAAGATGTGATTTGTTTGTTAAGATTTAGCATCAGGAGCAAATACAATGAGGAAGGATTGAGCATGTTTTGTTTCTGATTACAAGGGAGACACCCCTGAAAAGAGAGTGTGTCCTGGAAAATCATATTGGATGCTCTATTTAGACTATATTGGATACTCATTTGTAGAGGTTCTATTAGCAACCGTTCCATGGAAATTAACCTCACCAACTCACCTGCCGTCTCCCAACTCTGCTACTTCTCTAAGAGACTAGTACAGAGATGTTAAGTCCAAATCTGGTTAGCATCTCTGAAGATGCAGAAGCTCTAGCTTGATGTGGGGAATCATTGGCTCTGCAGAATAAAAATTACTTGAAGCTGGTGGCTATGTATTGCCATTGTCAAGCAGAAAGATTTCTAAAGAAGAGGGCATGTCACTCCTGAATCCTAAGAAGGGGTTTGTTCTCCAGCTGTGTACCAGCTCCATTCTTACTGGGTATGGTGTCAAGATCTTCTATTCATCATAAGTGGTATTTCAGTAGGAAACAGTTGTTTCTCTTGCACTTTACTTGAATCTTCTTGTTTCATGGTTTTATAACCAAGGAATCTTAACTAGTACCAATACACAGGGTCAAACCAAGTTATGAAAGCCAAGCAGATAAACTGTGATTAGTTATGATAGGAAATGATACCATCAAAGGTTTTGAATTGGAACCTGAAGTGATCAAAGTGGTTTCAAGAAAAAGTAATCTAACAGCAGTACTCAGGATCAATTAGATGATCCTAGAATTATGTAAGCCAGCTCAGACATTTACTGAGTATGTGGAGAATCAGATTTGAAAAAGTTACATGTATCTAAATAAAATTAATATTATTATAGAAAAGACTTAATAGGATATATTGAAATTTTATTAAGTGCCAAACACTGTCCTTACTAAGTACTTTCCATTTATTAGTGCATTTTATTTTTCAATATTTCAAGACAGGCAGTATTACCCTTTTGTCTTAAAAAAATAAATTTTGCAAGAGCAAACATCTGGTTTAACTTTTCAGCAGGGATTTACACCTAACTCTATATGACATCAAGCGTGGTGCTTCTTTATTTTCCAGCAGTTTAAGAGAATGGGCATTATTTGAACATGCATCTTATATCACATCTTACTGAGCTAAATGCTATGCATGTAACAGTGAATGATCCTGGTAGTCTGAGAAGTTCATACCAAGTGCAACATTTTTGTAAATAATATAAGCAAAAAGATTTGTATAGGTTTTTTATTCCTTTAAGGTAAAACAATAGAGTGGTTCTTTCTTGGCTCAAAGAACTTCATGTGTAATGGTCACATGTAATTGTCAGATTTCTAAAGTAGAATAGCATTTACCAATAGAAACACTTAAGTATTCTTATTTTAGAAGTGTTTCTTGAAATATCAGAAGACCACAAAGTGAGGCCAGCATTGTAAGAAAGCAGATACTCAGACTGATAAACTGAGGTTTCCGGTTCTGGAGAAGATAGCAAACCAACAATGGCTGCTTGAATTGTCTCTGGAAAGGTCATATAAAAGAGAAGGTGTGTGGGTAGGTCTCACAACCTCTCATCACTTCCTATGAAAAAGCCATTAGAAACCAAAAGTGAAAGGGGTCCGAAGCGTGCAATGGGCATGTGTGGTGAGGAGTGGGCAGGAGAGTTAATACTTAGGAGGAATGGGTATGAGCAATTGATTGCAAGAGGGTTCACAGACACAAACAGTCCTGTGTTCTCTCTCCACATTGACCGGAGCGGAAGTCACGTTCATGAGGTAGGAATATAACAGCCCAGAGATAGTGGCACAAGTGACAGCATAATAAGTCAGTCTGGAAACCCCATTTGGATAGGGAATGAATGGAAAAAAAAGACAACATCCACCATCCTTCTTTCCTAAATTGCAGGAGCCTTTTCTTTAGAAAGCTCAGGATGGAGATTAGACAGTAGGATCCTGAGGGACACAGGAAACCCATATGTATCTTTGTGGGGAGACAGGATACAAAATAGCCAAGCCCTTAAATGTCACACCAGAAGCTTTCTTTCACAATGGACATTTCTACACTTCCATTCTGGCCAGTCTGTAACTGGATCCTGATTTTGATCACCCCTGTGTGTGCCCAACAGCATAAATAGCAGTAGATACTTCAAAAGAATATGACCTTAAAAGAAAAATGTATGAGGCATCTATGGCATATATGCAACATAAAAGAGAAACCCAAAATAGACAACCTATAGGAGAGAAAGCATAACTAATGGACATGATAAATTACAAATTAAGTAGTAAAACCCAACAATATATTTGAATAAATAGAGATTGAGATTGACAATGTGAAACAATAAGTATTCTTGAAGAACCAACAAAAGGGAATGATACATATGTAACTTCAAATAAAAAACTCAATAGATGGGATAAATAACAAAATTAGGCCAAGGATTTGAATTAATAAGGCAAAAAAATGGGGGGGGGGTAGACTAAAGAGCCTACCAGATACATGGATAATGAGTTTAAAATCTAAAGAAGATATCTTGACATCTGCAAAATAGAAATCTCAAAAGTTAAGAACATAAAAGCCTTAGAAGAACACAGATATGAAAAATCAAGTGAAACATTTTTAGTATGTAAGTAACCAATTAAAAAGTCACATTGAATGGGCCCATAGCGCTACATATAAAACGCCAAGCAAAAACACACCTCACACATTTAAATAAATTTTTAAAATATCAGAAGCCAAGAAATGAATCTTCCAGAGTGAAATAGCAGATTGTATACCAAAATCTAGGAATCAAATGGACATCGGTCCTATCAACAGCAACACCATATGCAAGATGAAGAGAGCCCCAAATACTGAAGAGAAAGAATGTGGAGCTCAACGTTTTATAACCAGCTAAATTTATATTTAAAGGAAAAGGTAAAATAAAGATCTGTTTCAGCATAGAATAATCAGACTTTTAAACATAAAGACTACATTTGGAATAAAAATTGGAGAACTAATACTCCAACAAGAAGGGAAATAAATCCAAGAGTAAGCCCCAAGGGGGTTGTATCCACCTAATAGCCACACAATACTTTGAAAACCAAACTCATCATCCTCTCTTAAACTGTATCCCAGGTGATCCTCCTTGCACTAATTTGTATCACTATCTATCATGGTGAACAACTGAAAGCATAGGCCCCATCTTAGTCTACCGCCTTCTCTGTTTCCCTCATATTCAGTCAGCAAATCCTGCTGTCACTGGTGGAGGGTCTTGACCATGCATCATCCAGGTTCTTGGTGTTTTCAACAAAGAATTGGACAAAACACACAAACAAAGCAATGAAAGAATGAAACAATGAAAGCATAGATTTATTGTAATAAAAGTACACTCCACAGAATGGGAGTAGGCTGGAGCAAACAGTTCAAGAGCACTGGTTACAGAATTTTCTGGAGTTTAAATATCTTCTAGGGGTTTCCCATTGGTTACTTGGTTACACCCTAAGTAAATGAAGACTAGGCCTGTGACTGGTGTGATTGGTTGTGAGAGGGCCAATCAGAGGCTGAAGTTAGAAAGTTACCCCCTATGCAGATGAAGACTAGGCCTGCAACCAATCTGATTGGTTGCCAGAGAAGACCAATCAGAAGCTAAAGTGAAGTCACGAAGTTACACACGAAGACTTGGTCCACGACCATTCTGATTAGTTGCAGGAGAGGACTAATCAGAGGTATTGTCCATTTTTCATCTGCTACGCAGTGCAAAAGGAGTGGCCTCTGATTTTTTTGTTACTTTGATGTGGAGAGGTGGGTTTTCCCTATTGATTCAGTTCTAGAAATTCAGCATGAATCAGCCTCAGGTTCCCTGCCTCCAAACCCTATTCTCCTGCCTCACTGCCACTTGTTGAATTTTAATAACCAGTATCTCTTACATGAATTTGGGGTTGCTTTATTCCACCCTTTTTTAAACTGCCTGATTTATTTTTACCTACATGACATTTGATGCTTAAAAGGATTACCCCAAATGAACAAATACAATCTTTTAAAAGTGATCACTTTGCACCAGACATGCAGTGACCTCCCTTTGTGTCCCTGCTGGCTGGCTCTCTTCTTATGCTGAATCTCAGAGCAGACAACAGCTTCTTCTCCAGCTTGGCTTTTGTTAATCCTCCCCGGCTGCTCGGTGTGGGGTTCATTTCAATTTCTATAAAGACCCCTTACACTCTGTGATGGCATTATTGTTTCATAATACACTGAAAAGGGCCTATTTTTCTATCTTTTCAATGAGATCCCCAAGCAACTTGAAGGCAGTAATTGTCTTTGTTACCATAACACCAGCATTTGGTCCAGGTCCCACTGCTCACTATGCAGAATCACTACGACAATGACTATTACCAGAGAAGAAGATTTTAATTGGGTGCTGCAGCTAAAGAGATGGGAGATCAGACTCACATACATCTCCCTGACTGACTAAAGTTAGGGGTTTATAAAGCATGGAAGAAATGTAACCATGTGTAGGAAAAGGAATTAGGGAGTGGTAAGGAAGAGGACTTGGTCAACAGAAAGCAGGTCCATCAGGCAATCATGATGGATGAGAGGCCTGGTGTCTCACTGTCCAGATGCAGTGATCTGGTACCTTCCAGCTCCTTGATACTACCTGGGAGGGCTGATGGTTGGTTTTCTGACAAAGGAACTCAGATAAGACAAATGTAACTTTTTTCAAGTTTCAAGACTGAGAGGGTCAGTTTCTATGTTTATTCTAAAGAAATTATAAACATTAGTTTTGTGGAACAATCGGACTGCTTTTATCTTCTTGTTAACTATTTATATTTATTGAATCACTGAAAAAAATGAATGAATAAATAAATGGGGGAAAATTGGGAATTCTACAAGATCTAATTTAAATGCCTATGGTAAACATGACTAATTTATATAATTATTTGTCACTTCATGTTTTCTCATTTAAAAAACAGGAATGGTAAATTCTGTAGTAGAATTTTGTTGTGAGTTTACTCAAATTATGATGTAAAAGCACTCAGCACAATGTCTGTCATATAGTAGTTAGGCAACATAGCTTCCTCCTTCAAGAAACAAATACCATTTAAGAGCTCCTAGATGCAAACTGTTATTCTAGGAGATACAGATCAGTTATTGACAAAAGAAAAAAAAAAGTAAGCAGATAAAGAATTTACAGTTCAGTAAAGTCTTTTTTTTTTTTTCTTTTTTCTTTTTTTTTTTTTTTAGATGAAGTCTTGCTCTGTAGCCCAGGCTGCAGTGCAGTAGTGTGATCTGGATCTCGGCTCACCACAACCTCCGCCTCCTGGGTTCAAGCGATTCTCCTGCCTCTGCCTCCCAAGTAGCTGGGATTACAGGTGCGTGCCACTGCACCTGGCTAATTTTTTTGTATTTTTAGTAGAGACGGGGTTTCAACATGTTGGCCAGGCTGGTCTTGACTTCCAAACCTCAGGTAACCCACCTGCCTCTGCCTCCCAAAGTGCTATTACAGGTGTGATCTGCCGCACCCAGGCTAGTAAAGTCTTAATATCTTATATTTATTATTCTAGATTGAAAAACACTCGTGTTTCCTACACTAAGAAGCTCTATCTAGAATGCAAATCTTAGATATTTCAGTATCACTCAAAGCACTGAAAGCAATACAGATTCCCCAGTTTCACCTGTACTTGCTGCCATGTGTGAGCTTCTGTGGTTGGTACTGGAGACACACAGATTGAGGGTTTCTTAACAATGGCACTGTTGACATTTGGGGCTGGATACTTTGTTGTGAAGGATTGTCCTGTGTCCTGTAGGATACTTAGCAGCATCTGTGGGCTCTGTACACTAGATACCAGCACTTCATCCCTGTCTCCCACCCAGGGTTGTGACAGCCAAACATGTCCTCAGGTATTGCCAAATGTTTCCTGGGACAAAATCACCCTCAGGTAAGAACCACTGGATTAGAAGGGATTGCCTCTCTACTGGACATTTTTCATGATCATCCTATGAAATATCACATCATCACAGCTCAGCATTTCCTACTTTATGGCTCTTTTCTCCCTAATGTAGAAGCCATAAACTTGATTTTCTGGCTTCTCTTGAAACATGGCCATGTGCCTATGACCTGGGCTGCACTAGTAAGAGGACCAAGCACAGGACTGGGGTTCTGAGCAGGAGAAGTCTGGAAAGCAGTCTTTTTGTGGAATGCACTTTCCATCAAGGGTGATGAGGGAGGGTTCCCACTTAGGGAACAGTGATGGTGCCTGGTACTTGGGGCAACTGTGATGCAAGCTGCAGTGCCTGTAGCAGCCAAGTAGTTATTGTGGAGGCATCTTGCCTCACGTTTCTCCTGACTCTGGACACTTTGAGCACTATCTTAACAGAGTTCCTCAACTGAACCACACAACGCAAAACTGTTATGAAGCATTATTTTCTCAATTCTCCCAAGGATAATAGATAATAGTACCATTCTACATGCATGGGAAGGAAGTTCACTCATTATATACAATGGGTGCTTTATAGGATTAGGCCATAATTGTCACATTGAAAATGGGTTGAGAAAAAGAAATATCTTTTCTGCTAAAGCTATCTATTGTGATTGCTTTTTGCAACTAAAACTGCTTACTGCTAATAGCTGTCAATTGAAGGAACAGAACAACTTTGAAATGGATGTGATTTTCTTTAACATGAAGACATATGGCTCAATGATGACTAATTTGCCTATTCCTTATGTTTAGGTATTTCAACAAGTGCTTTTATGAGGATAATATAAGAAAAGATTTTCTAGGGCTTTATCCTACATTTTATTATTTTCTTCAATCTTTAAGATGAACACACCCAGTACTGGCTACATAATTTGCAGGGACCAATACAAAGTAAAATGCAAGGCACTCTGTTGGAAAGCTAAGAATTTAAGAAGGCAATAACAGAACCCTATAATAAACATAGGATCCTTCTGAGCACAAGGCTGTAGGACTGCTCAGATTACACTCCCACGAAGCCAGTCCTGTCCTCATGAGTTAGACAAGTCATAGATAGCAGACCCCTGTTTACACAGGAGAAACAAACAACACTCCAAAACTTCACTGGTGGTCTTATGGCCTTTTATGAAAGAAATCCTGATGGTTTATTACTCAACACATTAATGCTAAATAAAACATACCCCCAGAAATGCCAATGGTCCAGCATCTTTGATTCCAATAGATTGTGGTGGTTATTTAGTGTTGGAATGGCACGTTGAGAATGTTATTAAATATGTACAAATGCCTTAAAAATAGAAGAGGTGAAAAATAGAAAATGCCTAAACTTGAATTATACAGGTGAAAAGATACTGACTGCATAATATAATTTATTGATGTCACTACAATCAACATATTATTTATTATAAAAATAATAAATCTACCTTGTATACTGAATAGATTCCATGAACTGAATAGACTCAGTGAAGCAGTAGTTTATCCAATCAGCTTGCATCATGTTTTGGATATTGTTCCTGGCTAAAGACGCTTCAAGAACGATTCTCGTTTTTTAAATGAATTCTCTAACTGAAACACACAATATTTATCACAATACTTACCATTCAGATTCCATTCTCTATATTCCAGTTCTAATGTAGGAAGAAATCATTATTAAGATCATTCTAATGAGCCCAGCCCTGTAGCTTATCATATGCTAATGTAATATTAATATTATCATGTGTAGCTACTAAAATATTTAAGTGAACTTTCCCAAGGAATTGGGAGATTTTTTAACATTAAAGAACATAGCATGGGCCGGGCGCGGTGGCTCATGCTTGTAATTCCAGCACTTTAGGAGGCCAAGTCAGGCACATCACCTGAGGTCAGGAGTTTGAAACCATCCTGGCCAAAATGGTGAAACACCGTCTCCATTAAAAATTCAAAAAATTAGCTGGGCGGGGTGGCAGCTGTAATCCCAGCTACTCGGGAGTCTGAGGCAGCAGAATCACTTGAACCCAGGGGCAGAGGTTGCAGCGAGCTGAGATCACACCGTTGCACTCCAGCCTTGGCTACAAGAGCGAGACTCCGTCTCAAAAAAAAAAAAGCATTGAGTGATTTGTAACTTTCGGGTGATACAATAATTATATCATAATTTTATCAGTTATTTTTTAATTAGAAAAGGAAATTGACTTAAGTTGCTAATAAAAACACATTTTAGACATTTCTTTGAATACAAGACTCTAAGAAGCAATGATTTATGTTGTTTTCCAATGACATATTCACTTTACAAATCATCCAGCATTGGTGAATACCTTGCAAAATAATGTAACTTTAAATATGTTCATGTATTCATGTATTACCTATTCTATAACACAGTACTTGTGTTTTATTTGCATTTTATTTATTTTTGACTCAAAATACTATAATACATATTTAATAATATGTATAAACATTGTATGACCATCACACTTGTGATATTAAAATGTCTTACAGTGTTTATAGAGCAACATATAATAATGGAAATATATCAATAATGGGAATATATACAATTATTGTGGTAAGTGATTATTCTGCCACTGCAACTCATGTCATGCAACATTAAGTACTTTTTTTGGTAACTGTAATTTGCATGCACTTCTATGGTTTTTCTGTGGGTGTAGGGAAGAATCCATTAGATAATGGAATCTATTAGATAATGGATATATATTGGAGAGATATATATATATACACACACACACACACACACACACATACACACACACATTCACACTTGAAACCGGTACAATTATTTTTGGTATATATATTATATATTCATATACATGTATATTATATATATATTATATATAGATACACACATACATATACACACACACAATGAATCAGGAATGAGTGTGAAAAAGTCAATAAAGCCAAAAACCTGGCCTTCTCAGTTAATTTGTCTCAAGTTTATCATTAAAAATATTTATTTAGGTGCTTCCTTAAGGTGCTACTTCTGGCTATCCTGATTTAGTAGTTTGGATGGTTGTAAAGAAGTTTTCATTTTTATTAAGACCTCCAAGAGACTCTAATACTGAGAGTCTGCTCCTTATGCTAAGAAAATGAATTTGTTCTGGAATAGATGAAGAGACATAGAAAGAACAAAGAAACAAACAAACAAAGGCCATGGGGAGCACATCTGCCCTGGGAATCCTGCTTGTCCATGTGTGCCTCATGGCCCCTGTAACCACACTTGGTCATTGATGGGCTGCATTATCAGTAGTGACCCTGTTATACTATATTGTCACTGTTCTATGTTTCAATATACTTAGATACACAAATATGTTTTAATGTTTATGTTTTCTATGTTTATGCTTAAATATAAACCTTTTCTGTTTAAATATACTTGGATACACAAATACTCACTATTGTGTTACAATTGCCTACAGCATTCAGTATGGTAACATGCTGTATAGGTCTATAGTCTAGGAGCAATAGGCCATACCATATATCCTGGATGTGCAGTAGGATATACAATCTAGGTTTCTGTAAGTACATGATATGTTGTTCATACAGTGAAAAAATCACCTAATGAGGTTATATCTCAGAATGTGTTCCCGTCTTTAAGTGGCATATGACTATGTGTGTGCATATGCCTTGATCATTTTTAAATCAGATAATTAGGAAACTTTGTTATCTTTCATTATGATTTCTCTAAACTGAGGAAAACTTCATAAAATATTTGAGGATTTTTTTCCCAAGCACAAGTACTGATGAGACCACAATATGAAGGTATTATGAATCAATCAGTCCTCTTGTTTTACACTGAAATATATATACATATATATATGTACACACACACACTTGTATTATATGTGTGTGTATGTATACATACACACACACACGTACACATAGGGAGAGAGAGAGAGAAAGTAGAAAGATGTCTACATTTATTTTGTAAAAAGAAAACTCTTAAGAGATTTTTTGTATTTGGAAAGCCTTGTATTGGATGGCACATGGAATAGAAAATAAGATAAGAGAATGAGCTAGACTACTTGCATAGGAGGAGTTATTTTGTTGCTGTTGATAATATCATTCTCTGTATTAATAAGAGTAAGGCAGGAAGACTACTCATGCTCCTACTACAGAAAATTTCCCAGAAATTTTCCTTTCCTTAGTAGAGACTTAGATGGCAGTGATCAATGCTGTTTGTGGGTGATGGGGGAAGCAGGAGAGAGAGTAAACGCACAGGAAGCAACTTCTTCAGATCAAAAAAAGAAAGCAAATCAGGCTGAGGTTAACCCACCATGAAGATAGTAGATATGAAAAATCATGTGATCAAGCATTGGAGTCACAGTGATGTAGGGGAGCAGGATGAAGCTCTTGAGGCAGCTAGGATCAGGAGATCAGGTGCAGATTAGGGGTGGAGACCTTATTCTCACTCAAGTTCTCATTCTAGCCCGAATCTACATTCCAATCTAAAGCACAATTGATTCATGTTACCTCTAGGTTGTGGTGTCATCAGTACATATGGCTGGAAAAAAGAAACTCAAATATTTTATAAGGTTTCCCTTAGTTTAGAAAATTGATAATGAAAGGTAACATATAGCTTCTTATCATTTCAAGAGGATTATCTGATACAGAAAATACAAGGTATAAGTACTGATTACAGAAACCTCTATAAGTTTTCTTAGCTACTTGATTTTCTTTTCTTAGCTACTTGATTGTTTGCACAATGAATTTATGTAGCTTTAATTTTAGCTTAAAAGTACACAATACAACAGTTTTGTGCAAAGGATAAGAACCTCGCAAAGAATAATGATTCCAAAGAATAATCTGGTTTGGGGTTTTTGCTTTTTCTGTTAACTGGTAATTTTTTTTTCTCTTTGGTTGACAATTTTCAAGATAGATACAGAAAAGACAATACACCTGAGTTAGAAAGCTGTGATTGTTGACTCTTCAAATTCTGCTAAATATAAATAACTCAGGCTTTACTCCACATTTCTGACATCAGCAGGTCCTCTTGAGTGAATTATTACCTGAGATTTTACTCTCAGTCATTTTTCATTGTATCTATTAGATTTACTTTCCACTTTATCATTACAATTTTGATATTTTTAAACAGCAATATTGGAAAATCAGGACATCCAGAGTGCTTCTTTATTGTTGAGTAAAAATTTGGGATATGTATTAAAGCAATTCTAAACAAAGCAGTGGAGAAAATTCTGAAATAAATTACCTCATTCTTTATGTTCTGTTTAAAGCTATTCCACTCCACTATTAGATTGTTCAAGAAAATACGTTTGGTAAACAAGTGTTGCCCCAGAAGGCAGGCCATGCAGATACTGATTATTTCTCCAGCACCTTAACTACAAATTCAATAAACGCTTAGCATAGCTCACCTCACTGCTGAGTATACTGAAATGCAAATGGAACTCCAGGGTATTGCCGAGGATATTGAAGGACACCTGATGCCATTCACTCATCATTTATCTTCTTTAGTGTCTAAAATCTGTGATTTTTCAGTGAATCATTTTTTTGAAAAGTTCAGTAGTTGTGTTAAGGTCATAGGATTCCCTTTTTATATTGCTTGTCAGCAGAAGGAAATTTTCAAGTTCAGGTATAGCTATTTTTCTCTATTTCAGTTTTTATGTTGACTACTTTTCTTTTTAGAATTAGCCATATCTGGAATCTCCAAAAAAAGAGATCATCATTTCTATGTCTCAGGCAAGAATGCCTCATGAGGCAAATAAACTGCAGGCAGTTAGAATGCCTGAGTGTTTGAGATCTTGACTGAAAATAGGTCACAAACACAATCCCATCATATCTTCCACCCCAACCTCTGATGAGGCAGAAACAGTCAAATCAACATTAATCAATAACATTGTGTGAACCATGGAAAGAAATACTCTCTTATCTACATCTGCTTATCCATGACTACTGTCTGCTTTGATAATTGGGTATTTTCCAAATGCCAGTGGAAATATAGTCAATAACACACACCTCAGTTTGTGAATTCTGTGACATAAAATGTCTTCAGCAACTTTTTACCTACAATTCCAAATGATTGCTGAAATAGTTAAGAGGTGATAATTAGACCTCATTGGGAAGGAGGTTGCTCAGAATCATTAAATAGCTAAATCCCCAGAACGCAAAAAGTCTTTGGACAATAGTCATGACATTCTTATTCTTGCTCAAAGATTCTCACATGTGCACACTCTCTCTCTCTCTCACACACACACACACACACACATACACACACACACATGAACTGACAAATGTTTCCTAAAAAAAGAACTATAAATACAAGCCAGGAGCATAAGAGACTCCAAAACTTAGCTTCATGGAAGTAAGTTTTCATGACGTTTCTAATAACCTAAGACGACAATTTTTCAGGCACCGTGCATCTGAATTCACTGTGCTTTTGAAGCAGAGTGGTAAGGCATTGTTCATAATTACAGCACTCTGTGGTTGTCTACTGACTGCTAAGATGATCCTTGATAATCTTGAAATTTGCATTGTGTTTGCTTAATATGCTAGACATTTAATTGCAATTTTCCCTAAGGGAGCTATTTCCTACTCCTTATGAGAATACCATTTTTGCAGAAATCGGAGAAGTTGAGGAAAGGAAAAGGCAAGGGAAGGACTTGGTTTGTCAAGAGTAAGAATTTAAAAAGATGTTATCGTCTTTGCTTTGGATTTCCCTGTCTCCTCCTTTCCCGCCCCACTCTATTCCCTTCCCCATCCACTCTTCTCTTCCATTTCTTTCCTCCTTTTCTTTTCTCTTCCTCCTCATTCTCTTCTCTTCCTTTTCTTTCTCCTTCTTTTCCTTCTTCATGCTCAACAAAACATCTCACCACCAGTTTCCAGGTTGGATGCAACCTTCAGATAAAAAATGTTGAGATTTAGGACCCTCCCAAATTTTTAGTTCAGTATTTTTGAAAGATCAAGTTTTTAAACTATTATTGACATTGTTGAGTTTGAATAACAACTTTCTTTTCTTAATAATAGTAACCAAACTCTTGGTTAAAATATTTAATATTAAAATTATTTTTTCAAGACATGAATATTTCTTAGAAAATAATTTATAAAATACCTTGAAATGGAATGATTCTTTTCCTAATAGGTGCTTAATAAATATTTGCTAGCCAAGAGGGATTCTATTTATTTATTTATTTATTTATTTATTTATTTATTTATTTATTTATTTTGAGACGAACTTTCACTCTTATCCCCCAGGTTGGAGTGCGCTGGTGCGGTCTCTGCTTACTGCAACCTCCGCCTGCCGGGTTCAAGCGATTCTCTTGCCTCAGCCTTCTGAGTAGCTGGGATTACAGGTGCCTGCCATCACGCCCAGCTGATTTTGGTATTTTTAGTAGAGATGGCGTTTCACCATGTTGGCCAGGCTGATCTTCCACTCCTGACGTCAGGTGATCCGCCCGCCTTTGCCTCCTAAACTGCTGGGCCACCAGGCCCACCCTGAAGAATTATTTTTAAATGTTAGTCATTCTGTTACTCTGTTTTAAATGTTAGTCATTCTGTTACTCTGTTGCTGAGTGCATAAAATGCTCTGATAATCCCAGAGGGTAATTTAACTTTTTTTTTTTCTGAGAAGGGTTCTTGCTCTGTCTCCCAGGCTGGAGTGCAGTGGCACGATCTCAGCTCACCACAACTTCTGCCTCCCGGGTTCAAGCGATTCTCCTGCCTCAGCCTCCTGAGTAGTTGGGAATACAGGCATGCGCCACCATGCCAGGCTAATATTTTGTATTTTTTAGTAGAGAAGGGGGTTTCACCATTTTGGTCAGGCTGGTCTCGAACTCCTGACCTCAAGTAATCCACCCGTCTCAGCCTCACAAAGTGCTGGGATTACAGGCGTGAGCCACCACGCCCGGGCGCTTAACTTTTGATGAAACTATTTTACTGGTGGGATTGAATCATGGCAAAATACATAGAAGCATTCAAACACAGATACATACATGTATATTATCCATATGCAGGAATGTTTAATGAAGTATTCTTTGTAATTGTTGATGAACAAGTACATTTTCAAACCACAAATTATCTGTGGAATTGAAATGGTAGAGTTCCCTGATCCCTTTCGCAAGACATGTGACAGAGGTGTGGCTCACCTGTTGGGTCACCCTGCTGCTCAAACCCCTACTGGGAGGGGGAGCATGCAGAGGGGCAGGTGCAGAGCCCAGGGCCAGTGTTTTGGGGTTCGGCCCCATGCTAGTGTCTAGGAGTGTGTGCCTGTAACCCCAATGTTACAAAGCTCTTCCAGCTTTGCCATCCACAGACAGCTTGAGTGTTAAACAGCTCCATGGACCCTATGCCTTTTTGCAAGGGCAGAGGGCCAATGTGCCAGCCTTCTGTATCTTGAGCTCTTGCCCATCGTCGCGGAAGAACTGGGTTGCATGTGGGCTTCAAGGATGAATTTGAGGTTTTACTGAGTGGTGGAGGTGGCTTGCAGCATGATGGACGGGGAGGTGGAAGGCGGGGAGTGAGTGGGAAGGTGGGGAGTGAGTGGGAAGGTGGTCTTCCCCTGGAGTCAGGTTCGCCCAGGCAAACTCCTCTCAGCATTCAGATGTTCCTCCTCTTCTCTCTTTCTCTGACATGTCATTCTGCCTTCCTTCTGGTCTGCTGGCTTGTGGGTCTGCTTCTGTAGCCTGGGGCTCGGGGATTATATGGGTGCAGGATAGGGGGCATGGCGGGCCAAAAGGCAACTTTTTGGGCACAAAAACAGGAATGCCTGTTCCCATTTAGGGCTGTGGGTCTTAAGCCTTGAGGGTGGGGCCTTTGCCAGGGAACCACCCTCTTCTTCCCAGTATTTCCCTGTCTCCTGTCCATATCAGAATCACCTATACAATACAGTCTATGCAGCTGACAAAAGTTACATTTCATATATTTAGGTTTTTTTTTTCAAGAAAACAGTGTTCCTAATTATTAACATTAAGAGCGGCTAAGGAATATAAAATATGTGTATGCATATAAAATACCCCTGTAGGACATAAATCACAATGACAGTGGTAATTGTATCCAAAGAGTGAAATTACTGGTGATTTTAATGCTCTCTTAGTACTTTCTTATTCTCCAGGCTTTTTTCCATGCACTATTAATATTTTTCTAATGAGAAAAATATATAAAAATATCTGAGAACTGAATTGTAATGCATTAGATATGCTGTTACATATTCTTTTGTTTGTAAAAATGGTCATAGTAAATAATATAAAACTACTAAATCTTTTTCACTGAAAATTCTAACTTTAATTTTAGCTTCTCATTGTTGCAACAAAAGTCTCTTCATTGATTTTAACTTCCTTTAACTTGTAAGTACAAATATAAAAAATTAGTCAAATTTCTCAATGTGTTCCAGTCTTTCACCTGTGATGAATACAAGTGGTTCTGAGTTGTTGGTCCAGTATCTGTTTCCCCCAAGGGGATCATCAAACTTAGGATAGTTTCTTTCATGAACTAACAATTATATAATATTTTTAAAAAATGTATTCACAAGGAAGATAATTACATGTAAAACTGTGGTCCTTAAGGATAAAGTGAAGATGTTTTAGGTGGTACAAGAAGGAGAGTGACTTCTTTGAAAAATTTAGGCAATGGAAATGTTTTTCAAGAAAACTAAATCATAATAACTCATAATGGGTAGAGCTGTCAAAACATAATGCAGTCTCTAAACAGAATGTTGGACAGCTGAAATTTAATCATTTTAACCTAGATTTTAAAGTCCTGTAGTAGAAGCCAATGTTGCAGCAAGCCAAGAATGGTCATGGTTGAGTAATAAAAAGTTTTGATCTCTAATGTCAGAAAACACTTAAACTGGGGGATGGTCCAGCAAAGCGGTATGTTGTGTGAGGAGATAATTTAAAAGTCTTGATGACAAATAGTTTTTCTTCAATGAATAAGATAAAGGTAGGAATTGCCCAGGTGCTAGTTCTGTAAAGCTGTAAAGTTAAAAAAATGTTTTCTTGATTCAATTTACCTTCTAGCATTATATCTTCTCTACCACTGCCCCTGAAGAGGAATATATTAAGTGGGGCAATCAGGGTAGTAATTCTTTATATTTTTTAATTTAATTCTTTCCTCCTTCCTTCCCTGTGTGTCTCCACCTCCCTCCCTCTATGCCCCTCCGCCTCTACCTCTCAATCCTTTCTGTATATAGGTTTTTATTTTTATTTTCAGTCGGAAATTTGTCAACTAAAAGACATGACAATTAAATTATTTTGAAATTTTTGCAATAAAATACCTCTTGGAGATCTAATTTTGTTTCACTGAAAATTGCTGTCTTTTTGAAAAAAAGCTCATCATCATTGGTCATTAGGGAAATGCAAATCAAAACCACAGTGAGACACCATCTCATGCCAGTTAGAATAGCAATCATTAAAAAGTCAGGAAACAACAGATGCTGGAGAGGATGTGGAGAAATAGGAATGCTTTTACACTGTTGGTGGGAGTGTAAATTAGTTCAAACATTGTGGAAGACAGTGTGGCAATTCCTCAAGGATCTAGAACTAGAAATACCATTTGATCCAGCAATCCCATTACTGGGTATATATCCAAAGGATTATAAATCATTCTACTGTAAACACACATGCACACGTATGTTTAATGCAGCACTATTCACAATAGCAAAGACTTGGAACCAACCCAAATGCTCATCAATGATAGACTGGATAAAGAAAATGTGGCATATATACACTATGGAATACTATGCAGCCATAAAAAAGAATGAGTTCATGTCCTTTGCAGGAACGTGGATGAAGTTGGAAACCATCATATTCAGCAAACTAACACAGGAACAGAAAAATAAACACCACATGTTCTCACTCATAAGTGGGAGTTGAACAATGAGAACATATGGGCACAGGGAGGGGAACATCACACACCGGGGCTTGTTGGGAGGTGGGGGCTAGGGGAGGGATAGCATTAGGAGAAGTACCTAGGTGGATGTTGGGTTGCTGGGTGCAGCAAACCACGATGGCACGTATATACCTATGTAACAAACCTGCAAGTTCTGCACATGTATCCCAGAACTTAAAGCATAATTAAAAATAAAAAAAAAAGAAAAATGAGAAAGTGAGGAAGGAAATCCTTACTCAGAATTTGATACTGATGAAGATTCATGAATTATTTCGAAGAGTGAGGTGCTTGACTGATGTCTTGTAATTTTAACAACTAACTTTTGCTGTTGCATTTATTCTATTCATTGACAATCCACGTGTATGTACTTCATGTTATTTGTTGACCATAGTATAAGCCCTTCTTAGTTAATCTGCCTGTGTTTTATTCCACTATAATGTAGGAGAGAAGTGGAGTAGAAAAAAAAATTACCCTGTTTCTACCCTGGTAAATTATAACAGCAGGGTGTGGGAGGAGCAGTTCCCTCTATCTTCCTTCCTTAAAGAATATTGTTACAGTAAAATCATGACTCTTAAACAAGTACAAGATGAAGACTCACCAAAGATACTATTTAACTGATTATGAGGTAACTAGTAAACTGTTTGAACTGGTTCGAAAGAGAATTTAAAAACACATAGATATTTGGGGTATTAGGAAGGAGAGATAAATTTACAAATTGATTACTACCCCTAAGACAATGATCAACTGAATCTCCACCTGACAGAATTTGCATTTTATGGATGAGGATTATTTAGATTGCTATCAGTCTTCTATAACTGCAGAGTTTCAAGAAACTCAAAGACAATGAAAGTTGGATTTAACTTAGGAAATGTGTCCTAGACAGGAACACAGTGATCTCTTCTGCCTGTCACTCTTAACATTTTCACACACCTCTACATCCGACAGGAATGAATTACATGTTAGATACATCAGACTAAATATTTCAGAAGTGTTACTTCTATTCATTACTCATGATACAATAAAAATGAGCAAGTAGTCACAGAACTATGGAACTTAGTTCCAAAGGAAATCCAGAAAATAACTGGACCTGGTAAACTTCTCAAACATAGAGAAGAGAACATGGCTATTGTAGCTCAGATAAAAAGGATGAGGCTCGGTGATTTTGCACGATGGACCAAATGGATAATAAAATGGGTGGACAAGAACTCTTGATTCAGCTGGGCTGTCTATATATTTTCATGGCTATTTCTCCATAGCTGTACCTTACAGCAGGGATCTTTGCAGTCTAGAGTGATATGGATATAAACACTTAGACCCATATGCCTCCCAAACTCTCCCAGAGCAGTGTGATGCTGACTACCTGAGCCAACCTTTACTTTACTCTTGCAGCTACCACCTATATTTTCTACATATCTAGAGATGAAGGGGGGGAATTACTGGCATTGAAAATGAATGGGAAGAAAAGATTTTTAAAAAAAGATATTGAGAATCCCTCACCACCACCTCCCATCCCTCCTCCAAATCTTGCCTGATATTACTTCTAACTATTTATCCTACTGCCATTTTCTCCAATCCTATATAAAATCCACTCGCCATAGTCTCAAATTGGGACTTGCACTTTAATCCCATATTTACAATTACGTTATTCCTTTGAATGTGTTTTCTTTCCCTTGTCTGCCTGTCACTTACTTAGGCATGCCTCAAAAGTCAGGGGAAATTCCATCTGCTACATGATACTATGTTCTGAGCTCTGATAACTTCCACTTGCTACTCTGTAACTGTAAGTCCTTTGCAGTAAGGACTCATTCTGATTCACCTTACTCTACATGGACCCAACAGAGCACTTGAGGCAAGAAGACAATTAACCATCAAGAGTAATAAAATAATCAGCAGTATATTAATGAATAACAGAATATATTTACAGATAGCTGTGTAAATCAAGGAATTAGCAGAAAAAAAATGTATACAATACTTCTTTTTTTTCTTGGATATGTAAGTCCTGGGGGTTTGTTAGTAGATCACCTTCAGAGTACAGATAACGAGGAAAGCTATTTTAACTCATCTTTATCCCCAATTCAAGCTTTATGAATTTTGGTATATTTAGTCTTTTAAAACAGTTTAGAGATGAAGTTAGTCATGCTTATCAAAAAGTAGAATTCTTGGAAAGTTCAGTCCTTAAAAAAGGATAACTACCAGAAACTCCCATATTCTCAAAAATATAGCCAAGAATGAAAAGAACACTCTTCTAGAAGATTAATATCTTAGTGTCTACAACTGTTACTACTTCATTAAGTATGAAAGAAGAGACACAGACTTTTTTTATGTCCTTTATCACTTTATCATCAAAGTAAATTCTGGCAGGTGCATGGCCTAAGAAGTTTCGTATTTCTCTGCTATAGGATGGGCAGATGTTTTATAACACAGTCTTGAAATTTAGATTAATTCTTGTAATTAAAGGTAAAAAGTCTCAGGTTTCATAAGGTAAGTCCAAAGCCCCACAACTCTACCAGTGTATTCTGAATTGATCTGAAGTGTATATGTAGGAATGACAGTGGGAATTACGTGGGCTGATGCCTCAGAGCTCTTTTCCGAAATGAGGGTTCACATACTGAAAACACTGATAAGTTAATTTCTAAATATCCAGTTGCTTATTCCAAAGTTTCCCAACTACGTTCTCAACTTGCTGATGCATGCTGAAATTCTCAGCAGCATGTTTTAAACAATATGCCTTTTGTTCCTCTTCTATACCCAACCATTCTCCTCAAGTGATAGTATTGACTGCTCCTGGGAACTGTCATATGTTTCTTATTTTGGGTCTCAGTATTTTGTATAACAGATTACAAATTTAGAAACTGTGAACATAATTCCAAATTTGCATTAAGACACATGTAACTTTTACATATTTTAACATCTCTGTGTGGAGATTTTAATGTAAATTACATATTATAATATTAACTTGGATATAGAAGTGCTATGAAAATAAATCAAACAAAGAAGAACACTGTTTGAAAATATGCTATGTTACAAAAGCAAATAGTTTGGATAGTGCATCTAGGAGGTTTTTCTTTTTTATAGATAAAACTTTGCAAAATATGCAATCTGTAAAATAGTCTTAAATGTAAAAAATAGAGGTAAGAACTGAGTGGGAGGATCATTTATAGAAGTGAGAGCCCAGACATGGCTGAAGGCTAAATGTATTAGAAATTATAAAGGCAAAGTGTTGTGAAAGGTGATTGATTCCAACTAAGTTGAAATATGGAAGTGTCCAGACACTTATAAAAAGGGACTGAATTTTGATTTACTGTGGTTCAAACTTCACATAGTTTACATAAAGTGGCAATCAGGGAAGTTTGACTTAGGATCACTAAGCATGTAGAATACGTTTCAAACTCATAAAAAGTTCTAACAATAAAGAAGCCCTTACTGGATAAAAGTTTGTTGGAAGCTATAGACTTTAGAGGTGAAACAAGGCATTTAAAATTCAAACTAACATCAATTTTGTTTTCCTCCTAATTTAATAAGTAGACTCTACACATTTCTTAAAGTCACTACTTTATTTTGAAACTGTCTTTTGTTATAAAAATCTATACATATATATTTTTTAACTGGACTATAATATGATTCTTGTTGCCTTCTCCACCCCCCACACCCCTCCCCCAGCCCATAAAGTTAATTCCTTTGGGAAAGAAATATTCTGGGACTCAATGCCAGTCAAGATTGAAAAGGTGAAGGTTTTAATTAACTGCCCTAAAGCTTATCATTGAGAGAAAGGGTGTTTAGCTCAAGTGGTGTGAAGAGCTCTTAAATTATTCTGGCAATTGAGATTTCATCCTTTTTGTTCCATATTGTAAAATCCTTTAATGGCTAAACACACCCACAAACTTGGACTTTAAACTCTATGAACAGCAGGGGAGAGATCTGCAACTGATGTAATGTTCACTACCATGTGGACAGAATCATTAGACTTTCTGGGATTCATGCATATGCTAAAAGGGTGAGTGTGAATTAATTAGAATGGCTACACTCAGCAGGGCCAAACTCTTTCAGTTCTCAGAAAGAAGGAGGGCCAGGGGCAGGATTAAGAAAATTGAAAGCTAAAATAAAAGAGAATTAGGCACTCCTTTAAGTTTCTCTCACAGCAAATGAGGCCAAATGCCAATACTATGATTTACAAGCATCCGCATCAAGTTGCTTTACAGAGAAATGTGTCTGAGGGTTGCAGCAGCAGATGGATGGTCAGCTGACCTCAGGACCATTCATCATTGAGATGCAGGAGTTAGTTCACTTCCCTACACTTCAGTTAACAGCCCCTAAAATGGCAAAAGTCAAGACTTGAGATTGAATAGTGAGGTTATTCCAGTTGTCAGGTCCAATCCTGAAACACTGGCCAACGTACCCACTGACAATGTGCTTGTCACTGAAACTCTCTGTACATTTACATGTATTGTTTTTCTTCATGTTTTAATAAACAATGAGAATTCTTGAAATAATACCTTGTCAGAATTCTTTTCTTTTATGCTAGGTAAGGGACAGATGTCACGGAAATAACTTTCATCCTCAATTGAGATTCTTAGGTATCCTTCAATGTATTTCAGAAATGTAATTCACAGGCAGGATTTTCTAAGCCTTTGCTAAGCAAAGTGTCTTTCACAGACCAGCAGAATATTAACAGAAATGCAGAATCTCAGGCCCTGTCCCAGACCTACTGATTCAGAATTTGTACTTTGTGTTAAAGTACACAACACCAGATAATTGAAATGCATATTAAAGTTTGAGAAGTGCTATTGTAATACTTATTATATATAAAGGATGTTTAAAATGCTTCAGTAATCATCAAAACTTTATTAGTTTTTCAAAGGAATAAAAATTTAAATATTCTGCTTTTGAGCCCATAAAAACATGTTTTAGTTATCTCCAATTATATCTACAATTTTTTGAGAGCAGAAACTCAAAAAATGTTTGTGGAATTGACTAGGATATAACTATGTATTAGAATCTCCTCCTAGGCTCAACAAGACCATAGGTCAAGTTGTTAGAAAAACAGGCTTGGCCAAGAACAGAAATCACCCCAACTCCACCCAACTTTCTGTCCTCCTTCTTTACCTCCCCTTTGCTTTTACCTTACTCTTACCATGATGGGACTTGTTTTTGGAAGCGGGAAAAAGAGAAGAGTTTGTCCACAGCTTGTTTCCACATGTAGTTGGCTATAATTACAACACTAGTCTGTGTTAGGAAAAAGAAGAGTTTGGAAGGGAGAATGAAAGAGGCTCTTTAAGATGAACTGGATTGATCTTGAACAACAGGATAAAACTTTTCTAATATAGTAAAGTGATTAAAAAGTTAAGGAATTGGTCAATAAGAGGTTAAAGTTGCTGCAATACAGCATGAAGAGTGATCCTATGTAGCATAGTGCAGAAATGGTCATTAGAAAATAAAATGTTTTCACACACCCACCTCAACAAGTTAGTATCTACTAGAAAATCTGCTTATTCTACAACATGATCTCCTGGCATATATATGGGATACGTATTTTTTGTACATCCCAATATCATTAGAACTACATAGCCAGATTCTTCAGCGGGAAATTGTTTTACTCCTTATAAAAACTTCTAGAGTGGGAAATACATAATTTTGCATTTTTAGGCTGCCCTAAATGGACTGATGACTAGAAAAAAAATTAATTTACCTGAGCCCCAGTTATTCCTATGTAAATATTGGGATATAGACTTTTTGATTAGAGTGCTAAGAGTTAGATCTTTAACATTTATGAAGAATTCATAGCACATGATAATAGCAAAGATTCTGAAAATATGTATATATATATATATATATAACATCTATAAACACTCCAAAATAAAAACAATGGAGTCTTTAATATGTGTGTGTGTGTGTGTGTGTGTGTAAAAGAGATCAGAAAATTTCCACCATCTAACTCCTAATGGAAGTCAAAACGAATGAGTTTCCTTTTAATGTTTTAAGAGAGAGAATCGCATGGTGTCTATCTAGAAGTGCCCAAACACATTTATTCCTGTGTTTACACGGGAATGCTCATTGTCAACTGTAAGATGATTTTCATTTGCTTTTGTGAAGACACTTAATTCACAGCCTGTTTAAAATAGCACCATCTCTGATAGCTGTAATCAGTTCCATAACAACTGCTCCTGCTGCCACTTTGCAAATCAGGCTGTGAGTCCAACTTTTAACACAGACATGCCACTAATTAGCACTGCCCACAACCAGGTCCAATAGGTCCATAATGAATGCACGACAATTGGAGAAATGAGTACATTTCTCCATTTGAATCTTGGAAGCAATCCATTGTAATCTGTATGCAAAGGTCGACTTTTGAAGGAATAATTGTGCTGTGCTTTGGTCCATCTGGATTAGGCTATAAATATGCCTTCCAGGTTTTATAACATTAAGTTACAGAGACAGCACTCAATGTCGGAGTAATGTTCAAGAAGTCCTATATGGGTGATTAACTTGAGAACATTCATCAAATCGGTGCCCCAATCTTAGGGGAAAAAAATGCATTTTTAAGCTAGAAGCAATTTCTGGGCTCTTGATTTTGGTGAATGAGATGAATTCATTAAAAAAAGTTCCAAGTGCTTTTTTGTTCTCCCTTATAATTAAGACTAATAAAATAAGCACATTTTTCTTCTCTTTAAACACATGCATATTTTTCTATGCCACAAATTACATTGAAGTATTACAGAATAACAATAACAAAATATCCAATAGTGGTCTCTGTGGCTTAAGGCCTGTATACCAACTTTCCATGATTATTTTGTCTATTATACTCTTGCATATGTTTTTGAAGGATTTTACAACATGCTTCAAAAGCATTTGAGGTTTGCGATTTTCACTTGTTACTATTTATGGTTTCAGTGTTCACATACCATTGATTTTTTTTCTCTCCCACTCCAAACCTAAACATCAATTGTGATCTAAATTAATTTGCACTTGGAGTTGGCAAGCTAGTAACTTCAGTTCATGTAGTGAAACCACAAAGCAAACCAGGGGACGCTGACTCCAGTTCTTGATCCATCTTCTTGATATTTCTGGCTTCTCTCTTCAGTTTCCCTAAAGCCAATTAGGCACTCATAATTGCCATTTGGGAAATGGATTTGGGAGAGTCAGTCCATATGTTGAGTCTGTCTTTAAAAATATGATGTCTAGATTTCTCATTGAAAGAAAATTATGATGAATTCCTCATTGGTAAACATGCATAAAGAGCGATTTTGGTACGTGAAACTATATCTTTATCATAAATGAAACATGAATCAAAAGTGACAGGGACTGATGGGTACCTGAATCACATACTTCATTCATCTTATATCTCAAATATACGGCAGAGTGCCTGGAACATTCAAGATACTTGCTAAGCAGTTGTAGATTTTGTGGAGAAAAAATAATAAATGGAAATCATGGATATCTCTTCAAATCCAGATGTGCAGGATGCAAACACTACTATAAAATGATATTACACAATTTCTACAGTAACCAAGAAGAAAACTAGGTTAGGAAAAGGAATTTTGGGTTTGGCATCCTTTAGCTTCAACCAATAGGGGAAAGATTTGTAATATATCTCAGGGCTTACAGAAGGCAAATAATCTCTAAGTAAAACACAGCTAGGGTAATAAGTTCAGGAGATAGAAGATGGAGTTATGTAAATTAGGGTAATAGAAATTCCTCAAGCAAATAAAATTGGGGTGTCGAAGTAGAGAAATAATTATCACAGTGTGTGGTGTACTTGAGCTGTGGCATTTTAAGAGAGGATGAAATGTTTACCTTGGTTTATAATTTTTCCCCAGTAAGTCCTGAACACAGTAAAAACTGGGAAATCTCAAAGATTGCAGAGGGAGCCTGGACCTGAATGACTTCCTTTGCTAAGGTGGTCTTATTTAAGGAACGGAAACAGCAAGGGCACCAGGAAAGAGAAAGAGGAGAAGAGAAGGCAGAACAAGGGGAGAGTGAAAGGGAAACAGAGTGGGGCAGAAAGGGAAAGAGAACCTGGGGACAAGATCCTGAGACCTTTGAACAGTGCAGGGAACAGAAGTCCTTGGAAAAGGAGCTCCATGCCCCACCCACCCACCTGAATTCAGGTTGCGTTTAGCTGTCAGAGAAACCTGCATGCTTGCATTGCTTTTAAGAGAGTAGCACTGTTGTTTTTACAGCCAAGCCCTAAAGGCTGAGACCTAGTAAAGCATCTGCATGCTTTCTGAAAATGAAGTCCATTTATTTACAATTACAGATACAGAATGATGTCAGTGATGCAGTGAATGCAATTTTTCATCACAGCTTCGTAAGTATTGCTTAGTAGGTAAGTGTCACATTTCAGGAAGGTTAACAAGAATTTTAAGTCTAGATGTCACAAGGGAACCTCGAGAAGAAAAAGAATATTGTATAACATGGTAAAGAATATCATAAGGTGGACAGGATTTTTTTTCTGATTGTGAATTCAAGTTTGTGTTTTGTGTGTCTTCAGAAAGACTCTGGCTTTACTCATATCTAACGAGAACTGAAGGACCAGGGGGAGGACGCGTTCCATTGCTCATTAGCTAACATACTTCTAGCTTGTTGAGGATACTTCAACTACAGTGGCTAAAGAAAGCTAGAATTCAGGCTTTAGTTGTCCTCTGGCCAGGATAGAACCAAAGGATATACAGTTTGTAATTTTCTATCTCCACAGGATGGACAAGCAAAGATTTGAGTAAAAGCCCATTTAACCTTCCCTAAATTGTTTTGTGTCTGTATAGCATTTGAGGAAAGGCCAATAGATAAGAACAAAAAGGAAGCATGTAACCTGACATTCCACAATCATGAATACATGTTGGAGCATGCGAACTGTGGGCCGCTTTTCTTACAATAAATCAATTTCTTTGAGGAGAATTTCACTGGTCTAGCGGTAGTCTTTCAGAATTATGGTCTAACAGGTCCATACTATTTAGTTTCTGTTCTTTTTAAGTAAGCCTAGATATCTATTTTCCTCAGACTAATGTATATGGAATAAAGGGTGTGAAAATAATTTGTAAACTAAAGAACACTGTAAAATAAAACAGATTTTAATGGTTTTTAAAGAGAGAATAATTTCCTTAAGAACCTCCAGTTACCATGTTGAATTGCTCACTCTACAATTTGGGACATAGTTCCATCAGGCTATGTTGTACTCTCTCTGATTTGATTTCCTACATTTATTATACATTTCCAGTCCTATTGTGTTTGCTCTCATAAAAATGCACTCTAATACATGTAAAATATGTTCTTCTAGTCCAGGTTTCATGTTTCTTTTAAAAGTTTGTATTTTTCAAAATATTTCTTGGCTATAATACTTTTTTGTATCTGAAGCATGATTCATAAATCTAATCTTGTTTACTTAAATCAATATTTCATTCTATTCATGTGGTTACATATGAATTCAGTCCACAGAATCAAAAACTGCTGTAAATTGTTTCCTTATCTATTTCAGTTTGGGCATTATTGTCTACATCTTTTATCTGATTTTATATTTTTCCCAATCTGATAAATACAAAGGTGTCTAATTTTAGTGTGTCTGTTTTATATTTGTATCTCTCACTCTTTCATTGTGCTGAATAAATTCCATGGTTAGTTAGTCAGCATGGGTTCCTGAGATCAGTAACTCTCCATGTCTTCCCTGGCATTCCTTGTGTTTTATTGCAGAATGGAATCCAGTCATCTGTGTTCACTCATTACCTCATATAGGAGAGGAGAAGTAGTTTACTTAAAACTAAGAGTCATTAGGAACTATGACAACCTCACCCTTGCTAAAGAGTATCCTTCAAATATGCTATGTTTGTACTTTTCTCTCCTGGAAACAGAAACCTCATAATATCTGCTACGCTAAAGGAATCACAGTATCCCCCAAAACCTAATGTATTGACAAGATCATGTGTAAAGTATAAATAACTTACATTGGATGTGTGCTAAGATACTACATCCTTAGGGTGTTTCCTCTTAAAATAGCTATGTGCATATTATAAAATAGCCATGTCCTCAGTAAAATGCGTGTGCATTGATGCAAAGACCTTCAAGTGTGAGTTGCCATTACAATGGCTTTTTGCTATATTTTAAATGCAGGACCCAATGACACAGTGTCATTGCCTTTACTTGTAGAAACTAAGCTAAAGTGGTCCCACCTGGAGATAAATGGGAAATAAAGATTGTCGTGCAATGCTCCTAAAAGGGCTTCCTGAAACAGCAGCTCTGTGCACAAGCATAAGTAGATGAAGCAGCTGTTTATCATCATCACTGTCCTTATGGCAGTTCCCAAGATGCAGATACCTATTCTGCTCTTGTGCATTTCATAGTTCCCTTCTCAGAGGGAATGGTGCTATGAGTACTTAAGCATATTTAGTTGTTGGCCCTCCAATATTCTTTCTCCACCTTGTCCAATTGGAGAACTTCTGTTCTCATATTTTGACCACTCACTTTGAGGCTAATTGCTCAATGACTTCATCTCCATGTCTGATTTCACTGTCAGCTTAGTCTTTACTCGAAGGGACTTCTGACCTAGAATTACTAGGAGGTTCTGAGGAGGTTCTTAAGCACCCTCAGGTTAGACTGGTATTGTCTCTTACTTGATTGGATTTCTCATATTTATTATACGTTTCCAATCCTATTGTGCTTGTTCCCATACAAATGTACTCTAAAATACGTAAAATAGGTCCTTCCAGTCCAGGTTTCATGTTTATTTTAAATGTTTGGTTTTTTTTCAAAATATTTATTGGCTATAACAATTTTTGTATCTGTGGCATGATTCATAAATCTAATTTACTTAAATCAATATTTCATTCTATTCAAAGTAGCATTTAAACAAGTCAAATACATGAGCTTACAGTCCAAGTCCTTTAAATTAGACAAAGACTCCATTATCTTTGTAGTCTTACAATCTAAAAGTTTGAATTTATTTTTATCTCTTTGATTCATCAATCTAATAAAAGGTATCATTAGAATTTGTCAATATTTACCCTGAATTGTGTCTTATATGCATGTTTTCTTCACTTCAACAACCCTGCAAACAAACTTATACCTAATTAAATATAATATAGTCCTACATGCTATTCATGATTCTTCTCATCTTATTTTTAGTTACTGCCCAAGAGGAAGCTGGGTGATATAGTGCTTAGTACTGTGGGCTCTTGGAAAAGATTCATGAATTTCAATTCAATTTCTGTCTTATAAATTTGTGGAAATTTGAGGAAGTTACTTAAAATTTCAACACCTCAATTTCTTCATGTATACAAAAGGAGTGAAGATGTTGCCTCTTGATTACTTGAAAGCTCCTCCACATGGCCTGCTTTTAGACAAGCATACGGCACACTCTGCTCTAGAAACAATAGTGATGATATTTGTTTGACTCTGAAAAACTAAACAGAACAAAGCATCGCCCTATTGTCTTCTCAATCTGACAAACTTCCCTCTATTGGCTTTCAAAGCCTCCTATAAATTGGCCCCATCTTACATTCAGTATCAAAAAAATCTATGTTCTTTTGTTTCTGATTAAATTAAGTAAATCCTTCATAATCTACAACAATTGCCAATGTTTTCATAGTGTGCAGCATTATTTATTTTCTGCATAGTTCATCTCACTGGATTCTCACCGCAGCATGAGAGCTCATGTACAGAATGGAAAAGGAGCTAGGCCATGTATAGCTGGCAAAGGAATATCTAAATCTTGAAGTTAGAAACTTCAGATGTTCAATTTATGTTCTCTACACAAGGCCAATTTTTAGTGAAATAATTTTTTAAATACACTTATGATTGTTTTTAATTAACTAGTAAGAACTTTCCTAGAACCCCTACCAGAGTTTTGGAAAATAAATGAGGGTCAAAGTTTGAGCTTATTAATTTTATGGTAAATCCCTTTTTGCCTACTCTGAATTGCACTAATATAATTCTTACGAACATGAGGTAATACATCTGCAAAGACTATATATAGATGCTTTATTAGAACTTCCAACTAAGGAGAGATATAAAAGATATAAAAGAAGACAAAAATAAATGAAAAAAGATAGACTACTTTCATGTTCCAGGATGGAAGGAATAGCAAACACACAGGGAAATAGCATAATGTTAACATAATGTATTTATTAGTTAACTGTGTGACACATATTTTTTTTTCTATTTGTTTGACTGCATACTCTTTGATTGTTTCATGTATGCCAATTATTTGTAATTCCTTTTCTATAGGAAGAATGGAAATGAAATTTCAGTCTTCCAAGACATTTTCATTCCATTTATTTTTCAGGTTGAGCTGAAAAAGTTCAATGAGATTTTAATGTAAAATTGATAAACTAAGCATACAAGATTTTCAAGAAACAATGATTTTAAAATTTAAAAATTTTTTAAATAAATAGGAAATGAATAAGCCTTATAGAAAATATGTGATTCCTTTATAATATAAACTATAATTTATTCTTCTGAAAAGATAAGTCATCAGAATAGAAGATGGGTCAAAATTAGACCTTGTTATTTATATATGAATATAATCATAGAAACCTCACTAACAATGGGAAATGGAAAATTAAACAAACAATTTATTTCAAGTAAAGCTCTATGAAAAAAAATACTCAAATTAGACCCTCAAGTTACATGATAAACCAAAAGACAGTACAGCTACATTTAAGATTTAATTATTTTTAAAATGTTGTTATTGAACATATTAACCATTATTATTTATCTTGAAACAATAAAGAAAATGAAATAATAAATGATGAAAAGAAAAAGAAATCATGTCCAAATATATTTTATAAAATCGCAAGTAAAACAGAAAAGTAAATAATAGATTGGGTAGGATATATATGAGGCAATCATGGTAAAGAGTTACTAATTTTATACAAAAATTAGGAATTTTGAGAAAGCATGGTAGATTGAACACATGTTCCAGTTATGCTTGGTCCCTAAACCCTACTAAAAAGCTAAAAATGTCTATAAGGGAATAAAAAAGCCATAAAACCATAAGAACAAAGGAGACAAAATAGATTATAATAGAATACAAAAGAAGTAACAAAATTTGGCAATGTTTAAAGTGGAGAGGTGACTTAGAGGAAGCTGACAGTTGACTTAGAAAGGGATAGTTGGTAGAGACAATGAGAGTTGGCAGAGAAAGCGCAAACCTAAGTCCTAACAGGGTCCATACTGATTGGTAATTGACTGATTCCTAGATCCGCATCATCCCTTTCATGGTATGGTCCCTCAATTTGGGATAGCTCCCAATACCCAAATATTCCCAGGGTATTGGCCTCTAAATCAAGGTTGAACGAGGTTCCATAACATTTGCATTCAAACTGAGATTGGTGCATACTGTAAATGTTGGTACATAATTCATGGGAAGCTCCTATTCAACTTTTTTATATACTAGAAAAACATAAACTTTCATTATTTACTTGGTGTTCCAATTGTACCAGATGCTAAAGTTACGATAAATCAACAGATTTTTTCTTTCTAAGTAAACACCTTCTAGGAGCCTGATACTGTACTCTGAATTTCGCTGGCTTTTAAAAGCAGAGATAAAATGCATGATCTTTGTTTTTATGAACATATGCTGATCAAAAACAACTTACATCCTGAGGGAGTTAGATACTGAAAGGCAGAGTCTAATTCTCTGCTGCTTTATGTATAGACACTTTATTCTTTTTTTTTTAACCCAAAGGAACTTCATATAATATTTCCAACTAGAAGTAAAATTAACTTATTCCAATTAATTTCTACCTACTTTTTAAGTTTTGTGATATGTCAATTCATATTTCCCAGACTCTCTGAGACATCTGAGAGTGGTATACATTTCAGGAAAAGGTAAAATAGGCCTGGATCACTTACCAAGAAAAAATCCTGCCTAAAGACATACAAAAGCTAGGGAGATAATAATTGACTTTGGGAAAATAATATCAAATGCTTTCGGTTAAACATTATGTGTAATATCCATCACGAAAACATATTTAGCAATTTAAACCATCAAAGGATGCCAAAGAAAGATCCTTTATGAAAAAGCCTGCCACAGAAATAAACTCTGTGAGGAACACAAAGCAAAAGAAGCAAACTTTATTTCCACCCCTGCCAAACCCAGCACCCATCCATGAGCACCCTGCACATCGACAATGACAAAAAGGGTGAGAAGCAAATGAAACTCGTTCTTCAGCTCCGAGTGTAGTCAGCCTCATTGGTATGCTCTACAGTGCAAGCACCCCCTCAGCCCTAGACAATAGTGTTTTCCTGGTTTATCTGCTAGGACAAGGGATGTCCCTGAACTGCAGGGAATGAAACCTCAATTCCTGATCCTCTGTTAGGCCCAAGGATCTGGACACCTCGGAACATCATTTACTCTCTCATCAGGACAGATATTGAATTTGCCTGCGCCCATCCGTTCTTGTTCTTTTTTTTTTTTTTTTTCCCCTACAGGGACTGGCTAGCTTCACAAGCTGTCATAATTTTATTTCTGATTTGGTCTTGAGGGGAGATATGTCCTCATCACATCCAAACTCGTTTCCTTAGTGTCAGATGAAAATAGGAGCAATAACTGAGAAGGTTTACCCCAAGGCTCCTGCTGGGAACTTCAACAAAGTCATTTCTAAAAAACGTGTTACACAAAGATGTTCAAACGTAGTCATGAAAAAAAAAAAAACCGATTCTGCCATCTCTCAGTCTCCTACATGGTAAAGGTATGCAACTTCCCCAAGATGCCAACAGTTAATACTGAAACTTGAAAACCACATTTGGTGGAAAAAGTACTTAAAAAGCCTTAACTTTAGTGAAGTACTATTGCCTGCCTCTCCTGAGAGCAAAGATACCTTGAGAACATTCCGTTGGAATTTCACATACAGAATGATACATCATGTTGCAGAAAATGGTTTTCATAGCTTGGTTTGTTCTTAAAAGTAGTTGTGCTTACAATTTCAATTCTTAATACTTAATGCATTTTTATGGCCTGAAAGATTTCAGTGACCTCTTCTCTTCCATAAGCAGGATTCTATGTTTTCTCAGAAAACATCCATTATATCAATAATATATCGCTATAAATTATATGTATTTACTGCAAGCAAATGGAACAAAGTTTATTGCAATTCACATTATAATTTTACTGTGCTTGCTCACAATGTTTTGTACATATAATCTTTCGTCCTAACCTTATATTTTATGGAAGTTTATACTTTAAAAAAACAATCTGACAGTTTAAAGCACATTTTGTTTTTCTAACCTAACTTGATTGGAGTATGTTTTTACTTTCTTTTAGAAATTTATTTCCAAAATTGATCCCAAGTTGAACTGTGGGCTTTTTCGCTGCACTCTAAATTCAAACTTGAAAACATCTGCGTATTTAGTTGGCCTGTTGAGGGCAAGATCGTACTATCACACGTGAAGGAAGTTATCATGTATCATAAACAACTTAATTTAGATCTGAAGAGTGAGCTCAAAGGAGAACTAGTGAATCAACTTTGCTTCCTACTTGAAAGCTCCTTTCTAAGACCCTGGAGATTTATGTGGAACAGGTTATTATACTTCTCCTACTAATCAGAACTCTCGCTCCCCTGGCAACCCGCATACTCTGTTTCCCCCATGCCAGCATTCCTAAATCTTTCCTGCACCCCTCCCCCAATTCAAAGATTTATTTCACTACTGCGACAGCCTATGGGCACATTACATACTTTAAAACAACACATTAATCTATAACTTTCCACCCCAGACAGCAGACACCACCATCCTTCTTGATAACCACCTCTGGCGATCGCAAAGAAAGCATTCCTGATTTCGGTTACAGTCAAGAAATTGCAGGGGATGACGTGTCTTCCACCAGTCTCCACACTTACATTTAGGCAAACTGCCAGGTGAGAGCAAAAGTCACAGCTGCACATTTTCACTGAAAATGCCCTGCACAAGTCTCCTGTGCTTACTTTTGACTCCTTAAGGGTGACCTTTTTGAGAATACATAGAGAATAAAAGGACAATTATGCACAGTGGACCCTTCTTATTAGATAGAGATGAGTGTATTTAATGAGATTGCCTCACTTTCTCCCTTTGCTCCATAGATATATCAGATCTCTTTCTTCACGCTGCTTAGCCCCAGGTTTTTCTTATAATCAGGGCAGAAACTTACACCAAAGTACTTAGACTGTATTTTTCAATTTCCATTCATTAATTTGGAAAAATAAAAACCTTCAATTCTTGATCAGGACAAGGGTAAATATTGTTTATCAGCCTTTAAGGAATCAGCTTCACCGGAAGCTCAGATTTTCTTCTATGTTAAAATTATTCTTTGGCATGTTTTCTTCAGAATTAACTCATCACCCAGAATATCAAATATATATTAAGGGTGGCACACAGTCCTCACGGAGGTTGATATTTGTTTATAAGACTATGTGGCATTTAAAGAAAAAGAAGTTATTTTGATTTATAAGCTTTATCCTTAATCATGACACATACAATGAGCAAAAGTAGCAAATGTGTGCCCTAATAAATTGATTTTGTTCTATCGTTACACATTTCTGTATTTGTTTCAGGATTCTGTAATGTGACTTACTGATCTTCTTTCCCCTCTTTATATCTGTTTTTGTAAGAGAAGAGTTGCAATAAACAGCTAAAATGCCACGCTCCCTTCCTTTCCACCTCTTCCTTCTTCTGCCAATAATCACTGTCCTGAAGTTGTTCTGAACCTGTTCCTTGAGTGTTTAGAGATTTTTATTTTATGTCTGTACCATATATGTGTGTCCCTGTGTGTGCATGTGTGGTGTGTCTCTGTGTGTAACTATATCTATATTAAATTTTAAGTGTTTTATTTGAAATATATTATGCTGCTCTGAGGTTCTTCATGCAACATTATATATTTCAAATTAAGTATTTGAATCTAAATTTGTTTATAATAATCACCACATAGACACTCCCAAGATCTGCTTTGTCATCCTTATAAATAAAGGTAATTTTTTAAATGCTGTAAAACTAAAACCCTAAAATGTTAGGGTTGACCTACTTTGCAAGACTGAGTGGCTAACCAAGAAACTAGAACCTGACTTCCAAGTTCTAACCATGGGAATCTCTAACGTTATCCAATTAATTTAAGTGCTCATGTAACCTAGATTGATGACTTAACACTTACAATTAGGTTTCAGTGACTGATGGTAAATGCTTAGAGGAATGAGACCTATAATTCACTTAAAATGTATAGTACTAGACCAGATGGAATTTTCTTTTCTGACTATTACATAGTCTAATTTTTCACTAAGTATGAAGTGTGGGAACTTTCCTAGTAGTCAGGGCTGGACCAACAATTGCTTAGATGTTTTAGTGTTTAAGTCACTGTACAACATCTATATTTGGACTCTTACTACAATATTTTTGTATAACAAAATTTGCTTTATTCTCAATGGGCTTGTGTTAGCGCCTGGCATTTTTCTCTGCCCTATCTTTCTAGGAAGTTTAGAAGACTAAAACAGCTTTAAAGGGCCCAAATTCTGCAATAAAAATGTAATAACAGAGTAAATATCTTACACCTAGTAGCAAAACTCCTCTTTGATATATAGTCTTTATATAGTTTCTGGGTTTTCTTGCATTTTTCAGGTTGAATATGTTCAAAAATCCATAGAGAAACTGTTCTCATGACCAAACATGCAAACACATGAACATGCAGACACTGCCACTTACAGCGTGACATCAGAAAAACCAGATTAGTAACAGGCTAGCTGGTAGCATTCTGTGTGTGTATTTATGTGTGTGTGTGTGTGCATGTCTATGTGTTTCAGTGTACTGCAGCTTCTACTCATTGAAAGACTTACAAAAGTGTATTCTATGTAAACAATTAAATATATTCATAATTTGAATTTTTTATGGACATGCAGGCATTTCTGACCTTTTACATGTATTCTAACTAGCCAGATTCATGAAGTATCAAAATCTTTGAAACCTTCCAATGTCTGTCTGATTTACTATTCACTATCTGAATGATGTCCAGCAGATCATCTGCCAAGTTGCTGAATAACCATTCTATCAGGTGGTTTCATCATTTACATGTTGCCCAAACCAAAAAGAAAGCCATCATTGACTCTGTGCTTCCCATCATCCCCACCATCTGTAGTCCACGTGAGTATGGCTAAGGTTTCTACCAACTTATATTTCACACCCACTCACTTCTCTTCATCCTCAAGCTAAAACCCTGGCCAAAACCATAGTCATTCTCTGCACAGACTACTAAAAACTTCCTAACACGTATATTTTCTTCCATTCTTCCACTCCTTCCATCTCCCTCCAAATTTCTCCACCTGACAGAGAGAGTCAGCTTTTAAAATATCAGACCACATTACTTTTCTTCTGAAAAACTTCCAACAGTTTCCCATTGGATTTAGAATAAAAAAATCAACTTCCTTACATGGCCTAAGTGATCTGGTTCCTGCCTTTATCTCTGAGGTCAGCTCCACTCCATTCCTTCTTTCTTATGGAGTGCTACCAGCACTGCTTCTGCTGATCCTTTATGCTTGATAATTTGTCCTCCCTCAAGGTCATTTCATTTTGTTCCCTCTTTCTGCTGTATTTATCTGAATGCAGAAATTCACATTGTTTATTCTTTTCATGCAAGTCTTAGCTCAAGTTAGAAAAAAGTTCCATGATCATCTGGTCTGGAGAAAGTGACCATGTTCTGACACTATCATGTCACTCTTGCTTACTCTTTATGACACTATGACTCTGAAATATTATCATTCATGTATTTATATACTTATTTATATATTCATGATTATATATATATATGTCTTCCCCCACTTATATGTCAAACATATATTATTCATATATTATATGTCTTGCTCCATTAAGCTTTACTAACACAGTTTTCTTTTGTGTTTTACTTAACACTGTTCCCCCAGGGTCAAAATATGGTAAGTATTTAAATATTTGTTAAATTGCATGCACTTTTCAGTTCTGGTGGTGCCCTCTTTTGTAAAATGTGATATAATGCCTCTACATTACAAAATGATTTGTAAAGATTAGCTTTGTTTTGGAAGTGCCTACCTCAAAGAGATGCTACAGAAAATGTAACTAGTATTTCTTATTTTCCTACATCCTGCTCACATCTTTCAAATGTATTTTCACTCCTAATCTGTCAGTGTCTTTACATTGAAGTGCAATAGATCTTTTGCAGTTCTAATAAAGTTTTGCTAACTTTAATTTTAATATAAATGATTTAAAAGAATTTGCAAAAGGAAAGAACTACAGGGAAATGTCTGTTTAATCATAAGTATATTTTAAAAAAAAATTAACCTAGTATTCTTAACAATTTTCCCAAAAAGCACATTATATTAATAATGGTACAATGACTGCCAATTTTCAAAGTGGTTTTCCATATATTTCCATAAAAGCCACAAAAGCACAGTGAGCAAGTAAAGCCAAATGATATCATCTCCATCTGACGTCTAGAGCATAGTGCTTCATAATATAATGGGGCTTTCTCACTATTCACAATAGCAAAGACATGGAATCAACTTAGTTGCCTGTCAGTGGTGGATTAAAGAAAATGTGGTACATATACACCATGGAGTACTATGCAGCCATAAAAAAGAATGAAATCATGACCTTTGCAGCAACATAGATGCAGCTGGAGGCCATTATCCAAAGCAAATTAATGTAAGAACAGAAAAACAGATACCACATGTTCTCACTTGTAAGTGGGAGCTAAACATTGGGCACTCATGTTCATAAAGATGGCAGTAATGGACATTATTATTGCCATTACTACTAGATTTGGAAGGGAAGGAGGGGGGCAAGGTTTGAAAAACTTCTTATTTGGTACTACGCTTACTACCCAGGGGATAGGATCATTCGTACACCAAGCCTCAGCATCACACCATGTATCTATGTAACAAACCTGCATATGCACCCCCAGAATCTAAAATAAAAGTTGAAATTATAAAAACCAGAGGCTTTCTGTGGGTCACCAAAACATTTCCTTGGGAATCTGTGACTGAAACCCATGTTTGCTGAATTCTCCTTTAGTACTCTTTTAGGCGGCATTAAGATCCCTGTTTTCCTTTCCTAGATTTTTTTCCTCATGCTCAGTTAATCTCTCCTAATTCAGTATTTCATTGGAATAGTTGGCCATCTTTCTCCCTATTGCCACTATTTGATTATGGGCTCATTGTCTTCTTCTAGCAGCTTTTGTCTTAAATAAATAAGACATTGCATGTGTCCCAAAGAGCCGCCCCATCTCCAAAAATCTCATGGCCTTCCAATTTCAACTTTCATCACTGACTAGCTGATGAACTCTCTTTTGCTTAACACAAACTGTCAGTTGAGTGAATCCAACCTACCCTTGGGCCAGCTGTTCATTTCTGGTCTACACTGCGTAGAGAAGTGGGAACATAGAGCACTTTGTTCTCACTACTCCTGGATATGTGAGCAGGGCTCCCTGGGGGTAGCAAGTACTGACTCTACAACCAGGTGTTGCTTTTGTGTTTAATACGTGTCAGACACACTCTTAGGCACTGGAGATCTAGCAGCAACTATAACCAATACCTCGTTATGTTTATGAAAATTTCACTCCAGAATAGGAAGACAAAAAAACAAATGAACAGATTGTCAGAGAGTCTAGAGCCTGGAGGTGATGCTAGTGAAAGTAGTTAACAAACTGGATTAAGTATCTTCAAATATTAAACTCAAGTCTGGGAGGTCAGATATGCATGAGGGTTGGAATCCTAAAGTCTCCATGCAAGTGTTAAATGCAAACAGATAAGCACCGTGGAAATTATGAGGGAGGGAGAGCTAAACCCAGCTTCAGTGGTCAAGGCAAAGTTGGATTTCAAAAAAGGAAAGTTCCAGATAAGTTAATCATAGGTGAATGGAAATTCTTTTCAAATTGTTTCTCAAATCAGAATTCTCTTTGCTTAGGCAATAGCCATGTCTTACACATAGGCTTCCAATGACCTTTGTAGAGGGTTGTGGATTTGAGCAGCAAGTTCGTAGCCAAAAATATGCAAGGTATATTTGATGGGCAAAATGGGTTCATTGCCAGAATAAAAGGAGATGAGACTGGTGGGGTAAAGAGCAGCAGTGTTTAGAAAACACTTTCACATACATCAGCCAATTCACTTTCACAATAATCCCTTGACAAAGAAGATATCTGATCTGAAAGGTCGGAGGATGAGATTATGTACTTAATCTGTTTTCCATTGGGAAAACAATGGACGGATTCTGAAGAAATAGCACCTTTATGTTAATGGGAAGTCACACATCTGTGTCTCAACCTTTATTCTTGAACCCAATCTCTTATCTCCAGTGTCGCTTGTCCTTGGCTCCAGAGTCTTCAGCATATTTTTATTTATGTATTTATTTTTTTTAAACCACACGGCAAAGCACCCTCCTTGCACTCCTCAGCTGAACTTTCCCTCTAGTTTGGATTCCCACATCTTCTCATCTCTGAGCTGTCTCCTGAAGTTTCTTCAACGAACTTTTCCTCTTCATTTTGTAATCTGGCTTTTTCTTTTTGTCCTATTTCAGTTCCCTCCTCACACACAGAAAAGTTCTCTGATCATAAGAATCCTTGAAGAGCATTAATAAGCATTTAAGATTGATATAACACAATTCAGGTTATGTCTCATGTTTTCTTTATTTTCCATTTCTTTGGCAGATTTTATTTATTGTTATTGCCAGATTTAGCTTTAGAGAGCCCTGTGAGTAAATGTCATAATTAATTCTACTTCACACTTATTTTTACAAGTGAGCAGAAAGTAGATACTCTAAAATAAACATTCGCTTAATGTATGAAAAAAACACAAGACAAAAATTGATTTATGAAATTTTTACATCAAGAAATCTTTAAAAAGTCAGCTTCATTAGAGCATGTAAAATATGCTTATGAAATAGAGCAATGCAATGATCCCATAAGGCAAGACATACTCACACTAAAGTTTCCGTCATAGCTACTGTGACGTCCTCAGGAAACCAAACTGAAGGGAAGATCATTGGACCTTGAATGGAACATCACAATCACTCAGAAAAATGGGAGTAATAATTATGCCAATTTCCTAGGGTTTGGGGAGGAATAAATCAAATACTTTAGGTATAGTGCTTGGTGCAGTGCTGGCACACAGCAAGAAGTCAGAAATCCAGCAAGATGTTTAATTAGAATAAAAACCAGCAAAGAGTTAAATGTTATAGGTATGTACTTGGATAGTATTTTATACCAAGACAATATTATACTATATTTTATTATAATTATATATATATATAATATATAACTATAGTTATATACTATCTATATATATACTACATATATTTTACTATAGTAAAAATATTTTACAATATTAACAAAATTTGATGTTTTATATCTTCCTTTACCCATTGTTCTCTTTTATTCTTTTTAGATAGTAAAGAAGCTTTCTATATATATTTCTCTAGAAGAAAAAAAAAGCAATAGTTGAGAATAAAGATCCATATTTTACTTTGTTGTTCTCTGTTTTGTTTGTGCATGGGAGCAAGTGCTCTTAGCAGACACAAAACTCATAACAAATAAAAACATTCTTCATGAGACAGCTAATATGCATGTTAGAGATTAGTCAGTTTCTCACTATACCTATTCCCCTTTCCTCCCAGGCACAGAAATAGACTATGTTTTCTAGTTGTCCTTGTCATTAAGCATGGCCATCTGACTGACATAAACCACTTCAAAGCCTGGCCCATAGAAATGTCCCTTGCACTCCCCCACTTTGTCCATATCCCGTAATGTCCAGCAGGCTGGACATTGAATCCTGGGGCAAATGTGCAAGCCACATGTTCAAGAAAGCCGAGCTTCCTCTGCCAACAGCCTTGACTATCCCATGATGTAGAAGCTCCACTGCACTCACTCAATGTACCCATCCTGATTGGACATGATAGAAATAAGAAATAACTTTCTATTTGTCCTAAGTCACTAAAGGGTCTGGGTTTGCCTGTCACTGGAGTTAATGTTTCCTTTGGGCTTTTTTTTTTTTTTTTTTTTTTTTTCTGAGACAGATCTCACTCTGTTGCCCAGGCTGGAGTGCAGTGGCACAATCTTGGCTCACTGCAACCACTGCCTCCCAGGTTCAAGCAATTTTCCTGCCTCGGCCCCCTGAGTAGCTGAGATTACAGGTGCCTGCCACCACCATATCTGGCTAATATTTTGTATTTTGAGTAGAGACGGGATTTCACCATGTTGGCCAGGCTGGCCTCAAACTCATGACTTCAGGTGATTCGCCCACCTTGGCCTCCCAAAGTGCTGGGATTACAGGCCCGAGCCACTGCGCCTAAGATACACGCTTTTCTTAAGAGAACCAAGCATTTTGGAGTACAAAGAGCAAAGCTTAAGGTACTCAGAGAAAGATGATGTTAGTAGGATGGAAACTTACATGACTAGAACTTACATATCGGCTGGTCAGTGAGACATGGCTTACTATCTCTCCCACAGAGTCAAGCTCAGAAAGAGGGTGCAAGGGAAATTACAGAAAATTTGGTGTTTCTAGAGTATAGAAGAACCTTTGTAACTTCCTAGGATGAAGCCTAACCACCTTCCAAGTTACTTCTAGATGCCCCACGTCCAGCATGGCTTCTAGGAGGTAGAGGCTCAATGGTGGGGGAGGAGTTTTAGGTAGATGGGCCCTGCCTGAGACAGGTTCTGTGGCCTAGTGTCCTGCCATTTGCAGGCAGAGAGTGGTTAAAGTGGTTAAAGTTCCCCGTGTCCTGAGCAAGGTGTGAAGGGGATAGCTCAGTCAGAATCGTACCTGCAAGACAGGTGAAGATAATAAAGGATTACCTGTATGGGGGACGAGAGCGTTGAACATTCTGTGCTGGTGAAGGATGAGTAGTACTTAGAATGTGAAGAAAGAGAGACATAGCCTTCCAGACAAAGGGAAGAGTTGATTCCTGCCGAGGCGAGCGACTGTTTAAACTAATTTCTTCATGTGGGGCCTTTGGGTATAATTTGCTTTAATATGCCAAATAATTACGGTAACCCTATTATAATGCCCTTTTTCATTTTAATATTTAACTGAAGCAATCATGGAACACTTTGTATTTTATTTAAAAAATTATAAAAGATTACAGCTGCCCTTCACAAAGTATTTGTTAATGACTTCACAATCTAGAGTGCACCTTTTACCTATTTACCTGAATGTCTTTCATCATACAAATATAAAGGTGGAACATTTATTCACTTACAAAGGTAAAACCACAGGCACATTGACATGAAGAATAGAAATTCACTAAATTAAGCCAGTATCTAAGGAACAGAAATCTTGAGCCAAGTCCTAAACATGCTAAACGTGGGCTCTTGCCGATTGCCAGAAGCAAGACTTGACATAATGCTGGGCCCTTAGTCAAGGATACTTTTATCTTTACTGAGCAACCTTTGGAAAGTCTGAGTCAATAGTTGTTGGAAATATTTCCAATGTAAGGCAGAGGTTTGTGTATAAAAATTAACTATAAACCGAAGAGTCTACTAGTAATATTATCTTAATCTACTATATCTTTAAAAAATCAGGTTTCTAATTCATTCAGAGTTAAATTTGTATCATTTCAGAAAAAATTAAATACTTTCTATTTGTTAAATTATGAGCACATTTGGAAATATCATAGCTTAGCAAGAGCCAAATTACATTTAGGCCTCTTTGTTGATGAAGTAACTCCAAAAGTGAGATCCAGAATAGCAGAGATAAGCATTGCTGGAAGTAGATAAATGAAGCTAGACTCTTGAAACTTACTAAGTTTATCTCTTTCTCTTCTTGCTCACACACAGGGGTAAGTTTGAGGGGTGAGTCATCTGACCATAGAAACTAGACAGACACTTGAAGATGCTTTTTAGAATTAAATGATGGCAGAGAAAGACAAAGAATATGTATTCCTACGTTTTGAAAATGAAGACATTTCTCATGAAAAAGGGGAATAAAACACAAAAAGATGAGTTATTACCAAATGAAAAAGACTACATAATCATTTTGTTTCTGGGTCCAAAACCTCAATGTCAATCATGTGGGTACCTCTGGAGGGGTAGCCAGAAGGGGAATCGGCCCTGCTTCATACTGAAGCAGGTATTTGGCATGTTCCTAATAGGAAAGCGTTTGTGTTTTTTATTTATTTATTTTTTTTAAGTTCAATCAATTTATTTACCAGTTCTAGGTTGATTCTTCACTGACTTCCTAGTGACAGCAGGTTATCATTGTGAGAATAAAGGTGATGAACAGAATATATAATTTGATAAGCATCAAGCCTCGCATAGAGACAGTGATAAGTAAATGACAGTTCTCGCCACTCTCAGATTGCACTAGATCATGTGTTTATAATATCAAATAAATATAACTACAGTGCTTTTACAACAGACCAAATTGAAATTGAAATTTTAGTTGTTTCATGTGGTCAACAAATGAAATAAGGACTTTTCTAAACAAGACATGGCTTTAGCCACCTATGTTTACTGAACCGTATCCAAATGAACGTCTTCTGTATCCAAACTTCATGATAAAACGAAAAAGAACAGTTCACCCATAGTCTGAATCACCCTTTTTTTTTTTTCATTACAGAAGCTACTATGTGGGAGTCAGTTAGGCATTTTGGGAAATTATACCTACCGCCTACTCAAAGATTTAATAATAAAATGTACTAATTTTTTAATATGCATCAAATAGGTGAAATTTAAGTGGATTTTTTCCAAAAGATTTTAAGGATCTATTTAATATGCTATTAAGGGAGGGAAGGAGAACTCTAAATTAGCTAGGATATATTTTAAATGATTGACTCCCCAATTGTTACATAAGAGCAACTAACTAACCAACCCAACAAAACAAAGTCGATTTTACCAAACCCTGACAAGATCCCCATAGATTCCCAATCATCTCCTCTATCAGTTGAAGTCCCTATAAATGTTAAATAGTTATTGCCTGTAGAAACAATACTTCTAGGAGTTACTTGTCTGATTTTGTTTTTTTGTTTTGTTTTGTTTTAAGATGAATTCATATCTTTGAGTATCAGCTTAGTGTTTAATGTGGTCAAACCAGAAGTAGATAAATGAAGCTAGACCCTTGAAACTTACTAAGTTTATCTCTTTCTCTAGATTTGAATATATCCACGGTAACTTCTATAGGCATCTCTGAAAAACTTTTTCAAAATAAGTAACAAAAGATAAGGAGGTGGGAGAGAAGGCTTGAAATGTTCATTTTCTGCAATCATTTGCTACACATTGACTTAGGAGATTACATTATAAAATTTCCATGTATACTATGTTAGTAATAACCAGAAAAAACTGTTCTATTGTTGGTTAAAATGTTCTTTAATTTTTCTTTGCTTTTTAAGATAAATATTTTTCAATATCTGATTGCCTTTCCCCCATCCTTATTTCCTTATTTGCAGTCTTAGTTGATCTGTTCTGGATATTTTTAGATCATAAAAAAGTAGACAGAAAAATTTTAAAGTGCTCGGCAGGCAGAGAGCTCTCACAGCACCATCTCACTTCATCCACTTCTTTACGTAATTTTTAAGTTAGGTTCCTGCTGCTTCCAAAAGTGTTTCGACTTTAGAATCCCTGCCCACACAGATACACTATTGACAAGAAAATACAAGAAGAAGATGTCTTTTTATTTCATAATACGTGAATTCAGGGTAGAGCCTGGAAAAAAAATAAAATGTGGACAGAAACAGTGTCCAGGAGAGAAGTGAGGAAATCTCTTTTGTTCCCTTAGTACTTTCTAAGCTTTCTTTCATTATCTATGCCAAAGATGTGAGGTATACCCTTGCTACATTTGGCAAATATGGACCTGTTGATTCTATCAGGCAGATACTAGGATAAAGTTTGGCTCCCTACGTTCTTGGGAAATTCCCTAACTTGTTTTCATTACTGTAATAATGAGATTATTTATTTACTTGAAAGGGGTGGGGCAGATATTATTCAATTTTCTTTAGAAGGCATTGTATAGTTATTGCTCTAACAATTTCTTCACTGATTCCCAAAGTTAAATAGAAATCATGACAGAATAACTTTTTAATCATCTGACATTTAACATGTCTCTACTTCTTTCTACTACTCAACTCAAAGTAGAAATGTCTGCAAATTAAAAGGGGGGGTCACTTACACACACACACACACACACACACACACACACACACACAAACACGCACATGAACACCGAAGGGAATTTCCAATTTTCTAGCAGTTTGTGTTCCATAGTTCCACTATTCGGAACTTGGAATAATTTTAAGTATATAGTGGTGATCTATTACAAGAATTTAGCTTTCCCTTCATAAATTAAAATAAATAATCAAAAAGGAACTTAATAAAACACAAATAAAACTGACTCGTGGTTCCCCAGGCTGTACAGGAAGCATAGTGGCTTCTGCTTCTGGGGAGGCCTCTGGGAGCTTCCAATCTTGGTGGAAAGCAGAGAGGGTGTGAGCCATCTCCCATGGTGCGAGCAGGAGCGAGAGAGAGAGCGAGGAGGTGCCACCCACTTAAACAACCAGAACTCATGAGAAACTCACTCACAAGGACAGTACCAAGAGGGGTGGTATTAAACCATGCAGGAGAAATCGCCCCCATGATCCAATCTCTCCCCACGTGGCCCCACCTCCAACATTGGGAATTACGATTGAGCATGAGATTTGGGTGGGAACACAGATCCAGACCATATGAAACCACACTTATTTATCATCTCGCAGTTCTGTGGGTCAGAAGTCTCAGAGGGTCCCACCATTCTCTGCTGCGGGCCTCGTGAGGCTGAACTCAAGGGGTCAGCTGTGCTCTCCAGGAGTTCCGAGGGTTCTACCAAGTTCATTCTAGTTACCAGCAGAACCCAGTTCCCTGAAACACTAGGACTAAGGTCCCTGTTCCCTTTCTACTGCCAGCCAGGATCTGCCCTCAATTCCCAGATACCTCCCTCACTCTCCATCCCATGGGGCTCTCAGGCCATGACAGCAGATGGGTCCCTCACATCAACTCTCTCCCACACTTTGAATCTCTCTGACCTCTGCACCCAGCCTGAGCAAACTGTGCATTCTATGGACTCACCTGATTAAGCTATGCTCGCTCAGGTATTCTCCATATGTTGTAGTTAACTCATCTGGGACCTTAATTACATCTGCAAATCCCATCACAGCAGCACCTAGATTAGTGTTTAATTGAATAACCACAGGACTAAAATCTTGGAAACTTCCTAGAATTTTGCCTACAACAGAAGGTTAGAGCTTCCTATGGGCAATAGTTACCTTACCTACTTATCTTGTAATTGTCTCTCCCTGCGATTTTGCTTTAACTTCCAGTTTAAATAAAACATCACATTCTCTCTCTTCTAATCCTGAAAAAATATACATAATTTTGATGATATTTTTTAAAGTTCTTTTTGTTTTTGAAAAAAAGGACATAAACAGCATCTGCAAAAAAATCAATAAAAAGTCTTATAATAAAGCATGTCCTTAATATTTATTAGTACATGAATATAAATTTAAATAAATCTATGTAGATTCTAGATTTTATTGCTCCAGTTCAATTTTCTCTAGGCTCAACTTCCAAATTCCCAGAGCTCTCACCTTTCTCTGAGCATCATCTAAATCCTGGTTAAGACAACAAGAGCTTAGAGAACACCTGCTCTCATCAACGTTTGCGTTTTCTATTGCCCCTCCACAATACTGTCTGCGATTCAATGAACTACTAGCTATATTGCATCCCAAAGCCATGTCAAAATCCCAATGCTCATTGCTTTTCTAATATTTCCTCGTGGCTTTTTCAGAATTTTTTTCCTGAGGGGACATTTGGAGGTGCCACGGCCTCACTCACTGAAGCAAGATGGCAGCTACGCACCTTTGACAGCCTCTCTCTTTCTCTTTCCTTTACAGGCCCTTCTTTTCTCTTGCTGAATCTGAGAAGTAGAATCAGAAGACAAGGTCAAGTTCATGCAGGGACAATGCTCCGACGACGTTATCGCATAGATGGAAATCCACTGTGTTCGGGGGGAAGACTGGGCTCATTTTATTAGCCTTATTGGCCAGTGGCCTTGTGCACTCCCACTTTTGAGGATGCTTTTTGACAGTTGCTTGTTAGTTTATGTGTTCATTTGAGACAGGGTCTAGCTCTGTTGCCCAGGCTGGAGTGCAGTGACGCCATCATAGCTCACTGCAGCCTAGAACTCCTGGCCTCAAGTCATCCTCCTTTGTCAGTCTCCCAAAACGCTGGGATTACAGGCGTGAGCCATCACACTCAGCTGACAGCTGCTTGTTAATCATGGTTCTTGCACTGAATAACCTTTCTAGTTAGTGAGTGAGGCATAGAAGGCAGGCTTGAGGACTCACAAATTGCCCCACCTACACCCCCACCAAAAGCAACACAATCTCTCCTAATTCGATTGACACCCTCCACACACCCAGCTTGGCTTCAGGGAAGGAAAATGGGCTCCTGCCATACAATCTCCATGCAACAACTCCTGCCAAATGCAACACAGACCATAATGTCATTTATAATTTGAATTGTACCAGTTTAGACATTTAAAATATCTCACGTATTCATTGTTACATTCATCTTCGTTTTTCTCCATTTCTATTTTTGGCAATCCTCTAATTTCTTGTTCTCTTAAGTAAAAAGGAACAAAAAAATAACAACAAAAGAAAGCTCTTCAAAAATACTTGGATTCCGGTATTTGTGTGTGGTTTCAATAGGGAAGCTTTTTTTAAACTACTTGGACTAGAACAGAACAAAATATATGAGTTTGGGGGAAAAAGACCACAACAGGGGTGTGTGTGAGAGGCAGGTGCTGGGGGAGAGGCCTCAAACAGCAGAAAAGCTTTGAAGCCCTATAGGGCACTGACCTGCAAGGACTAAGTTTGAACAATTGTGTGGGAAGTTTGGGGGTTACTAAGCTAGCTTCGTAATGTAACTTCTTTCCCCTCTTTCCTTTTTTGACAATAGCATTCCTTTCTCCATTTCTGTTCTGTTATTTTTTTAACACATCTAAAATGACATAAAACAAACATAATACACAGGCACACACCTGCACTCACATACACAAACACACAAACTTCTGTGAGTTCCACAGAGGCCGACCCCTTTGCTTCAGTGAGGGCTGTGGAACTGGAATTTCATTCTCCTACGGACTTGCTCTGAACAACAGTTAAGTAAAGAGCTCCCACTGGTGGTGGAGGGAATTTTACTGTCCACACGAAATGCCTTTCCCTACCAGTCAGTGCTTGGAGACTGGATCTCCGAGTCACAGACGAGATGTGGGCTAATGTTGCTCTTTCGCCATGTGATGTAGCAAATAAAATGCCATTGTTCCCCTAGGTGGCTGTGGGTATTAGTCACAGCTGACGCTAAGCAGGAGGTGCGTGGTGTCCTGCCAGGACTGTTATTAGTTACAAGTCTGGATGGGCTCCCGATGCACCATTTTCAAGTAGCTTCAATGCTGTTAAACTTTTAGGAATTCCAAAGCTACTGCTCCAAAGCCTCAAGTTCCCTCACCTTAGAACAAAGATTGCTGCCTTTATTACCAGTCTTATGTTTAACCAGAGAAAGTACAACTTTTCCAAGTTTAAGCTTCTCTAAACTGCTTTTGAGGAAGAGAGGTTCTCTGCATGTGTCCGAGATAATTGTCAAATACCAAATTTGAACACACGTTCTGAGTCACCTGAAGAACCAGCCCGTGTCACTAAGACAAGCACAAATAGCTCCTCTGCTGTGGGACTCTTCACCTACCGCAGATGTTTCCATAAATATTTCAGCAGATACCATTTTCATGACAATTACCAAGAATGTGTGTGTGTGTGTTTTTTTTTTTTTTTAATTTACAGTCTATGTGAAAAATGTAATAGAAGAGAATAATGCTGGATTTATATGGGAGAAAAGTGTAGGTTTTTCTCCTATTTGGTGTCTTAGATTAAGGTACTTTGATACATCTGTCCAAACAGACATTACATCGTGAACAAGAAAAGATGGGACTGGTAGAGACTCAAAGTAACAAGAACAGTTTCCAAGAAAGAAGCAAGGCTATTAAATATTAGGCTGTTGCAAAAGTAACTGCGGTTTTTGCCATTTGAAAATAATGCCAAAAAACATAATTACTTTTGTAATAACCTAATAATTAGACCCAAGATAAAAATCCATATATACTCAACTTACTTTTAAATCCAGAGCTTATGTCTTTTTCCAATCAGACCTCAACATAGAACTTCGCTTAGATTTTCTTATGATCTGGGTTATGTAAACCTCCTGGGATTTATAAAACAACTGGATATCTTGAATCCTTCTCTTTAAGTCAGATCTTGTCAGCCTGTGATGCCACCTACAGTGAAATTTATTAAGTATACAACCTAATTTTGCTGTTATTTCTAGAGTCTATGAGTTATGACTACACAGCATAAGTAATGACTTAATTAAATTAATTTAAGGTATGGTGTTAAGATTAACTGCGCCAGCTCACAGTGGTCTGCAGTAATTGGAGATCTCATGTTGTACCTCTTTTTTATAATCACAAAGTCAGTCTCTTTAAATTACTCAGACCCAAAAAGGAAAATCAGGAAGACAGCAAGGGCAATGAACGGCATGGTCAGGAGAGATCTGTTGAGAATAGTTAATTAGAAAATACAAAGTTTAGTTTAGTTTTCAAAACATACTCTCAAGTACTGTGTCGTGTTTTTAAAGCACCAGTTGAGCTTGCTGCCCACCCCTCATTTTTTTTTTTTTTTTGTGAGACAGAGTCTTGCTGTGTCACCCAGCCTGGAGTGCAGTGGCGCGATCTCGGCTCACTGCAAGCTCCACCTCCCAGGTTCACACCATTCTCCTGCCTCAGCCTCCCGAGTAGCTGGGACTACAGGCGCCCGCCACCACGCCCGGCTAATTTGTTTTGTATTTTTAGTAGAGACAGGGTTTCAACGTGTTAGCCAGGATGGTCTCGATCTCCTGAACTCGTGATCCGCCCGCCTCAGCCTCCCAAAGTGCTGGGATTACAGGCGTGAGCCACCGCGCCCGGCCCCATCCCTCTTTTAAACTTTACTCATTTGTTCATTAATTAGTGCAAACATCATGTGATAAATGGTCTGCACATGCCTGCTTCATGCACCCACACACAACTGACAAGGCTGCTCTTGAAAAGCTGCCACAAGATTGCATGCATGACCTATCAGGAATCACAGGGACACAAGTGATTGTTGCTTATTCTTTGAAGTTTTGCATATTCCCAGAAACATCAAGAAGAAGGCACAAGGCAACCCTGCAAAGGTTCCAGCACTTTTCCCCCAAAAGGCTGCTGCCAGTGGGTTAGCTGCAGCACAGCTGTCCACAAGGTCTTCCTCCTGCCAGGTGAAACACAGAACCCAAGCTGCAAATATGGGGAAGCATGTCCTGGTACAGGCTGGCTTTGCCAGAGTCAGTGCTCTCTTTCACCTACATGGTAGTGGGTCCATGGGGCATGACAGCGAATTCAACAAAACTGCTCATCATGAGGTGTCATGAGAGCCAGAGTTATGGGGGCCTGTTTAAAGATTGGAACATTTCCTAAAGAGTGAATATCAATTGGGGTACACACAGAGAGCCATGCAGTCACACAGATTTGTGCATACATGATTTTAATAGTCCTACCCACATTACAGTTAGGAAGAAGCCATCTTTGTTTAGGAAAATGAATTTCCTGCCACTTAGAATTTGAAAAGAGTGATTCTAAACCTAAGGGCTTAAGGGAGACGACAGAGTTAGCAGGTGTAAACGGGACTGAGGGGATGCTAAAGAGAGAAGTGGGGAAAAAGGAGGAGGCAATCTTGGAGGAAACTGGAACTTACAGTCAAGTGGCCAGAAATAGTATCTCTGTAGAGGACTAGCTGATTAGCTTTTGAGAACTTGCATAGGATACTGTATGCAACCAATTGATAATAGAGAGGGTATTCCATTTTTAAATAAATTTTAAAAGATTTCCCTCTCCTGTCTTTGAGCTGTAAATTTGAGTTCTGTGCTAGGGAAGGTGCAACAGAAGAAAACAGCTGAAGATAAACTTTGAGACAGACGTGACCTTGCATATATAAACATTTGGGAAGTTTTGTAATTTTTGAGCTGGGCAATGGGCTTTTTTCCAAGATTTGAGGTAGCTGGTGGTTTATTTCAAATGTATCTAAATCCATGGGACTTGGAAGTCATTGCTGGTAACTGGATAATTAAGGATTTGGTAATTTAGACACTGTAGATATTTCAAATTAAAACAGAATCAATTTATTATTATATTAACTATAAAAGGGCATCCCTACCTACCCCAAAACACGCAACACACAACACACACACACAATCCTATACATTGACTTGATGGGAAATGGTTTGCTCTTCTCTCAGATGGGGAAAGATTCTATAAAACATATTCCTGTTTTACAAGGGAGATCAAACTGATTATTTTCCCTGTAAGTACTTTTTATACATAATCAGACACATCAATAAAAATGAAAAGGTATTTAAGAAATTATGTGTCCCAACCTCCTCATTTCAAAGACGAGAAATCAAAAGCCCAGGGAACTCTACATAACACGTTGGTGCAGGTTTGAGAGTTTAACAGGCTTGTACAGTTAGACACGTGGCCTGCTTTAAATTGATGTTGATGTATCATTTTGATGCTTTTAATTTTTGTGGGAAATGCAATAGCATTATCCAATATAAACTTACTTTTAACTGCAAATAAAATTTAACTAGTTTCTCGCCAATGTTCACCTTAAAAGTAGAGTCTCTTTTTCACAGTAACATAGAGAATATACACTCAGATGCGTACACCTAATCACACAACTACCCACCTATATTCCACCTCTTCTGTCCAACTGTAATGATCTCATTAAAGTAGGATAGGAAGAAAAACTCACAAGAGATCTCAAAGTTTCATGCTCTAGATGAATCGTGATGGATAAAATCTCAAGGACATACAATAAAATAACTGGGAAAATGTAGGCAAAGCTTTGTGAAAGTATCTCTAGAGTTGTTGCAAAAAATAAAGTAAAAAGATTTCTCTTACTTACTCCCCATGGCAAAAGGCCCCTCCCTCCTGCTCCGCTTCTGTCCATGCTTCCATAATTTTCACAAGAGCCAGTCTTTCATAGTCTATGTCCATCGCTTACAAACTTCCCATTCCAACTTCCTATTTTCAACAATATGTCACATTCTGTTTACTTTCTAAAACAAAACACCAAAACCAAAAAGACAAAACAAATGAAAACACTCTTTCTCTTTTTTACTAGTGCAACTTCAAATCAAGTCTTTTATCCTTAAACCTGAAATATCCCACTAGACTTCCAACTCTCACACCTATCTCTAGATTCTTTCCTCTGTTGTCTTATTCACTATTAATTCATGTGCTTACTGCAATGTCTGAAACATAGTAGGGGAAAAATAACTATTTTCTTAACATATCATGTGATTTTGCATACCGTTGCCTGGCTAATTTACCAGAATTTCCCTATTAAAAGTGTAGGGCTTAAAAACCTTTCATTATTGCCCACGGTAGATATAGTATACTTTTTAAAAATCTTTAATTGTTACTGTCTCTTCTCTTGTCTTGTCAATCTGGCCTCAGTGTACCTTTCTCCTCCTTCGTACACATGCCCTCAAGCCTAGTTTCTGTAGCTATCGTGGATGATGTCAGCTTTGTGCCTGAGGAATGCCCTCCCTACCCTACCCAGCCTGGGTCTGGTCTTATCACCTCCATCAAAACAACCTGCTGCAATGATGTCTCAGCTCAGCTCACTGCAGCTGAATTCATTCTCTCCACACCCTTCTCCACAACTGGCTTCCTCGCCTCTATCTCCTTCCTCAACGATGATACCACTCCCTCTCAATCAAAAGACAAGGAGTGGGCTCATTTCATTTCTCCCCATCTGCCCAAATCCAATCATTCACTAATGCAGCTATGCTGTTTTGACTTCCTTAAATTCCACTTTTGACAAATTTTACATTAATTCCCCTCTCACTTCAGGGACTAGACTGCTGCCTGGAAGATCACTCTGCCCATCAGCTTTGCTCACTCAGGGCCTTTTCCTCCACAGCCTGGCACTATGTGGAGCCCTGTGAAGTGACAGTAAGAAAAAGAATCATAGCTCTGCCCATCAAAACCATAAAAGCTTTCATCAAGGAAGACAACCAGGTTTACTAGTGAATGCTATTCAGGGCCTATCCAACAACAATCATCTAAGTTTTCTTCCGTCCTAACAGAGTCCTAATTTTTCTCAATCAAAGTACCCTTCATGCCAATCATGTCATTTTCTACATCTAGGTGGAGCGTCGATATTCATCAATTTATATGTTGAATGTTTTCTTCAGTTCATAATACATTTCTAAATGACAATTTTTGTGTAGGCTATGATTACAATTTTAACACCTGGAGGCAAAGGTATTATGATATAATGAAAAAGAGGGAATTGGAAACGCCTCCTCTGCCTCAGGAGAATTTTTAGTTAGATTGCACACCCCAAAAGGTGTATAACTCACATAAAGCTAATCAGTGACTTATAAAAATTAGATAGATCTCATGATTTTTTTTACCCTGAAATATTTTAGCAAGCAATTGTCAATATATTTTCTGCCAACTGGTTTCTTTCTTCTTTTTAAACAAACTATTTGATAGAGAAAAGGTTTTTCACACATTTAGGAAAAAAAATCTAAAAGATAGGAAAAATTATTCATTTTTGCTTACTCCAACATCCCCTGAAAAGATATGGCTAGGAATTAGGTGACAGCATTATTTTTAAAACACAAAAGAATAAGAGAACGAGAGATCTCAAATCAGGAGTTCAGATGCTGAATTTGGCAACCTGAGATAAGCAATTTAAATACGAGGAGAGTGACAGTGTGCAGTCTATTCAAAAACTTGCCGATATAAACAAACAAAACATTTCTTCCTTAATCCTAAACAAGGTGCAGAGTTTGTATTTGACAAATATGCTATAAACTGATGGAGTTCATCAAATATTTAAGTCCTACCTGAGCCATTAAAAGTCAAGCAAACAAAATATTTGTCAGTCGTTCAGAACAGAGAGGCATTTATGTATAAAATAGAATCTTATTTCTCTTAGAGCTTTTTTTGTTTGTTTTTTGTTTGTTTGTTTGTTTGTTTGTTTGTTTTTAGACGGAGTCTCGCTCTGTCACCCAGGCTGGAGTGCAATGGCGCGATCTCGGCTCACTACAACCTCCGCCCCCAGGTGCAAGTGATTCTCCTGCCTCAGCCTCCCGAGTAGGTGGGATTACAGGTACCCACCACCATGCCTGGCTAATTTTTGTATTTTTAGTAGAGATGGGGTTTCACCATGTTGGTCAGGCTAGTCTCAAACTCCTGACCTCAGGTGATCCGCCCGCCTTGGCCTCCCAAAGTGCTAGGATTACAGGCGTGATCCAGCTCTCCCAGAAGCTTTTGCAATTTTTAATACTAAGTTTGATCAGGGCATCAAAACACATAGGAGGCCTCCTTTTAGTTTACAAAGAAGAGACATTGTCATATATGTCACCTAAAGCAGTGGTTCCCAACCCCTGGGCTGTGGACGAGTACCAGTCTGTGGCCTGTTAGAAACTGGGGCGCACAGCAGGAGGTGAGCAGTGGGCAAGTGAGCATGACTGCCTGAGCTCGGCCTCCTGCCAGATCAGCGGGCATTAGCTTCTCATAGGAGCAGGAATCCTATTGTGAACTGTGCAGGGGAGGAATATAGGTTGTGGGCTCCTTATGAGAATGTAATGCCCAGTGATCTGAGGTGGAACAGTTTCATCTTGAAATCATCCCTTCCCATTCCTCCTCACTGATGGAAAAACTGTCTTCCATGAAACTGGTCCCTGGTGCCAAAAACGTTGGGGACCACTGCCCTAAAGCACTGTGCTCCGTGACTCTGTATATGTGTGTGACTGTGAGCCTGTGTGTGTGTGAGCATATGAGTGTGAGCCTGTGTGTGTGTCTTTGAGCGTGTGTGTCTTTGAGCATGTGTGTGTAGGTGTAAGCCCATGTGCAAGCTTGTATGAACCTGTGTGTGTGAGCATGTGTGAGACTGTAAGTGTGAGCCTTTGTGTGAGTCTGTGAGCATGTGTGTGTGTTCAAGTATGGGTCCATGTGGCCATGAGCATGTGTGTGAGTGTGCAAGTGTAACCTCATGTGCAAGCCTGTGTGATCCTGTGTGTGAGCATGTGTGTGTGTAAGCCTGTGTGTGTGAGCCTGTGTGTGCATGCGTGTCTGTGAGGATGTGCGTGAACCTGTGTGCCTGTGTGTGAGCATGTGTGTGTGTGAGAGCACGCATGTGGGTGTGTGAGCTTGTGTGTGGTGTGTGTGAGCATGTTTGTGTATAAATTTGAGCCTGTGAGTATGTGTGAACGTGTGTCTGTGAGCCTGTGTGTAAGCCTGTGTGAGTATGAGTGTTAGCCTGTGTGTGATCATGTGTGTGTGAGTGTGAGCCTGTGTGTGAGCATGTGTGTGAGTCCATGTGTGGTGAGACTTTTTAACAGTGTATAGGTATTTAAGAGATTGTTTTCTGAGGCCAGAGCTCAGTAACAACAGATGGTTGGTAACTGCTGAGACAGGAGACGCTAATAGACATGACCAAAGCAGAAATAAGCAGAGGATCAGCCCAGCTTGGCTATGGCTGTGAACACTATCATCACTCTTACTGTATGGTGACCTCCCATTAGGAATGGTCAGAGAGTAGAATAAATTCGAATCTTTGTCCCATTTCTGTCACCTTCAGCAGCTTTCATGGGGTTGGTATCACTTACCCTGAGCTCTGGGTGGTGCCACAAGAGTTTTGGACGAGGTGACTGTTTTCAGCACTGTTGGAACCCACTACTGTGCTCCCTTTTTATATGTCATCATTTAATTGGTGCTGTGTCAAATGCCAAGGAAGAGGTTGTACAGAGAAGATAAGTGGAAATGTAGAGACCTGGGCTCCGGCCTCAATCTGGATGTGCATTAATTGTGGGGCTTTGTCTCTTTTATGGAATCACAGCATTTTAAACTAGTGGCATTTATAAGATGATTCTTTTTCTCTAACTTCAACATTTTTCAAATAAGTAATGGATACACATTGCTTGCTGTTGGATATTCAGAAAAAAAAAGAAAAGAAATGAATACCCAGGGAGGCTGAGTGACATAGCCCAGCTCGCCCATCTTGTGTGCAGTGGAACCTGGTTCTGTCTCCCCAAGTAAGTAGGTTGGAACAGAAGCGGGGCACTTACCTGGCTCTGGGTCCCTGTCCCTGGGAACCATGACTGTGAATAGCATAGCCACACGTATCAATTTACAGCAGTGTGTAATAGCCAAATGTAACAGAGTTCCTTTGAAAGCTCTCATCCAAGAGAGGCAGTTAGAAAAAGCAAAGCATGGTTTGAGGAATCAAGATGATGGCACAAACAGAAATTAAAACATCAAAAAATGTGAAGAGTTGACATTAGAAAACTGATGTACATTAGAAATAATAAGACTTGTGTTGGGCATCTTGCATAGTTATTATGAGATAAAATTAAGTCACACTTAGGAATACTTTTTGAAATTAAAAATGTATGCAAGTAAAAGCATTACTATTAATACTGAAAAAATGCAAATTTTTAATTATAAAATATCTATGTACAAATTGTACATTCCCTTAAATACTTACTTTAAATTGGTAAAATGCCTTTAAATACAGAATCACACTGCTATGGATGAAGTTCTTAAATTTTACATTACTTTATCTTTTCCTTCCAGTTTGATGCCCTTAAAAAGAGAAAAGCCCAGAAGAATCTCATAATACATAGGAGTCTATATTAGAAACTGCAAGGATAAAGAAACTTGGTTTTATATACAATGGTATTTTTCACATTATTTCTGTATCACACCAAGAAGATTTTATATCAACATTTATTTAACATGCTATTCTCTATCTAAAATATTTGGATGTAAAAATGGGTTAATTCAAATATAATTCCCATCACAGCTCTTTTACAAAAATGTGAAACAGAAGCAGCACTTGAGCAACAAAAACTACATTCTAAGAAAACATATTTGTAAAAGTACTAGCAGAAAAGAAAGAGATTGATGCCTATAGTGAAATAAGTATGGAAAAAATTATTCTTAATGAGATCATCATGCTCTTTGGCATACACACGCATGCTACGTATTAATTCTGAGGCCTATAATACAAGGCTTTTTTTTCTGTTTTTTTTTTTTCTTTTTTAAGAGAAAATATTGAGGGCATATTGAACCGCTACTCCTCTTTCCTGTGCCTTTGTCCTTCCCTAATGGTAAAAGTTGGCTAAGTATGGATTAAGTGCTTGAAGAAAGTGGTACACTTAAATCCAGCATTCCTATTACTGAGAGATCTTATATCAGTTAAGCATCTTCTTTCATGAATTACAAGAGGAAAATAAGTAGATAATATTCACAGTGATTTAGGATAGATTAGAAATTCCTCTTACTAGCTTATGGATAAATTCATGTGAAGAGCAAATCATTATATAACAAGGAGGTTTAGTCTGGAGAGAAGATGTAAAGGCCAAATGAGTGGCTCTGTCACTGGTTGCAGCCATTTGTACTGCTGAGACCTCCCAGAGAGGAGGGCAGAGGGATTCACAGAGTCATTTCCCATCCCAAGAGAAATAGCCTTGCTTCTCATACTATCCTCTTATTTTTCCTTCAAAAAAAAAGAAAAGAAAAGAAAAGCAATATGTAGCATTATATAAGCTGTACATCTTCTTTCAGGATGCAAATGATTGCCACTATTTAAAAATATTATCTAATATTGCTCGAGTCTCAATCATATCACCTCAAATTACTGAGTAGGCATCACAAGTCAAATACCAGCCTATGCATGTGGCATGAACCATCTCAATTGTCCTGCATTAAAAACTTCAGCACCAGGCAATCTTATTATCACCTTTTTACAAATGAAGAAATTGAGGCTTAGAGAGATCCACTAGCTATAGCCAACACAAAGCCAGGATTTTAACCTAAGTTGTCTATAAGTGAAGCCCTGTCAACTAACCATTAGGTCCAATACTGAAATTTATTTTCACTCTTTCACTTCATGGTAAGCTGGTGTTAATGAGAAGACCATATACAGTACAATATTGTGATTCATAAAGTCTTCATTTGCCATTTCACTTGAATTCACAATGAATAAAAGTAATTTAAGGTTAATGTAAGAAAAAACTACAAAAGATGATATTTTCTCAAGGAAATTCTATAAAATGAGCTTAAAAAACACCCATTTTAAGCAAGTACACTGGTATTCTTTCAATAAATGGGTGATTCTTAAGTGGTTATGTCAGCTGATTTAAATAGTTTTATGGGAAGCCAAGGCAGGTGGATCACAACGTCAGGAGTTCAAGACCAGCCTGGCCAAGACAGTGAAACCCCGTCTCTACCAAAAATACAAAAAACAATTAGCTGGGTGTGGTGGCTGGCACCTGTAATCCCAGCTACTCGGGAGGCTGAGGCAGAGAATTGCTTGAACATGGGAGGCGGAGCTTGCAGTGAGCCCAGATCGCGCCACTTCACTTCAGCCTGGGTGACCGAGTGAGACTCCGTCTCAAAAAAAAAAAAAAAATTGTTTTATAATAAAATCAAGTCTCTAATACCTGGAATCTGATTACATCTACTCAAGTATAAGCTGTAAATTATACTAGGCAATTGTATATAAAGGTACAGCTTGTATACAACACAAGGCTTTTGCACTTCTAGGCTGAAATCTACCTGTTACTATGGTCTCCAAGTCTTATGACCAAAGGTCTAAATTCATCCCAAAAAGGTACCTTTGTTTTTTTGCAGGAGTTCTGGGTTGGCTAGTACTATCCTGAAGTCACAAACAGGCAAAGCTGCCTGAGTTGCAAAGTGTACAGATGGTTGGTGATAATACTCAAGAAGGCTCTCTAATCAGCTTTTTAGTGGGCCAGTTTCACAAGTATTATCAGCACAAATAAATGACTAGGTTAGTAAAATTAGAGAGAAAAAAATTCACACTGAAGCAAATGCATTTATAAAATTAGATTCAGAAACTAATTTGAACGAAATATTTTCTCATGTTCAGTCTTAACCAACCATAAAGCTGCACTGTAGAAGTGACCTCAGAATCCAGTGCCTGAACAAAATTGGGCTTTAGTGATGTATTGTCCAAGGTTCCTTGTTAGTTTCATTTTCCAGTAACTTTTGTTCAAAAAATTCTGTTTTACGATATTGAATACTTTTAAACACTACTTGGAAGCAGAGTGTTAGAAAAGCAGGCACTACTTATTACATGTATCTTTCTACTTATAACATTGAGATTGCACTCCTGCAGGCAACATGATTCTGTATCTAGAAAATCCCATAGTCTCAGCCCAAAAGCTCTTTCAGGTGATAAACAACATCAGCAAAGTTTCAGGAAACAAAATCAATGTACAAACATCACTAGCATTCCTATACACCAACAAAAGCCAAGCTGAGAGTGAAATCAGAAAGGCAATCTCATTCACAATTGCCACAAAAAGAATAAAACACCTAGGAGTACGGGTAAGCAGGGAGGTAAAAGATCTCAACAATGAGAGATAAAAAATACTGCTCAAAGAAATCAGAGAAGACACAAACCAATGGAAAAACACCCCAAGCTTGGATAGGAAGAATTAATATCATTAAAATGGCCATACTGCCTAAAGCAATTTACAGATTCAATGCTATTCCTATCAAACTACCAATTATGTTCCTCACAGAAATAGAAAACAAAAAACTATTTTAAAATTCATGTGGAACCAAACAAGATCCTGAATAGTCAAGGTAATCCTAAGCAAAAAGAACAAAGCTGGAGATGTCATGTCATCCGTCTTCAAACTATAACTACAGGGCTACAGTAACCAAAACAACATGGTGCTAGTACAAAACCAGGCACATAGGCCAATGGAACAGAATAGAGAGCCCGGAAATAAGGCTGCATAACTATGACCACCTGATCTTTGACAAAGCTGACAAAAACAAGTAATGGGGAAAAGACTCCCTAGTCATTAAATGATGCTGGGATTACTGGCTAGCCATACGCAGAATTAAGCTGGACCCCTTCTTTTGAACTTTTACAAAAATCAAAGCAAGATGGATTAAAGTCTTAAATGTAAAACCCAAAACTATAAAAACTCTACAAGACAACCTAGGCAATACTATCCTGGACAGATGAACAGGCAAAGATTTCATGACAAAGACTCCAAAAGCAATTGCAACAAAAGCAAAAATTGACAAGCGGGATCTAATTAAACTTAGGAGCTTCTGCACAGCAAAAAAAACTGTCAACAGAGTAAACAGACAACCTACTGAGTGGGAGAACATTTTTGCAAACTATGCGTCTGACAAAGGTCTAGTATCCAGCATCTACAAAGAACTTAAACAAATTTACAAGGGGAAAAGCAACCTCATTAAAAAGAGGGCAAAGGACATCAACAGACATTTTTCAAAATAAAACATTCTTATGGCTAACAAGCATATTAAAAAAGCTCAATATCACTGATCATTAGACAAATGCAAATCAAAACCACGATAAGATACCATCTTGCACCAGTCAGAGTGGCTATTATCAAAAAGTCAAAAAATAACAGATGCTGGCAAGGTTTCAGAAAAAAGGTAACACTTATACATTGTTGGTCAGAGTGTAAATAAGTTCAACCACTGTGGAAAGCAGTACGGAGATTCCTCAAAGACTTAAATGCAAACTACGATTTGACCCATCAATCCTATTACTGGGTATATAGGCAGAGGAATACAAATAATTCTATCATGAAGACACATGCACGTGAATGTTCATTGCTGCACTGTTCACAATAGCAAAGACGTGGAATCAACCTAAAGGTCCATTAATGACAGATTGCATAAAGAAACTGTGGTACAAACACACTATGGAATACTATGCAGCCACACAAAAAATAACATCATGTCCTTTGCAGAAACATTGATGGGGCTGGAGTCTCATCACCAGGGGCAGTTCCATCTTTAAAAATGCTGGACAAAACACTAAATAGGTCTGATTGCATTGAAGCACTATGCAAATCTGAACCCAATACTGCATATTCTCAGTTATAAGTGGAAGCTAAATGATGAGAACAAAGAAAGCAAGTGCAGGAGAGCCCAACTGGGAACCAACACAGAGGGAGAGAAGCCTATTATCCTCAACAAACTCACACAGGAACAGAAAACCAAATACCACATGTTCTCACTTATAAGAGGGAGTTAAATGATGACAACTTATGAACACAAAGAAGGAGGCAACAGATGCTGGGGTCTACTTGATGGTGGAGGGTGGGAGGAGAGAGAGGAAGAGAAAAGATAACTATTGGGTACTCAGCTCAACTCCTGGGTGATAAAATAATCTGTACAACTAACCCTTGTGACATGAGTTTGCCTCTGTTACAAACCTTCACATGTACCCACAAAACTAAAATAAAAGTTAAAAAATATAACAAAAAGATTACATTCATAAATATGATGAATTTATTTATAAAACTATCTGAGCTTCTTCAAATTGCAGATTTCTAGGTTAAAAAAGTGTGCTAGAGAAATAAGCAAATATACTAAATTTCTATAATTACTTTTATTCTCTAAATCAATATTTAAATACAAATGTATAGAAGCAGTGAGTATTATAGGAAAATAATTTTCAAATCTTCATTTTCTGTCTTGAACAAATTCAATAAACATATTATACTGTAGTATGTAGCAGACAAAATTATTCAAATGCCTCTTATTCACTTAAATAATCTGCTTACAAAGAAGAGGTATGAGTTCTCCTTAAATTAAATAATATTTGGAAATGTACACTAGAAAATAATTGTCTGTTGATTGATTTTTAAATTGTTATTAAAATCTCCAGGATATTTTAGCTGCAAAACATACATCTCACCAAATAATAACAGTAGTTACACAGAGAATAAGAATGAGTGACTTCTTAAAAATTAAAATGTATCTTGTTTGTATCAACGTTGCTATGCATATAATTCCTATTTTGTCTTACAAAACCAGCTTAGTTTCTTTAATGAAATTGATACAATTTGGATTTCCATTGGGAAGGATATTTTTCCTCTATATTTTTAATTTTTTATAAAAAGAGAAATAACAGTTTTTAATATATATCTCTCTATCCAATATTTTAGATATACACGCACACACACACACACACACACACACACACACAATTTGCCTTAATTATAGCTTACAGATTCAATTCCAGCTGTGGCCCAGCTGAATTTGAAGCAATGTGTGATTTTGTTAGATTATAATTGGCATTTCCATTTCATAAAGCCTAATATCAACATACCTGGTTCCCCATGGATGCTTTTAGTGAAAAATGAAACTAGCAGATAGAAGTCATTACGTAGATTCCACATCAAATATTTTTGTCTTTTTATATCTAAAGAGTATATGATTTCAACACTTTTAAAGAAGAACTTTTATACTGATCTCTATATAAACTTCAATAAAGCCTATGTGTCATCGACTCAGAGAATGAAAAACGTGTATAATGTGGGATACGATGTCTTGTTAAACTTTTAACAAATTAAATATCATGAATTTTCAAAAAATCAATTATTTGTCAGCTATAGAATACTTCTAATACTCATTAAGAGCCTAAATGTGTACCCTTTAAAAATATTCAATTCATAGTAACAACGAATATTTACAGAGTGCTTGCAATTGGCCAGGTCTTGTTCCATGAGTGGCTAGATGTGATGTCATTTCTTCTTCATAGACATTTTCTGAGGTAGTATTTTTTTTTTTAGTCACAGTTCTTGTTCAGTGGAAGAAGAAACTGAGACATGGGTAGGTGAAGTAACTTGTGCCAAGTTACACAAATGATAACTGAATTGGGCTTAGCTGACAACCCATTTGGAACTGCCAAAGAAACCCTTAACCATTTTACCTTGGCAACTTCTCATAAGGCAGAAATTTTCCAACAATATCTTGAGAGTCAAATCCCCATTATTTATAGGTTTGGTAACTGTGAATAACAATAAGTAGTTAAGAATGCTTGTTCCAAAAAGGTAGACATCAAATGCATGTAAGTAGAAAAAAAGACATGAATTATTTATTCACACAGCATTCAACTTTTATTGAACAAATTTGACAAATGAGATTCACTTGAAATGGAGTGGGGAGAGACAGACCGTGTTCAATGAATCAATCCATGATAAGTGCAATATAGAAAATAAAGGAAGGAAGCATGAGTGAGAAAGTCCTTACGGGTGGGATAGTGGCGAAATGGTAATCGCTCAGACAGGGAACTTTGTGACATGCTGCCATCTGAGTGTAGACCCGAGAAAGAGCAAAGCACCAAGGCTGGGGGCCCATGAGCAGGGGATGTTTAGTGCACTTGAGGAGTGGCTGCAAGAGGAAAAGGTCTGGAGCAGAGTGAGAAAAGACAGGTGTGATGGGGTTGGAGTCAGAGAGAAGAGCTGGACCAGATCACATGTACCTTGTAGAGTTTGGCTAAGAGAAAAGGCAAGCTGGGAAGGGGTGGCCTAGGCTTCAGGTTGGAAAATGACCATTCTGGTTGCTGTGCGTAGGCTGGGTGGGGCTGAGGGAAGAGCAAAGAGGACAAGGGCAGGAAAGCCCAGCTGGGAGCCAACACAGAGGGAAGGAAGCATAGGAGCCACGACACATTGAGATGTAGAATGCAAAGTCTTCATGGCACGCGACAGTTTTCAAAGTGCTTTCATATCCTGCACAACCAGCAGTCTCGTGAAAAGGAGAAGAAATGTTTCATCACCAGGAGCAGATCCATCTTTAAAAGTGCTGACCAAAACACTAAATAGGTCTGATTCAGTGGAAATATTGTGCAAATACAAAAAGCAAATACTGTCTGTATCCATTGCAACAGCTAGCTGGTGTTTCATTTACACTGGAGGGGAAATATAAGGGAGTAGAGGTATCTCTGTTTCTCAAGGCTCAATCTCTACAGTCAGAGGGTCAGGGCCCAGGGAACATGGTGCCTACATATTGAGAACTCCTACTACAGAGCACACTTTGTTTATGTCTTAGTAGATAGCAGGTTGGTTGTTCTGTGGCCTCCTAAGCATATGAGGAGATCAAGACTCCTAGGCTTTCCCCCAGGCAAAAACATGGACAGGAATATGTAGCTTGCACTTTCACAGAGAAGTGAAAGTACAAAATCAAAGTGTATTTTGCCAAGACATGAGGTTTTATTTCCCTTGTAAACCCACCTTGCCCTTAACATTTCTCACTACATCGTCTCCTTCTTCTTTGATTTCTGCCAATAACTATTTTCAATCTATTTTTTTCTAATGTAAATAATGCCATGTACTAGGTTCCAACAGTGAAAAATATAATGATGATACAGTGGTAGCCTCAAGGAAGTTAGAAACTTTTTCATGATAAATAAGGAAAAATATATAGCGAGAGCTCTAACCAAGCAAAAAGTATGAGAAGTGCTTACAAATTGCCATCGATAATCAAAGCAAAAAAATCAGCAGAAAAAAAATGAAGAAATGTTTTAAAATAAAAAAGGTCCTTAACAGAGAGAGAGGATCTTTGTAGATGCTCGAACTCAAATGATGTAGGTAATGAGAGCACCAACTTTACTCCTCTTGTTCAGTTTTTGAGCTATGGGAACCTGTCTTCAGATTAATCATGTTAAGATGCTCAGAAGTAGTTGCTTATCATGTCTATACCTAATTAAACATATTTACCGTATTTGCTGGCTCTCAAATATCAGGCACCAGCACATTCAAGAAACAGACAGATAAGATGATCAATCCTGTTCACATTTATGTGCATGGCGTTTTGAACCTTCCCTGATTTTCCAATGTCTCTTTCTTCCTTCTCAGATACCACCCTATCCATAAACATCATTCTATTTTCTTTTTTCTTTCTTTTTTTTTTTTTTTTTTTGAGAGTCTCACTCTGCATTGAGGCTAGAGTGTAGTGGTGTCATCTCAGCTCACTGCAACTTCTGCCTCCTGGGTTCAAATGACTCTCCTGCCTCAGCCTCCTGAGTAGCTGGGATTACAGGCATGCACCACCATGCCTGGCTAAGTTTTGTATTTTTAGTAGAGACGGGGTTTTACCATGTTGGCCAGGCTGGTCTCGAACTCCTTACCTCAAGTAATCCACCCGCCTTGGCCTCCCCAAGTGCTGAGATGACAGGCTGAACCATCACGCCCAGACTAGTTTCTCATACGTTATCTGGTCCCTCGTTTTATGCATCCACAAAAGATATACAAGTGTTATTTAAGTTTGCCTAATAATACAGTTCTTATACTAGACTGTAAACCACTAGTCTCTATACCTATTAAAAGACCTATCATCATACTGCTCACAAAATTCTTTCTTGATGGAAGTCTATTAAATCAGGTAATATGAATACAGTGCAGGGCTCACTACACGTCACAGTGAAAACCCTCAATAAGTGATATCTGTTATTATTGAATGAGTTGATGGCTGGGTGGATAAATCTGCTGTAGACAAAATGCTTTTCCTGTATATTAAATAAAATGAGAAGCCTTACATTGACCAGAAATAATCTGCAAAAGTACAATAAAAAAGAAGAATGTTAGCCCTCAAGATTGATAGTGAGAGGTTTGTAATTTCAAGAGAATCAGAAAAAAATAAAAGAAGCTTCTTGGGATAAAAACATCCAATGGAAGTGAATCTAGAAGGGTGGCTATAAAAAGCCCTGGGCAGTGTCTGGCAAGAAATCAGTTGTAGGTAAATTCCTCTCAACTGAATTATTCACCATACTTAGAAGAAATTAAAAGAAATTAATTAAAATTTATGGTTTCATAGGATTTCTCTAAGTTTCAGAAACCATACAAGTATTTTTAAATCAGAGAAAGTTTTTTTTTCTCTCCAACATAACATTGGACATGCAGGAAAATAACTCTTGCTTAGCATATGGGTAGACTCCATATAGAACTAAGAGAAGAGAAGTAAGCCTGAGGCAGCCAGATGGATTATGCCTGGGACCAGGATCAGAACTTTCACTATGTAGGTACTTGAATTGGATCATTTGTTTGCAGATTGCACTATAATCCTGACACTGTAATCACTTACTGAACTCTGTCATAGCGTTCATTTAGGTATTACAGTATGGATAAATAATTAAGGGTCAGGTTGTGTTCCCAATATAATAGCTGCTGTTATAGGAATTTCCTGGTGGAACTGATAGTGTTTGCTTACTTTTAGTGGGGAATGTTTCATTCTGTTTTGTTTTTGAAGAAATGGTGTAGCAGGCTGAATAATATCCAGTCAAAGATAGCCCCTTCCTAATCCCTGCAACCTGTGAATGTTACCTGATATAGCAAAAAGAACTTCGTAAATGTGATAAGCTAAAGACTTTGAGATGGGGAGATTATCCTGGGTCACCTTCAGGTGGGCCTAACTGTAAGCACAAGGGTCCTTATGAGAGAGAGGCAAGCAGGTCAAAGAAGGAAGTGGGTGATGTGAAGACAGAATCATGAGATTGGAGTGATGGGAAAATGGGTCAGGGGCCAAAGAGTACAGGAGGCCTTAGAAGCTAGAAAAAATGAAAAAAACAGATTCTCCTGGAGAGACTCCAGAAAGAACCAGCCTTACAAATAGCTTAACTTAAGCCCAGTGTGACTGATTTTGGATTTCTTGGCTCCAGAACAGCAAAACAAAAAATGTGTGTTGTTTTAACCATCGAGTTTGGAATAATTTGCTACAGCAACTACAGGAAGCTGATACAAATGAATAGGGAGTGAATCACAATAGATGTAATTCTAGAGTCACAGACAGGAGAGTGGGAAATTTATAAAGACACCACACAATGAATCTGACTGGCCTGTGATTGAAAGAAGGCAATGTCCTGAGAGGAACGGCCTTCGAATTTTCTGTACAACTAGAAAAGAGAAGATCTAGGTAAGGAGAACATAAAACATTTTTTTTCTCTTTGCAGATCTATGATTTGGAAATTTATGTTCCAGATAATTTAGTTAAAAGGCACAGAAGTTGTCCCTTAACATGTCTACATCTATTTATAATGATCTTACAAAAGAGGCATGGAAACACGTGAAGGTGTCAGAGCAAATGTTTTTCCTGCATTTAGTTCTGTTGAACCTGGCCCTGAAGGGTTTACTCCAGCATGGAGAACAGGTGTATTCTCTGCTCCAGCAATACTATTGGAATGTCCTGGAAACAACTTGAATTCTATACTTTTAGTACTGTGCTGCCAAATTATGTCCATAACACACATTTAGGGATGTGGCCATCACGGTATTTTCCTTCGCCATCCAATCAGATTTGGTCACCACATTCAATAACCAATAGCTGCTTGCTGCCTCTCATGGCGGGGCCACTCTGCTAGGTTCAGGAATAAGACACAGTATGGACTCTTAAGGATTTCAGTGTCTAGTGAGGGGAAGAGATAAGTATATAGGAATATTGAAATAAGAAGTCAGGCTGTTCCAAGAGCCTATGATCCAAACATGAGAGCACAGGGAAATTTAAATTAGACACATTCATGATCTTACTGAAGGGGAGAGAAGTGAACATTTATAAAATATGCAAATACAGTTGAAAAAATAATCAATACTCCTGGTCTTTTTAAAATGTCTTTCAGAAGACATTTTAATAACATGTGATTGTTCAAAAAACACAATGTACACTTCAGGATATATGTTGAATGAAGTCCTTGGGGAGTTTGCTGTTTGGCAAGGATTGCTGTTAATGGGAGTCCTGTTGTTAAATCTGTGTGTGCGGCTTTGAAAAACTAAGCAGCACACTAAATGCTAATTTTTAACTTGTTGGTGGTAATTTCTGATTGTGCTGATCTAGAGTAAACAATTTTAGGTAGAAAGTGTTTCCTGTTGTGCTCCTTTTATTTCATTTATTGAGAATTAATGCCCACAGAAAACTGGTGAACTTGGCATACTGAAAGAATGATCACCTTCAAGTTTGTAAAGCCACAAAACATTTCCTTTAGGAAGCTCTCATAACCCAAAAAGAACTTTTAAACACTAAAATTCCTCAAATCCCTACAGAGGTCACCAATATGTAGCTTCCGGCAATATTTAGGGTTTGCCAGGGCTGTAAATACGATAAGACTTTGGAGACATGCCACATTTTAATTCAAATTCAACTAAATCGTCTGACTAGGTTTCTGTGTAAATAAACCTCTTTCAAAGGAGAATCATGAATAGGAGTAACTTGAAAAAAAGCATGAATTCTTCCTTCAAATAAATGCTTGAGATAAAACTAAATTAAACCCTAGGATCTTATTTTCTCACCTAAGCTCTGGATCCTAAGTAAAGTTTTAAAATTCAGTTTCATGACAGCTGTGGCTATTATTGATTATGGCAGTTTATATGAAACCTATTTGCCAGTTTGGCTTATTTTTTTTTCCCTAAATGGATGGGTTGTTGGAATTGGCCATACCTACCATGTACTGTCTTGTTATTTAATTGCAGCTTCTCTAAACCAACCCAAAAGACTGTGCTGATTTTATGGAAAGTTATTTAGAGAAGGAAATATCAATTGTGATTTCTCACAGTTGTCATTTAATCTGAGGTCTCTGAACATAAAGAATCCTCTGAAAACAACTAAATTAACCCTTTAATTCTATTTTTGTATATAGTAAATATTTTGGCAAACATTTAAGCAAACCAAGATTGGGGGCTAGGAGGACAATACACACACCAAGAAATCTTTATTTACTTATTTATTTTTATTTATTTATTTATTTTGAGACAGAGTCTCGCTCTGTCGCCCAGGCTGGAGTGCAATGGTGCGATCTCAGCTCACTGCAAACTCTGACCCCCAGGTTCAAGCAATTCTTCTGCCTCAGCCTCCTGAGTAGCTGGGATTACAGGCATGCACCACCATGCCCGGCTAATTTTTGTGTTTTTAGTAGAGATGGGGTTTTGCCATGTTGGCCAGGCTTGTCTCAAACTCCTGACCTCAGGTGAACCACCTGCCTCGGCCTCCCAAATTGCTGGTACAAGACATTTGAATGTGACAAGTTTTAATTAGATAGAATAAATTTAAATAATCAGGTATTCTGGAGACTTCAGTGTATCTTCCACATGCATTGCACTTTCTCAAAGTCCAGTTAGCAATGAAGAGACTCAAAGCAAGATGGCAGCAGACAGAAGAAGCTGAGTCAAAGAGTACTGGGAATAAAGCATAAGACATAAAATCAGCACAGGTTGATTGAGAAGCTGAGGTATATTTCTGTCATATGCACTCTTAAGCTACAAGGATAGTTTTTGGCTTTTTTTTTTTTTTTTAAAGCTTCCAGACTTTTCTTAATGGGTAGCACTGTGAAATCAAAAAGAGCTGGACTATAGAAAACTCTGGAATCTGTAATTTGATTTTGGGGAAGTTAATTATCTTTACTGGGTTTTATTCCATTTTAGTAAAATAATGAAAGGAAAGGATTGTATCATCTCTATGCCTTTGTTCTCTTCTCTCTATGCAGTTAATACTGCCCTACTATAATTGGCTATCCTACCTCATTTGTATAATTGAAATGTCTCCTAACTCATTTCCCTGCCTGCAGCCTTACTGCCTTTAGTCCATTTTCCTCCTGAAACCAGAGTGAATGTTGATAGGATTGTGTCCTACTAAACTTTAAAGTGCTGGAGTACCGCTGCATTGGGCTCAGGATAAATCCCAGTTTCTTAAAGAGTGTCCCCTGCCCACACTTTATTTGCAGCCCTGTTCCTCCTCTTATTCCCTTTGCTCTTCCTGATTGGGCTTCCTGGCTTCCTCTGGAAGCAAATGTATGTTAATTGTGCCTGTCTAAGGAGTCTCAGTCTCCACGTCATTTGCTCTATTGAGGGAGACATCCTTAACTCCAGACTAGGTTGGGTGCTCCCTTAACATTTTCTACACCTTCTACTGTCGGTAACAGCTCATTTTACACACTCTACTGCCAGTGACTGATTGCAAGAAGTTTTTTGAGTCAGATCTTGTCTGTATGGCTCACTGTCACTCTAATGCTTAGGGGCGGCTTGGCACCCAGAAGCATTCAATCCTTAATGGCTCAGCATGTGAACAAGCGAATTGATAAATTATATAACTATCCAGGCACATGGAGCATGGGTTGATTCATATTATTTTCTTATTGCTAAAAAAATCTATTCTCTTTATCACTTGTAAACCAAATAATAATAACAAGACTTAGTATGACCTCAAATAATTCCTTTGATTTGCTTTTTCCAATAAGATTTCTCCTGATTTATAGAATCTGATTTTTTCCTAAAAAATATAATTTGCACATTGCATTCAATTCCAGTAAAATCAGTAAATGTTACAACCAAAGTAGTGAACATAATGGCATGCTAGGCTGGGCACGGTGGCTCACACCTGTAATCCCAGCACTTTGGGAGGCCGAGGCAGGTGGATCACCTGAGGTCAGGAGTTCAAGACGAGCCTGGTCAACACGGTGAAACCCGTGTCCGCTAAAAATACAAAAATTAGCCTGGTGTGGTGGCGCACACCTGCAGTCCCAGCACTTTGGGAGGCCAAGGCAGGTGGATCACCTGAGGTCAGGAGTTCAAGATGAGCCTGGTCAACACAGTGTAACCATGTCTCCACTAAAAATACAGCAATTAGCCTGGTGTGATGGCACACACCTGTAGTCCCAGCTACTCGGGAGGCTGAGCGGGGAGAATGCCTTGAACCTGGGAGGCAGAGGTTACAGTGAGCTAAGACCGCCACTGCACTCCAGCCTGGGTGATAGGAGTGAAACCGTGTCTGAAAATAATAATAATAATAATTATTATAATGGCATGCTAATCTGATGAGACAAACAAACAACAAAAAAGGTGAAAACCTGGAAGCTACTAAGATGTCCTTTATAGGGGAAGGTACTGAGAAACTGTGGTAACTCCAGACAATGGAAAGAAAGATACATACATCATACATCTTGTCAGTACTAAAAGAAAATGAACTACCAAGCCATGAAAAGATATGGAGGGAAGTGAAATGGATAGTACTAAGTGAATGAAGCCAGTCTGAAAAGCCTTCATACTGTATGAGTCCAACTCGATGACATCCTAAAAAGGCAAAACCCTAAAGACAGACTAAAGGTTAGTGGTCGCCAAGCACTGGGGGAAGGAGGGATAATTAGGTGGCACGTGGAGGATTTTTAGGGCAGTGAAACTGTTCTGTATGATACAACAATGGTGTATACATTATACATTTGTCCAAACACATAGAATCTATAACACTAAGAGTGAACCATGATGTGAACTATGAACTTTGGGTCATAATAATGTGTAGATGTCTTTTTATCAGTTGGAGCAAAGGAACAAATAGGCCACTCCAGTGTGGTATTTTGAAAATGAGGGGTTGTGTGTGTGGTGACAAGGGGTATATGCAAACACTAAGTGCTTTCTGTTCAGTTTTGCTGCGAACCAAAAACTGCTCTAAAAAAATAAGGTTTGTTAATTTAAAAAGATAGGGTGGCTCATTAAACACCTACCCTGATTTCTTCCTAATATCAGAAAATATTAGTGGTGTGTTATATCAAGTTTAATAATTATTTAACAGAACTGATATAATTGACTAATTAAATCAGCCACACAATCTACATAAATAATCTGATTTGAAATTGCATGAGTGAAAACGTTGGTAATTACTGAAGCAGGCAATAGGGCTCCATTACTATTGGGTACTTGGTATATGTTTGAAATTTTCCATAATAAAATATTAAACAATATCTGACCAGTTCTTTAAATCAACATTTGGGAAATTGAGAAACAAAAATACCTTCTGTCATATTTATATTTGTCCTAACACTTGTATTTCCATATGGACACCTAAAATTTTGCAGGGGTCATTAATAATCAATGATCTTTTAATCTGAGACTAACTCAGTGAGGGTAGACTACATCACAACATATTTGTGACTTTTTTCCGTACTTTACAGACAGGAAATGCCACCAGAGTTTGAAAATAGATTAACTCTTACTCTGAGATGCTACATATGTTAGTGTACTTTTCAAAGTGCCCAGCTCACTACAAGCAGGTGAGTTACATGTCAGGGAGAGTTTGGCACTTAAAATATAATTTCTTTAGCTTTTAGCAATGCATTCCTTTCATTTATTTTTACAGAAGAAAATAAATGTCAACAACAAGAGATTATACATACAATGCATTGAAAGCTATGGCATATTTCGCATACCTGCTCAAAAGATAACCCATGCAAAATATGTGAAACGACTTGTAACCATGCTGTATGAGAGAAAATGTAGTCTTATCCATAATACATAGAGTGTTTGTGTAGGATATGCACAGTCCAAGTAACATCTCGGACCAATAATTTGACTTCCCATAATAGCAGCTAGCTTGAGGCATACATCATGAAAAACATGGTTCCTGGATCAATTTAGATATGGTAAAACAAGGTTGCACACACATTACTATAGAGGAGGGAATTCAGCCTATAAACTCTATAGCACAGTAGAATGATTATTCGCAGCAACGTAAAGTTGGTGAGGAAACATTTGCCAAGGACCCCTTATCTGTAGCGCACAATCCCAGATGCTGCCTTGGGTAACAACATAAATGAAAGGAACATGAACTGCCCTTTAGCATGTTTGAATCTATTTGAAGATGTCATGCATAAACTAAATTAATAAGCCACATATAAAATAGACTTAAGTAGAAATACAGTAGCTTTGTGCACTAAAATCCTATTTCCATGATAATATAGCATTGGTACACATGCAACAAAAACCATTTGGAGTCAAGAATAATTAACCCAGAAAGATGCTTTTTGTTTTTAATTTTGTGACAGTCAAGTTTTGCGTTCAAGATCTGTTAACAGTAAAGACAAGTGGAGACTGGGGATCTGAGCTAAAGGTGTGAGCTACTGGGAATGGGATGCAAAAACATTGAGAGGCACTGATGTGCAAACTCAATATTAAAGAGATCACAAAGTAATTGGAATTTCATTATGAATTTATATTAAAATGGATTGTATATAGATGAGACCTTAGATTACATGTATTCTAGGCCATTACTTCTTCCTCTATTGTTTTCTTTTATGAGTTATCTTCCTAACTATCACAAACACACAACACCCAACAAATACTTGTACAACGTTAAATCTGACGAGATCAGGTGCATTCAGAGTGGTAAGGCTGTAGAGGATCATATTCTTGAACATAAGCAGGGCCTGTGGCCCCATGGATAGTTATTATCAACTGAACTGCATCAAACCACCCACCAAAACACGCCTAAAGTCTATATGTCGAAGTCCTAATTCTCAGTACCTCAAAAGGTGACTGCATTGGAAGACAGCATATTTAACAAGGTAATTAAATTACAATGAGGTCATTATGGTGGCCCTAATGTAATGTGACTGGTATCCTTATAAGAAGAGAAAATTTAGACAGAGATACACCCAGAGGGAAGACCATGTGAGGATACAGGGAAAGGAGAGCTATATACTAGCCAAGGAGAAAGGCCTGGAATAAATCTTTCCCTTACTGCCCTCAGGAGGAACTAACCCTGCTAGCACCTTGATCTTCGACGTCTAGCCTCCTGAACGATAAGAAAATAAGGTTCTGTTGTTTAAGCCACTCAGTTTTTGTATTTTGTTTCAGCGGCCCAAGCACACTAATTCAATAGCTAAAATACGTGTTATTTTTAAATAACTGGAAGACATTGCAAAATATAATACACCAGACTTACTTATCTTATATATCTTTACATGTTACTCAGCACAGTACAGTAGCATAACTGAAAACTGAACATGTGCCCTCTACTTCTGTACATTTGACTGAGATAAGTCATTCCCTCTTCAGTACTTAGTTTCTCAGACGTACTACACCAATAATTGACAAAGATTCAACATAGAGATGGAACGTAATTTTTGGCTACTTTGATGTATAATAAGTCCATTCTGAACTAAAGTAAATAACAATAAGGACAACAGTGAGGCAAAACTGCACTCCACAGCACATCACATTTTCACTAAGAAACATTTATGGTTTCCATAATAATAAATAAATAGTGACTCACTGGAAGAAAAAACAAACGACTTAATTGTGTTGTCCTTAAATATGAAATAATTTCTCTTTCATTCCTGTGGTGGGAGAGATAAAACTAAATTTCTTCAAGGTAAAAGTCTACATACTATCTTGGATTCTTACCAATGCCATTTGATTACAAACCGAAAATCCAAAGGAAGTATGTTTAGGAGAAATTTTATCCTTCTGTTTATATGTATTGTAAATGATTTTTTAAAAATCAGACAGGACATCTGCAATTTCTTAAGCATGAATTTTCAAAGACCATGAAGCCCTCTGGGTGACTTTTTCATTTCCTTAACAGATAGTTTAGTTTTAAACTACATACTTTCCCTTGGCAGGCTGAGAGATAAAAAGCCTTCTATAAAATTGATTTGGCATCAACATGAAAGAAACCTTTGTAAGTAGTGCTCTTCACCAAGCGTATATCCAAAAATTAAAATGTCACTCAGATCTGAGGTACATTCCCTGCCACAACATCCCCAACAAAATCATATTTACAGTCTGAGTGGTCATATTTCAGAGAAAAAAAAAAACTACTTTTACCTGTGCCTTTTTATTTTTGCAAGATTGCAAGCACTTCAAATTGTGTATTGGACATACCAATTTCAACCTAGTAAAACATGTAGTGTTTTTCATATGTTGCTTCATTGACCCATCGGTCATTCAAGAGCACATTGCTTAATTTTTATGTATTTGTAGTTTCAAAAATTCCTCTTGTTATTAATTTCTAGTTTTATTCCATTGTGGTCAGAGAAGATGCTTGATATTATCTCAGGTTTTTAGAATGTTTTATGACTTGTCTTGTGACCTAACATCTGGTCTATCCTTGAGAATGATCCAGGTGCTGAGGAAAGGAATGTGTATTCTGTATTTAACTGTACATTTTAAAATAACTTAAAGAGTATAATTGGATTGCTTGTAACTCAGAGGATAAATGCTTGAGGGGATGTATACCCCTTTCTCCATGATGTGTTTATTTCACATTGCATGCCTGTACCAAAATATCCCATGTACCCCATAAACATCTACACAATGAAAATTAAACGTTTAAAATATCTTTACAATATATTTTGGGTTTTCCTCAAATAAACAAGTCAGGTACATGTATTCACAATGTTTAAGGTAAAATGGATAGTCACATTTCCTTAGTCTTATTCTTTTCTTACAAGAATGAAACATTTTCATAAATTTGATGATTTATTAGAAATTAATTAATATAATTAATGTTGTCTACATTTACCCAAAAACAAAATGCCTTTCTGCAATAAATGCAGACAGTATCTGTATAGTTAATGGTAGAAAATAAGTCAATGCTAGATAGTATAAGACATACCTTACGAAATTCAAGTATTTCAAGAGGGAAATCTGCTATTTTGCTTTCTAGAAATTGTATTAAATAGTTTATAAAAAAATTTCCTTAAAATGAAACAAGTAGTTGAAAAGCATACAATGCAATACTTTATTCCATCTCTTCTAATATGTTTGAGCCAAGAGTGATCTGCAGATTGAACTGTTCTTAATGCCTGTTAAAATGTCCTGATTAAACAGTGCTGGCTTAAAGGTAGATTCAAAAAAGACATAAGATAACTAATCCCATAAATTTTAACTTCATGGAATTTGCTTATAAGTATTTGCTTCACTGAATGCTGCTTAAATGGGACTTTCATACGCTGTGAGCAATAATAAGATCTAACAAGGAGGAAAATGTCACTTAAGAATGTTTCAAACCACTGTCGTAAGTTCAAAAACCAAACTTAGCTCAAATATCTGTTAGTGACAACTTTCTCACTATCAAGCTAGCCAAAATTTGATCACTGATGTGCAACTACAAAGGCTAATCTTGATCTTTCCACTACACACTGAATTAATTCTGCCAGCAATTTTGAAAAATTTGTTTATACAAATTTAGATTCATATAAAGTTGTAAGAAAAAAATGGAATGATGCTTTGTACATTTTGCCCAATTTTCCCTAATGATAAGGACTTACAAAACTATAGTATAATAACATAAGTAGGATACTGACATTGACACAATCTACCAACTTAATTCAAATTTCCCTAGTTTACTCATTGGTGTGTCTGTGTATATGTAAAGTTCCACACACTTCAAGCTTTATTGAGACAAGCTGATATACAAAAAAATGCACACCATTAGTGTATACATTTTCTTTAGTTTGAACATATATACACAATTATGATACCATCACCATAATAAAAGTATTAAACATCCAACATCTCCAAAAATTACCTTGTGTTCATTTTTGATTTGCTTTTGTGTTAAGAACACTCAACATGAGATCCACTTTTAAGTAATTTTAAAGTACACAATAGTGTATTTTTAACTACAGGTACACATGGGGTACAAATGGTGTACATATTTGTATAGATACAAATGGTGTAGATATTTGTATAGGTACAAATGGTGTACATATTTGTATAGGTACAAATAATGTGCATATGTACAAGTAATGGGGGGCTGTACAGTAGCTCTTTAGAACTTACTTGTTTTTCATAATGAATTTTATATGCATTGAACTACTCTGCATTTTCTCTTCCTTCCAGTACCTGAAAACTACCACTGTATTCTCTGTTTCCATGAATTTAACTATTTTAGATACCTCATATAAGTAGAATTATACAGTATTTTGTCTTTGCTGGTTTATTTCATTTAGAATAATGTCCTCTAAGTTTACCCATGTTGTCAAAAATAGTAGGATCTCCTTTTTTCCTTTTTTAAAAGAATAATATTCTCTCTCTCTCTCTCTCTCTCTCTCTCGCTCTCTCTCTCTCTATATATATATAAATATAGCCCCCATTTTCCTTATCCATTTATCTGTTAATGGATATTGGGTTGTTTCTATATGTTGATTAATGTTGCAATTAACATGGGAGTGCAGAAATATCTTCAAGATCCTTATTCAATTCTTTTGGATACATATCCAAAAGTAGGATTTCTAAATCATATGGTAGTGTTATTTCTAATTTTTCAAGGAACCTCCATACTGTTTCCCATAATGGTTTACTAATAAACATTATCATCAACGGCATACAGGAGTTCCCTTTTTCTCCACAAACTTGCCAACATTTATCTTTGTTTTTTATAATAGCCACCCTCAGGGTGTGAGGTGATGTACCATTGCGGCTTCGATCTACATTTCCCTGATAATTAGTCAGTTCACCCTTCACATATCTATTGGCTATATTTGTGTGCCTTCTTTGTATGTCTTCTTTGTAGAAATGTCTATTCAAATTCTTTGCCCATTTAAAATATCAGATTATTTGTTTTTTGGCTATTGAGTATAGGATAGGAGATTTCTATATATTTTGGATATTAACTCCTTATCAGATAGGTGGCTTACAGATATTTTTTCCTATTCCATGGATTGTCATTCATTCTGTTGATTGTTTCTTCTGCTGTGAAAAGCTTTCTTTTTGGTTTTATGTGGTCTCATTTGTCTATTTTCGATTTTGCTCCCTGTGCTTTTAGTGTCAAGTTTAAGAAATCATTGCTAAGACCAGTGTCAAGAAGCCTTTCCCAATCATTTTAACAGTGTGAGAGAAACTTTTATTTTATTCTTTTTAAATTAGTTCATTCAAATCACTCCTATAGAGCTTCAGTATATTGTCATTTTTTAAAAGTTTTGGGTATCTAATAACATTTTTATAACCAGTAGTATTTATAGTGTATTTTAATACCAAATTTGTTACAACAAATACAGCAAAAATGTAATCTGATATTTTCTATTGACATGAAAATGTTTAGATTTTATGAAAAATAATAATAGTGCAACGAATCTGATTATAATCAGAGAATCTTAGGTCTGAGAAACTGCCTTACATAATTACACATGCTAATCTTCTACTGAAAATTGCCATGATCTACATTGTGATACCTTGATAGACAGTTATTCTGACCCTTGTTGAATTCTTCTAGTGTACTTATTCTCTCCATTCACAGCAAATCCATTCTGTGAGTAATTTCAGGGCTAGAGAGTACTTCCTCTCACTGAGTTAAATCTGTCTCTCTGTGACTTCTGACTTTGGTCCTATTTCTGAACCTTACAACTGCAGAGAATTTATCTTACCCTCCTTCCACATCACAGCTCTTCATACATTTGGAGACAGCCATATACAGCAGTTCCCATTTGATCAGTTCACTCTCCCCATGCTTTGAGTCGATTCTAATGCAAATTGATGATATACTTTCCCACTAATGCATGAACTCCAAATGGCAGGGTGTACTTTGAAATGAAACGGGAGGTTGACACTATTCATGGTGAAAGTCATCAATGCTGTTGGATTTGTAGACTAGAAAGATCCAAACGGCCTCCCTGATTGAGATTTACTAGATTCACAGAGAAGACAAAAATCTCAAATAGAGATTTGAAAAGAGTTTCTGTGCCTTAGAAAGTCAGCCCAAACTAAGTCTGTCAAATATATTGAGGATTCCTGATGGTTGGAATTTTTTTCATGATTATTTTTGACAGTTTTTCTTATCTCTCTCATGTTTCTGTGCTACCACAAATTCATTGCCTGTAAATTGCCTTGAGATTTTTTTTTTTACTAGATCTAAAAACAACAGCAAACACTTTCAATATGAAATAAGGCATTTAACCATCCTTAACATTGCTTTCCTATATCTTGAAGTTATGTTTCCATCTTTTTACAAATAATGAAGCCTGAAGGCATCATAATAGATTGTAAAGATCCAGTGCCCACTGAAGACTCTTAAAAGTGAGGGAATGATAATATCATTCTTCTTGTAATGTGACAGAAACATTGAAATCTTAATATTTCTTGGACAATGTTATATCAAAATTATTTTGGAAAAATATTTCCCTTGAATAGTCTTTCATATGAATATGTACAGCAGCATGTATACAGTAAGTTATAAATAAATGCTTATTCAACAATGATGTTATGTCATATATTCTGTATGTATGTGTGTTTATATTTGTTTGCTTGTTTGTTCCTTCAAACTATTTTTTCTCCTACATTCTCATACCATTGTTTATGACCATACGATATTACAACTAATTGTAAATTTAAAAATTCAATTGCAGATGTATTATTTCACACACAATATCAAGTTATTACAGATATATTTTCATCTCACTAGACTTAATTTAGCTCTTATTTGAATGCTGTGTATTTGGTGTCTTTTCTGAGATTTAGGCTTAACTGACTGGATTCTTACTATATACAGTATTAGTAACCTTATCTGTTTTAAAGATATTTAACTGCTCAGAATTATTTTTTTTTAAAAAAAAAGGAGAACAAAGCAGTATGTTCTTGTTTATCTCAAGCTATGCAAGCAATACTTTGTTCTTCCTAACAGAGCCACATAATCACAAGATGACTAATTAATTTATCAAGTTCCATGAAAAGAGCAGATTCTATGACTGCCTGCACAGTGCCCAGGTCTTAATCATGGAAATTCATTCAATAGCAGCCGAGACTAGCTGATGAATAGCTCTACAGCTTTTGAGAATTATTTTCTAGTAAGCTGCCATTCTGTCTTCTCAATGTAAACTAGGTAGTATGTAACCATGACGGCATCTTAGCAGTCATGAGAAGGATGTATAACATATGGAAAATTGTTTTTACCTGAAGTGATGAGATGACATAGATGATTTCATTAAAGGAGGTCTAGTACAGTCTGATGTTGAAAAAATAGTGATTCATTATATGCAACTCAGAATGGGATGAATGAACTAATAGCCTAGGGAATTATGTTAAGGGATAGAAATTTAACATCAAGATATGTTGGAAGTAGTGGGTGAAGGAGAGAAAACTCAGCAAGATGAAAAAGGAGGAAGTGAATATGAAAAACATGTTTCATCTCTGCTTTTTCTTTGCTATGTAACTCTCAACATAGTTGTAATATAGTCAAAAAAGGAATACTCCAAAAAATACTTAAACAAGGCACTTAGGTTACTTAAAAGCAACCTTTTGAAGCTTTATTAAGACTTAACTGGCTCTTTGAACCCTCAGGAAAAACAAATGTATCCCTCTTTTTAATCTGATGTTATAATATGATGGAGAGAAAATCTAAACTATGTCAGTGTTGGCAAGAATCATTGAGGGTCATAGGCTGAAGAATCTCTTCAAACAAAGAAAACAAATTACCATAACTTCATGATATTCTAATCAACTCAAATGATCATTAGAAATATGTAGCAGAAAAACTACAAAAAAAAAATTAGCCAGGCGTGGTGGTGGGTACCTGTGGTCCCAGCTACTTGGGAGACTGAGGCAGGAGAATGGCGAGAACTGGGGAGGTGGAGCTTTCAGTGAGCCGAGATCATGCCACTGCACTCCAGCCTAGGTGACAGAGCGAGACTCTGTCTCAAAAATAAAATAAAAGAAAAGAAAAAAGAAAAAAGAAAGAAAGAAAGAAAGAAATATGTAGCAGAGGGCAGACTTTCTCTGTATAATAGCATAGAAAGTCATCTGGGAAATAGAAACCCACACTTCCAAAATCTCTGCTTGATCTAGCTCCTACCTAAGTTTTCTACCTTCCTTCCACATACCTCTCCTCCACTAAGATGTCCAAATATATGAAAGCCTCGAGGACTGGTGTTTGTTGTTGATATGGTTTGGATCTGTGTCCCCACCCAAATCTCATGTGGAATTGTAATCCAAAATATTAGAGGTAGAGCCTAGAGGGAGGTGACTGGATCATGGGGGCAGAGCTGTCATGAACGGTTTGGCACCATCTCCCCTTGGTACTGTAGAGTGAGTGAGGTGTCATGAGATCTGATTGTTTAAAAGTGTGTGTCACCTCTCCACTCTCTCCCACTCTCTTTCCTTCTGCTCTGGCCATGTAAGGAAGACCTCCTTCCCCTTTGCCTTCCGCCATGATTTGAAGTTTTCTAAGACCTCCTCAGAAGCCAAGCAGAGGCCAGTATCATGCTTCCTGTAAAGCCTATGGAACTGTGAGTGAATTAAACCTCTCTCTCGCTCTCTTTTTTATTTTTTATTTTTTTAGTAATTTACCCAGTCTGACATATTTCTTTATAGCAGTGCAAGAACAGACTAATTCAGTTGTTCTCTCAGCCTGGAAAACCCTTCTGTCAGGTCTCTGCATGACTCACCAGCTAGGTCTTCGCAGGAAAATCTTCTCTGATCAATCTCTAATGCCCCACTGCCATCACTTTCTGTTTTATTTTCCTTGTCATGTTTACAACTATCTGAGATAATCTTAACATTCGTTTCCTAGTTTATGGCCTACATTTTCCCACAAAAATTAATGCTATATGAATACAAGGGTATCATATGTTTTGTTCCACATCAATTTCCAATGTCTAGAACAATGCCTGATCCAGAGCAGGTACTCAAAAAAATTGATAAATCAATATACATAAGAACAATAAAAATAAATTCACTGCAAAATTGAATTATGTTTCTGTTTTTTCTCATTGCAAGTTATAATAAGAACAAATAGGTTCATTGTTTAGTTTTGAAAAGTAACACAAGGACATAATTTAACACACCCGGAGTTATTACAAATAATGTTGTATTCTTAAATATAGTAAAAACTAAATTTTATTACAGAGTTTAATCAGTGAAATACTTAAATGGCATACAAATATGATTTTACAAATAGTTGCATACCAGAATTGGAAGCTCAGGAAACTAGTAACCAGAAAATGTGTTACACATCATTCCATTATTTAGGCTTTGAATTCAAGAGTCCGGATGACTTAGATATGTAATCCTGTTCTTGTTATTAAGAGTGCATTTCCTTGAAAGACTCCTTCCCTCTTAGAAAAATGGTGACCAAAACCAGCATTTTTCTAAGAACAGGTTTTCATAAGGACCGCTACCCATCCATGCAGTCAGAAGTTGGGAAGGCAGAATAATGTTTGGATTCTTTCAACAAAAGGCCTCCTACAGTGACACCAAAGTAGTGGAAGGATATTCGTGATATTTTCTCCTTTCACTAACTGAGCCTGATTCAAGTGGGCCCCAAATTTTCTTCCCCAGCTGCAGAGGCCATTTTCTTTATTTTGAAAGTTAATTCCACTCACAGCTGGAGCTCAAAGCAAAAAGTGAACAATGTGCATTAAAAAAAAAAAAAAAAAAAAAAAAAAAAAGCTTCCTCACATTTGAACTTGTAGTTGTTACAATGACAAAAAGTAATGTCCTCAAGCCAAAAGGAGCCTCACTGTTTTGGTTAAGGTTTAAAGAGCTTTACAACAGTGATCTGAGGCATAGCACCCTCAGAAACAATTCCTACCTGAGGCGGAGCTGCACTATGTCAGACTGTGGTATGGCATTTTACAATTATGCTGTCCTGTGCATGACACAAAGGATGAAATAGGATGAGATCTAACTGTGATCAGAAGCACCCTAGATGCATTAGCCCCATTCTTTCAGCCATGAACATATGTGAGGGCTTCTTAAGACTCTGGTTAGAGACCACAGATGTGCATGCAGGTGAAGGGAGGACTTTGTCCTCATAAATTCCACACGTTACGTACTTTTTTCCCCCCCAAAAATATGAGGGAGACATAAACATAAATAATATTTGAAAACTAATAGTCTTCAATATCCCCAAAGGTTATTTTCAATTGAATGCTTTTTTAGAGGAAACTCATATGTTTGCTTTCAAGTATATTTCACAAAAACGAATATAAAGTTGTTTTATGTAGTAGATGATAATTTTACATCTCTAAGTAATGCCTAATTCTTCTCTTCCAACTTCTTAGGAGAGAATTAGGAATATGTATTATTATTATTTTTTTATTTTAGAATTTCATCTTATCTGTTGTATCATATTAATACAATTTAGCGTGTTTGTTAGTTTCCACTACAACAAATGGCTATATACCTATTGGCTTAAAATAACCCAGATGTATTATGTTCAGTTCTAGAGGTCAGAAGTCTGAAATGAACTTTATGTCTCTGAAATCCAGCTATCATCAGGGCAAGTTCCTTCTGGTGGCTCCAGGGAAAATATGTTCCTTGTCTTTTCCAGTCTTCCTTTTCTTATTCTTAGGGGCTCATCGTTCCAATCTCTGCCTCCTTTGTCATGTTGCTTTCTCTCCTCTGACCTCTACTCTCCCTTTTTTTTTTTTTTTTTTTTTTTTTTTTTTTTGAGACAGAGTCTCGCTGTGTCACCCAGGCTGGAGTGCAAAGGGCATGATCTTGGCTCACTGCAACCTCCGCCTCCCAGGTTCAAGCAATTCTCCTGCCTCAGCCTCCTGAGTAGCTGCAATTACAGGCATGTATCACCACACCTGGCTAATTTTTTGTATTTTTAGTAGAGACGGGGTTTCACCATGTTGGCCAGGCTGGTCTCAAACTCCTGACCTCAAATGATCCACCTGCCCCGGCTTCCCAAAGAGCTGGGATTACAGGTGTGAGTCACTATGCCAGACCCACTCTCCCTCTTAGAAGGACCTCTGTAATAACATCAGGACCACCCAAGGCAATCTAAGATCATGTCCCCATCACGGGATTGTCGACTTCATCAAATCCACAAGACCCCTTTTCACTGTGAAGTAATATAGTCACAGGTTCTTGGGATTAGAGGATGAACATCTCTGGGGAAGCTGTGTTTCTGTGTACCAAAGCATATAAACTATAAACATAAAATAGACATGATCAAATGATTCAGTTCTTCGGAGAAGGTCAGGCTCTAATCATTGGCTAATACTGAGCAACAGAGGGATAAAGTAATATTCAATTTCATTGATAAATCTATCATTATTACATATGGTGCTCTTTTAGCAGTATTTTTGAATAATAATTATTCAAAATTCAAAATAGTGATAAGAATGCTAAATATTAAATGATATCAATTCTATTACCAAATGCAAAGAATAAATTTTCTTTGTGGAAAGTTGGATTTTTGGATCTTTTAAAAGTATTGTCATGTTATCATTGCATTAATCTTCAAAATTCAACATTTATTGTCTCCCTATAGAAAGTTACAGTATACAACAAAGTGAGCTTTTATTGAAAGGAAATATTAAATTGTATATCTGTATGCATACAGGTAATACAATTATATTGCTTATCTTTCATAAGGCAGATTTGAATAGAGAATTCCAGATCCCTGGTCATGTTAACAGTAATGTAATATATAGTAGATATCCAATAATTAATTTGTTGACAGCACTTTAAAAGTGAGTGTAGGTCAAGTTTGAATCATAATAGCAGAACTAAATTTCTAGATACTATCATTTGGTGGTTATTCATAAGATTTTGAGTGATATTATTGGATTAGATTTGTATCTTTCAGTTAGATTTTATTTTTCCAAAGACCTCCACTGATCTCTTTTTATTACTAAGTAGTTAATGAAAATAAACCCAAAATTGTCACATAGTATTACAATAATTGCATCTCATACAGATTCTGGTCTTTATCACTGTGATCTCTTATTTATCAGAGTGTGTAAATGTAGTTATGCAAGAATCACGTTCATTTTAAAACACAAATCATATCATTTTACTGCATTGCTTAAAGCTCTCCTTTTTTTTTTTTTTTTTTAACCATAGCTTAAATATGTCTCTCCACATACTGGTTCTGCCCGTTGCTCAAGCCTCATCTCCCTCGAATCACCCCTTCTTTACTATCCTCCATCACACATACTACGCTGACCTCCATTGTGGTTTTCTTTTTTTTTTTTTTTTTTTTTTTTTTTTTTGTTTTGAGATGGAGTCTTGCTCTGTCACCCAGGCTGGAGTGCGGTGGCGCAATCTCGGCTCACCACAGCCTCCGCCTCCCGGTTTCAAGTGATTCTCCTGCCTCAGCCTCCTGAGTAGCTGGGATTACAGGCATGTGCCACCACACCCGGCTAAATTTTGTATTTTTAGTGGAGACGGTGTTTCTCCTTGTTGGTCAGGCTGGTCTCGAACTCCGGACCTCAGGTGATCCACCCGCCTCGGCCTCTCAAAGTGCTGGGATTACAGGTGTGAGCCAACCATGCCCAGCCCTTTGTGTTTTTCAAAAACACCAAGCCCGCGCCTGCCTAAGGATCTCAGCTCTGCTGCCCCCTATCTGTCATTCTCATTCCTGATCTGCCATAGGTAGCTCCTTTCATCAGTCAGATCGAAATCTCACCAACACCCCATCTACTTTCACTCTCTTTACAATTTACCCGGTTTATTTTTTTCTAGGACTTACAATCCTCTGAAGAATTTCTCCCCCATTGTTCATTTTCTTTCTTCCTGCCTGGAATATAACTCCAGGAAAACATGGACATGACTGTTTGGTTCATTGTCCTGCCCCAGCGCCTAGAATGGTGCTGAATATCAAGTGAATACTGAATAAATGTGATTCTTAATAAATACATTTCATATTTTAACAACAAGTCTTCTTTCTCTCATTAAGTTTAGCAAATAAAACTGCCAGATAAGCTTTGGAACACATACTGTTAAACAGGTTCGTAAATGTTTTTGTTTTGTTTTGTTCTTTAGAAGAAGAGAATATCTATTGCTTCCTCCCTTCTAGATGTGCTTCTAATTGATTTTACCACAGGTAGAATCTATTTTAACAAAAGTTATATCTAAGACATTAAAATATGTGAATATATTAGATCAACAAATATAATTCCCATACCCTCTGATCTACTACAATATTACCATTACCATTATTATTATGGAAAATTTATCTTTAAATTTTTCTCATCTTGTTTAGGTTATCAGAAAAAAAAGGCAGACATTCTTTCCAATATCAACTGACAAATTCTCCAGTTAGTCAAAACACAAACTCTTTTATCTCCTATGTCCCCATCAAAATATAAAAATAAATAAGTCAGTTAATCTGAAAGCCTTGACTAGAAGGCCAATGACAGCCATATTTCTGAGAGACGCAGAGCTTCAATCTGAGAGATAGAAGAGTATCTGAAATCCAGCAGCAAGAGAGAAGAATCTCCTTTATTATTGACAACTCAGGGTTTCTGGCCATCAGCACCTTTTAGTTACGCCTGTCTTCATTTCTTTCTGAAATTTGTTCCTGAATTATACTATTGCAGTTTAAAACAAAAACACCGAAACTGATTTTTTTTAACTTTTCATCATAACATTTTGGTCATAAAAAAGAAAAAAAAACAAATCAAGAATGAAAGGAAATGTAAGCTCACTGATAATAATCTATTTGATTTTGCTCAGTAAATAAAAGATAATGATAAACAGCATATTGATATCTACTAGACAATATCCATGTATTCCTTATATTAATTCTGTGGAATAGGTATGATTTGTATTCCCATTTTAAAGATAAGGATGCTGAGCCATTGGCATCTAACTTTTCCCTAAAGAAATAGCAACTTTCACTTCTACAGAACAGATGAGAAAACTGTCTTGAACTTAATTGAATGGAAACTCAGACACAGCGTCAGCTTACTGGGGGGCTTATCCTCAGAGGTGTGCTAGCATTCAGAGTCCATAGTAAATGATCACCCACTCTGTGACTTGTAAAACCTTTGGTATTGCCTTTATTTACTCAGTTCGAGGTTATGATGGCCAAATAGGTATACAGGCCGGCTATATCAATGGAAGAATGTGTGTATCTTGACAACAATCTAGCCCTTTCCCTCAAATTGAAACTGGATCAATTAATCACAACAATTCAAAAAAGTCACTTACTTTTTCAAGTAGGTAAATCTGTATCTTCCTTTATTCCTGAGACTGTCTTTGAAAGTGATGACAATGACCCTGAAATAAGAAAAATATCATATTTGTGCTTAGGTAGTATTGGAATTTAAACCCTTCTTTTAAATTATTTGAAAATGTACTAAATGAGCACTGCGAAACAATATTGGCTAAGGATTTCAAATTTTTTTTAGGCTCCATATTTTTTCTACACTAATAAAAGAGCCCAGAAAAAAAAATCTATCTAAACAGTGTGAGAAAGAAAAATCTAATAAATAAAGAAGCAGAAAATTAATTTTAGACTACCCACAGAACAAATTATAATCGTCCTCTGAATGTCACGTACAGAAGGTGAGATATTAACTTTAGACATTTTTTCCCACTATGAATCCCAGTTTTATTAAGTTTTCAATAGTAGATGAAAGTTTCAAATTTTATTAAGTCTTCAGAAAATATCCCAAGAAACACTGTGCTTCAGTGAGTATCAGAGAAAGGAATATGTAAACACTCAAACTGTGCATATAAAGCAAATTAATTTATATCTTATTTTAAAATACAACATGCTTCAGTGGTGCTAGCAAAAGACATAGTCTTCACTTACCAGAAATTAAGTGAGTCTCTAGAAAATAAAGTATAATTATCTCTTGACATCAATGCTTACATACTCAACTGTGGAAGAATATTTCCCATAATGAAAGGAATCACAAAGAGTACCTACACTCGTGGATCTGTTTACTGATTTGGTGCTTACATAACATAAAGAAAGATCTTCAAGGAAGGTTTCATATGTATGCCACAACTGTGAAAACTTTCAGATATCATTTTTGCCAAATCTTCCACAATCCCTGATTACAATTTTTTTCCATGTAGGCAAATATTTCATCAAAATGTTTTTTTTTCTCATTTTATGAGAGATAAAGTTTACTTATATTAAAAAGGACAATTTCAGTTAATGTCAGTGTTTGGAGGAGAGATTAAGTTAAAGAAAATGATGGCAGATGATAAATTATTCTTTAGAAGTAGCCAAGTGTGATAAATTTTCATCAGCAGATTAATCATAAATCCAGCCATAAATGCAGTCATTAATGCTGACTAAACAAATCAAAAAAGCTAAAACTATAGTGTCAAATACTTGTTTTATAAACACACAAATGTTTTCACACTAAATCAAACTCAAAGAAAAACTGGTGATTTTAAGCAGCTAATAACTTTGAAGAGACATAACACCAGTAGTTGAACATTTTGTTCCTGGATTCTAAAACAATTTAAAATTATGACAAAAAAGTTTTATGTATTAATATAGGATAAGATTAGTATCTTTTAAAGGAAGGATCCAGGTTCACACATCATTAATTTTAATAAATGAATCAATGCCATAATCTATTTCTTAGCTTTCCTTTTTATATGGATGATAATAATAAAAATATATGAAGTGTGAAAATATTTTCTTTTTTATGTCTTGGATCCCTGAAGATCTTGAAATTTTTTTAGGAAACATTTTGCCATCTCAAAGCTAGGGTCCTCACATTCTCACATTCTTTACTTGGAGGCTGTTGATTCATAGAAGACAGTTAAATGAAATTTTGGGAATACTATTCCCATAAAGGATGCCCTTAGACTCCTATGTATCAAGGCTCCTTCCAGTCAGGGGACAATGTCTAAACTGTCCCCATATCCCTCACAACCCTTCACCCCTAATGCCAAACTTCACATAAGATCTGTCCTTCATTACCATCTGCCAGAGGATGAAATTCATCAAGTGCATTAATATGCACGTGTTTCAGAAATGAGATGTTCTTGCTCTAGTCTCTCGCACATGCAAACTGCAAATCAAAGAATCCATGACAATTAGAATTTTCAGTGAGTTTATTGCTTCTAATCAGACTTAACAAAGTACTTTCATGTAAAATGACACCACCATCACCAAGTGATGTAAGTGCAAATAATGAAAAAGCAAGCTATAATTACCAAAATCTCTATAATCATGATTTGAGCCAATAAATACCCCCTAAATTATATTGATCCACGTCAATCTCTGCTTCAAAGCCACATACAGACTACGTTTTAATTGTAATCAAATATCGCAATGCCAGTTGTACGTGTGTGTGTGTGTGTGTGTGTGTGTTACTCTAACAGAGTTATTTCTACATCTGTTTCCTTTTAGTTATTCTGTAAAATAAAATATTAAGTCTGAGTTGGCACCATATTTCTGACTTAGCTACATTTATTTTATACATTTAGGCTCTTGCTTTTGTAAAAGTCATATTTTCTCACATATTTCAGAAAGTGTGTGAGACAATGAACAAATAAGAATGTTTGATGTTTGGACTCTAGTATTTTAAAAAGTTGTCTGTTTCACTAAAGAGGGTTACCAAGAAGACATCAGATATTTCTGCTTGAAAGAAATAAAAGCTATATGCCTCACATTATTCACAGCCAAACCAAACAGGCTACTGTGGTATTCATAAATCCCTCTGAATTAAGTCAAACATGCATAAAATCAGGCTTCTTTTGTGGCAAACATTTCTTCCAGCTGAGCCCAAGAAGAGAATAAAAAGTTATCCAAATATCTATTGTTAAGCTGAGGACAACTTTAAAAAGTAAATGTCATGCCTCTGTTGGAGTCTTCCTGACAATTTCCTAATTTTAATAAATTGTCTGTGAGAACTGTGATCAACCTTGTTTCCATTCAGAATGAAGAACATAGTTCCAAATGCCATTGCATTAGCTTTAAGTAATGTCACAGTGTTTGGTGCTTTATTTTGTTTTATTAAGATTCAGGTAACTCACTTTCAAGTAAACAAATGGAACATATTCTCAAAAAAGCCTAGTGTTTTCTTGCAAGGAAAAATTCCAATTTCTTACACTTCTATGGATGAAAAATAAATACATTTTGCAAATATGATATCCATTCCCCAAAATATGTAAAAGATTAAAAGTAATTTAAAGCTGTTTACAATGTGATCATTTAAGGGGAAGTTGTATTTTAATTAAATTTTGTATTTCAATTCATTTTGAATTGGATTGAGTATGAAAAGAGAAAGGCTATTTTTAATATAATATTTGGGGTCAGAGTCAATAACAATCACAATCACAAAAACAACAAATATGCGACACGTTCATGTTGATCGAGTCTTAGGTGCATTAAACATCAACAAGCAATCACCAACTTTCAACTGTAGCTGGGACAAAGACAGGCCTGATTAATTTTCTGTTTCCAGATATCCTATCACCTACCCGAACTCATAGCTTATCTGGTGACACTGATGAAATATTTCTATTTCCCTAAACCACAGGTGGAGAATAAATGATAAGCCAAATGTAATTTTGGTCAAACCCACTGCATTTGGGATTTGTAGTAGACAGTCCCCTCTTTTCAGATGTACAGAACACAGCCAACTCCAAAATCCTTTGCCAATGCACTTACAGGTAATTTTAGAAACTGCGTGCACTCCAATTGAAAAGTTAATACCAGCCTCATTCATTTTTACTTTAGCCATCAAGATGTTAATTGAAAAGAATTATTTGTCAGTCCCAGGAGCTTGCTTCCATGTTAAGAAATAGCATTTTGCTAAGGTAAGCAACAGGTATCTCTAAAAGTTTTAAATTAAATTTTACATTCTAGTAACCTCGTTTCTACCTTGTGGTTGCCATTCTCTTTAATATTTAATAGGACTTTGGAAGCAGAGATGTTCTATAGCAGAGCAGTAAAAAATGATTATTACAATATTTATTAAAGTCATCAAGATGATATATGAACCTTATGAGTCACAAGTATCAAATTTTACATAATATTGAAAACTCTATGGTGAAATATGCAATGGAGTAGATTTATTCATAACTGAAGGAATACTCTACTAATGTCACCATTCTTTTTATATAAAGGCTCTTCATGTTCTAAGATATATGCTGCTGACCCACAATGAAAACTAGTCCTAAAATTCCAAAAAATCCTAAAAATATCCTAAAAGTTCTAAAATTAAAACTATATAAATCGATAATGGAAATATAAAATTGAACTATGAGAAAAATAAATGTTTGACTCTGTCAAAATCCCAGTGAAAATTACTCTAGTTGAAGTCTCACGTGGTTCTTGCTGTCCAGAGATGAATACTGTGAAACTCCTTCCAATTACAGAACGCTATAAATTGGCTTAAAATGCAATGGTACCTTCAGATTTCCCTCCTTGACTAATGCATTTAAAGGACTGAATAACACAATTAAAGGACCATTAAACAATTAATATATGAAATGTGTAGAGGATGAAACAATGAAACTAATGAACTGGTAAACCCGTCTTCTGAAAATTTGTAACTTAAGGATGGAGACAAATGTACAAATTACTCTAATAAAAGAAATAGTTCTAACTGGTGAGTAAAGTTTCAGTCAAAGCCTATTTTCAGCACAGGTAGTTAAGTATTTATTCCCCTTTTGCAACAGATGCATTTGAGTCCCTACAAATAGGGAGCACTTAAATAACAAATATAAAAGAAGGTCAGCCTTCTCCACACCTTAGTGGGGGAGGGGGTGGGTTTTACGGTTCTTAAAACTGTCCTTCATTCTCTTTGTATTCACCCCACTCACCCACAAGATTCAATCCCCAGTGCCTTGGAATCGCTTGGTATACATTTTATTGATTACTTATCAAATTCATAAAGGAAGTCATACTATATAGAAACTCAAGGGTACAATTTAAACATTCTAGAAGACAAAATTTCTTGGGCTAAGAGTTCATTCTTCGGTGTTAGAGAAGGCTCTGAAAAATCAGGGCCATTGAAATGTATTTCAGTGTTTGGAACTAATTCTGAACAGAATGAGTAGCAATCAGAGGATTTGAATATGACAGTGTCATAAACACATATATATTTGGAACTTAAGTCTTGATACAGTAGATTAGAGGATTAAAGAACAGGAACTAGAAATAAACAGTTCACTTATAAAGGAACTGCAATCATTTACAGGTGTCTGGAGCCAGGGCAGTGGCAAAAGGTAGCAGGTCACTCACAATAGCGGATCTTGTGCCACTCAGTGCTCTAGGAAAACAGCAAAGCTGGAGAGTTGAACAGGAGAGTAAGTTTGCATTAGGAAATGTTGAGTGTGACAGATTGGATTAGAGGTTTTGGGAAATGAGGTCTAGAGCAAGTTTGCAATGTCCATACAATACATTTTATTCTTATAAGTGTATAAATGGCGGTTTAAAAACATGGATGTGTATCTAATGTTTTGAAAGTGGTGGGGCAAGGTTGTACAAAAACATCAAGGCGAAGAAGGAAATTTGAAGAATATATTTTATGGGCAGGACCATAATATATATAGTCATGAGTCACTTAAGGATAAGGATATGTCCTGAGAAATACATCTTTAGGCAATTTCATTCTTATGTGAACATCGTGGAGTAGACTCACACAAACCTAGATGGGATAGCCTACTACACACTTAGGGCATTGATATAGCTTATTGCTTCTAGGCTACAAACCTGTACAGCATGTTACTGTACTGAATATTGCAGGTAATTATAAGACAGTGATGAGTATTTGTGTATCAAGCATATATAAATATAGAAAAGGTAAAGTTAAAATACAGTCAAAGGAATAAAAAAAAATGATACATCTGTATAAGGTGCATACCATGAAAATAGTTTGTGAGCCTGGAAGTTGCTCTGGATGAATCAGTGAGTGGTGAGAGAATGTGAAGGCCTAGGACATTATTGTACACTATTGTAGATGCTATAAACACCGTATACTTAGACTACACATTATTTTTTAAATTTTCTTTCTTAAATAATAAATTAACTAGCTTACTGTAACATTTTTGCTTTAAAAACTTTTTTAGCTTTTGACTCTTTTGTAATAACATGTAGCTTTAAACATGCACACATTGTACAGCTGCACAAAAATGTTTTCTTTACATCCCATTCTATAAGCTTTATTCTATTTTTTACTTTTTATTTTTTCTGTTTGGCTTTTAAATTTTATTGTTAAAAACTAATAAGGGTACCTACACCACTAGTTATTTTTCAAACATGAACTGTACATTTTCACATCTGCAACTTCACATATCTTATTTTCTTTTTCTTCTACCCTAAATGTCCTACTTTCAACAGCCATATGGATGCCCTTTGTATCCCCAAAGACTTAATCAAGGGCTGCCTTCTCTGAACGTGCTAAATTTTCTAGTTTTGCTAAAGATAGAGAAACACAATTTAAAAGACTAATTTTTTCCCCACATAGTACCCATTTGATAAATCCTTATAGGATTAATGAAAAATATCTTACTCATGATTAACTACCCTGAAACCACAAGATAGCCATGTATGAAGCTATGGACTCTGGAATATTTGTATAAATGAGTATTTTTAAAAAATAAATTAAAATAATAATATATCCTTTTTCAGGGCATCTGGAAGGAAAAAAAAAAACAAGTACGATGAACAGTCACTATAAAACTTTCCATAGTAAATAAAAGCTGTCATATTTTTCATTTTAAGTTTAAATTTATTTTTAAAGGAAAAGCAAAGGAAATTGGGTTGAAAAACTTGTTTAAAATATGCCCTCCAAGGCCACCCACCCAATATTCTAACCTTTAACTGACTAATTAGGTCCACTTGCTTTATGAGACATGTGCTTTAAGAACTAGGATAATTCTTAATAGTATAGCCAGGAAAAACAACAGAAGTAGAAAAATATTTTTATAGTTGAATAACTTGGCACCAGTTTTCCTGCAACTGAGAACACATTTTGACTATCCTTTGTGAGTGTTTGGAAAGACAAAAAGAATTAAGATTCACAAAAAAGGTTTATGAAACAGTTTTAAATAATTTGTATATCAGCACAGAAATGGAAGTACTCCCTTTACTGATAATTTAAATAATCAATCATATACAACCTTATTTTAAAAAGGAACAATGAATCCTGAGGGATGTATAATGTAGCATGAAATTAAAACTAGGTTGACTCAACTGACATTAAATTTGACTGAGGAGAGACTTCTCTCAAAAGAACACCTGCCCTTTCAATCCTAAAATCAATTTACGGGTCAAATGAATTAGCTATATTAGTAAAAGCCTTCCACAGCAGGGAGAATCCACAGTCTCTGATATGGCCCTGAAGCCCATTTATTTATTTGTATTGAGTTAAAAGTTAAAAGACTATGATTGATTATTATCTTATTTCAAACCCTTGGTACCTAATATTGAAATTATCCTGTATTTTAATTAAGTTTGAAATTATTATGGATTTTATTGATGAGTGGAAATTTATAGATATTGGCCAAATCATTGAGAGAGATCAGGATGATGAGATTTAGATTTTAATTTAGTCTTTTTCTTTTAAAGAAATCTAACTCTAAGCAACATAGAAAATAGGACATTATACTCTATTTGTATTCTGAAAGCAATACAGACACATGCACAAATACACATGTAAACGCTTATATGTATATGAAAAAGAGACAGAGAGAGAAGGCTTATAGAGAAATTGAATCAGCATTTTGAAAGTGATTTTTTTTAACTAGATTGAGATGATCACTCCATATGGAGTTGGAGTTCTCTGTAAATGCTTCAGAAATTGTCTGTATCCCTACAGGAACAATCAGTGGTGGTAGCACTGCACGACACCTTGCGAAGAGAAGTTGATCGTGTGGAGTGGAGTGTTGCATGGAGTGCAGCATTCAATCAGTGTTGTGTGGAGTGCAGTGTCATAAGCAGTGGAATGGCCAGGCAGTGCTGCCAGCCTCGGTGGGGTCTCAGAGTAGACCAGTTGGGGGCAGCCTCGGTGGGGTCTCAGAGTAGACCAGTGGGGGCAGCCTAGGTGGGGTCTCAGAGTAGACCAGTGGTGGCAGGACAAATGCAGTCAGCACTGATTTGTAAACACACAAGAGAGAATTCTGGAGCACCCCAAAGGGGGAGGGTAATGTGGACAAGGGTGCTGAAGCCCATTAGTTATGCAGATAAGAGTTGTGGGGCTTGGAACATCTGAATGTTATTAATGTCCACTGACTGATGTGTGCTAGAAACATATGCATTGCTTTAGCATGCATGTCCCTAAAGGAAGAAGTGAAAATCCTACATGAGAATACATTAAATTAAAACTGCTTGGAATTCAGAAGAACATCTGGACTGAATCAGAACAGACACTCCTCCCTGAGCCACTTTGATAAAGGATTACCATCATGATCTTAGTGATGAGAGCCTTGAAATCAGTACTACAATTCAGAACCCATCAGCTTTGCACTTGGGTTTGGTAGAAAACAGTATATATATATATATATGTATGTGTGTGTGTGTGTGTGTGTGTGTGCGCGCGTGTGTATATATGTGTACATATGTATGTGTATATGTGTGTGTGTGCGCGCGTGTGTATATATGTGTACATATGTATGTGTATATATGTGTGTGTGTGTGCACGCGCGTGTGTATATATGTGTACATATGTATGTGTATATATGTGTGTGTGTGCGCGTGTGTATATATGTGTACATATGTATGTGTATATGTGTGTGTGCGCTTGTGTATATATGTGTACATATGTATGTGTGTATATGTGTGTGTGCGCGCACGTGTGTATATATGTGTACATATGTATGTGTGTATATGTGTGTGTGCGTGCGTGTGCATATATGTGTACATATGTATGTGTATATATATGTGTGTGTGTGCGCGTGTGCATATATGTGTACATATGTATGTGTATATGTGTGTGTGTGCGCGCGTGTGCATATATGTGTACATATGTATGTGTATATATGTGTGTGTGTGTGTATATATACTACCCCTCCAACTGTTTAGATTCGTGTATTCTTAACAAAATGTTCCATCATTCTCAGAAAGTTACAATGAATGAACCCTATCTGGAACCATAGTGAGGGATGCAAATTAGATGCAAAGAGTGTGACTTTAAAGTCTTTGGTGCTCGGAATAAACAAAAACAGAAACAAGCACATCTTATAAACGTCAACTCTGAGGTGATGCGTTTTTTCTTTTGTTTCCCGTGTCTAATGAGTTGAATTGCGTCTCTCCCAAATCTGTGTCCACCCAGATCCTCAGAATATGACCTTATTTGGGGATAAATTATTTGCAGATCTGACTAGTTTAGGATTTGGGATGAAATCATTCTGGATGTAGCATTGGTTCTAAATCAACTGACTGATGTTTTTATAAGAGAAAGAAAGAGAGATTCAAATGCACAGAGATACAGTGAGAAAAATCATGTGAGGACAGAAGCAGGGATTTCAGCTGTGCTTCCGTTAAGTCAAAGATTGCTAGGAGCCCCCAAAGCTGGAAGAGGCAAGGGAGGATTCTCTACCAGAGCCTTCAGAGAGAGTGTGGCCTTGCCAACAACTTGATTACAGATATTTGGTCCCCAAACTTGTGAAAGGATAAATTTTCATTATAGCAGCCCTAGAAAACTAATGCACAGGGTATATCACATACAATTTGGAAAAGGTTAAGCTTTCAGAGAAAGCATCTACTCATGGACTACAAATTGTAAAAAATACTCTGCATCACAGATAAAATCAGGGAATGCAACAATTAGATATAATAAAGATAAAATGTCCTTCCATGTTCTGTACTTTCCATGCTCAATTTAATTTACATTTAAAAATCATTACTCACTGAAGGTAAGTTTAACGGTAGAAAACTCTGGAATTTGTGGGCAAAAGATATAAAATGAACACCATAGTGTTTGCATCCCTTTTTTTTTTGCCGAGACACCCTAATATTTTAGATGCTCTTAGCCAGTTCCTGCTGCTATAACCAAGTCCTTTAGACTGGATGATTTATAAACCATGGAAACTTGTTTCTCATAATTCTGGAGGCTGGGAAGTCCAAAATCAAAACACTGGCAGATTAGTTATTTGGTAAGGGCTGGTTGGCTGCTTCCAAGATGGAGCCTCACTGCTGAATCGTCCAGTGGTGAAGAATGCTCTGTCCTTACATGGTGGAAGGGACAAAGGGGCAGGCAGCTCTCTGAAACCTCCTTTATAAGCCATTTATCATATTCATGAGTGTGAGGCCTTCATGACTTAATCAAGTTCCCAAAGCCTTCACCTCATCATATCATCACAACAGGGATTAAATTTCAACCAGAATTTTGGAGGGTCACAAACATTCAAACCATAGCAGATGTCATAAAAATTATCACCATTTTGATAGAAAGGGAGTATGAAAAAATATTTCAGGGCGAGCCAAGATGGCTGAACTGCAAACGGCCCCGCTCTAGGGCTCCCACCAAGAAGGACAAAAACGCCCTGTGAATTCTGCCTGTTCAACTGAGGTACCAAGGTTCTCTCATTGGGACTAATGAGGCAGTTGGCATGACCGAGGCAGAGGAGGAGAAGCAGGGTGGGGTGAGGGCCCACCAGGGAGATGCACGGGGCAAAGGGAGCTTTCTCCCCCAGCCAAGGGAGGCCATGAGGGATTTTGCTACCCCGGTCCCTACCCTTCCCCCTCCACCACGAAAATGGCGCTTTTTCCACGGATCCTTGCAACCTGCTGATCAGGAGGTCCCCACATAAGCGCAGGCCACCAGGGCCTTGGGTCTCAAGCACAGAGCTGTGAAGACACACAGCAGCTGCTGGGGTGGGCAGCCATTGGAGCAGGCACTGAAACACAGGAGTATCTGCATCCTGCGCTCTGGGAACTCCCGTGAGGCAGGAGATCCGTCCACTTCCGTGGGAAAAGTACTGAAGCCAGGGAGCCAAGCGGCCTTGCTCCCATGGGTCCCCACACGCTAAAACCCACTTGCCTGGAATCCCCACTGGCCACCGCAGCAGGCTGCAGACTTCCTAAAAAGACCATGTTCTGGGGCGGGGAAAGAAGGCCACCGTCACTGCGGCTCCAGTCCGCATAACATAATCCCCCACAGTTCTCACAGGTTTTGTTCCCTCCTTTTTATTCTTTTTTTCTCCACAATTCCCCACAGTGCAGCACAGCTGCCCGCTGGGCCAGTTCCAGGCCAGACTGCTTCTTTAAGCAGGACCTTGATGATCCGCCCCGCTTCATCAGGCGGGGACTCTCTGTGGGAATGTCAGCATCCCCAGGCAGAGGTTTATGGACAGAACTCTCATATCCCCGATCAGAGAGGAGTCCCTGGGAGGAGGGGTGGCTGCGGTATGGTGGATGAGCAGTCAGCCTTTTCTGTCTGTCGCCTCTGGAGAGTCAGGGCAGCTAGGACGAGGGTGCAACACACCCGTTCTGCCAAGGGGCAGTCAGACTGCTTATTTAAGCAGGTCCCTTTGCCTGCTCCTCCTAAATGGATGAGACCTTCCAACAGGACTCTCCAGACACCTCATACTGGAGTGTTCCTGCCGGCATAAGGTTGGTGCCCCTGGAAAGGAGCAGGCTGCCATTTTACTGGTCTGCAGCCTCTACTGGTGATACTTCCAGAGGCCGGAGGGAACCAGGTGAATAGGGTTTGGAATGGACCCCCAGCAAACTGCAGCAGACCTATGGAGGAGGCGCCTGACCGCTAAAAGAAAAACAGAAAGAATCAGCAACAACAACATCAATGAAAAAGACTCCACAGAAACCCCATCCAAAGGTTAGCAGCCTCAAAGATCAAAGGTAGATAAACCCACGAATATGAGAAAGAATCAACACAAAAATGCTGAAAACTCAAAAAGCCAGAGTGTCTCTTCTCCAAATGATCGCAACATGTCTCTAGCAAGGGCACAGAACTGAGCTGAGGCTGAGATGGATGAATTGACAGAAGTAGGCTTCAGAAGATGGGTAATAACAAACTTCGCAGAGCTAAAGGACTATGTTCTAACTCATTGCGAAGAAGCTAAGAACCATGATAAAACATTACAGGAACTGTTAACTGGAATAACCAGTTTAAAGAGAAACAATAATGACCTGATGGAGCTGAAAAACACAAGAACTTCATAATGCAAACACAAGTATCAATAGCCGAATAAGCTAAGTGGAAGAAAGGATAGATATCAGAGCTTGAAGACTATCTTGCTGAAATAGGCAGGCAGGAAAGATTGGAGAAAAAAAGAATAAAAAGGAGGGAACAAAACCTGTGAGAACTGTGGGGGATTATGTTAAAAGACTGAACCTACGACTGACAAGAGTACCTGAAAAAGACCCGGAGAATGGAACCAAGTTGGAAAATACACTTCAGGATATCATTCAGGAGAACTTCCCCAACCTAGCAAGACAGGCCAACATTCAAATTCAGGAAATTGAGAGAATCCCAATAAGATACTCCATAAGAAGATCAACCCCAAGACACATAATCATCAGATTCTCCAGGGTCAAAATGAAGGAAAAAAAGTTAACGGCAGCCAGAGAGAAAGCCCAGGTCACCTGTAAAGGGAAGCCCATCAGACTAACAGCAGACCTCTCAGTGGAAACCCAACAAGCCAGAAGAGATTGGGGTCAATATTCAACATTCTTAAAGAAAAGAAATTTCCAACCTAGAATTTTATATCTGGCCAAACTCATAAGCAAAGGAGAAATAAAATATTTTTCAGACAAGCAAATACTGAGGGAATTTGTCACCACCAGGCCTGCCTTGCAAGAGCTCCTAATGGAAGCACTAAATATGGAACGCACTAAATATGTACCAGTCACTACACAAATACACTGAAGTACACAGACCAGTGACACTATGAAGCAGCCACATAAACAAGTCTGCAAAATAACCAGCTAGCATCATGATGATAAAATCAAATTCACACATAACAATATTAACCTTAAATGTAAATGGGCTAAATGCCCCAATTAAAAGACACAGAATGGAGACTGGGTGCTATGGCTCACGCCTGCAATCCCAGATCTTTGGGAGGCCAAGGTGGGCAGATCACCTGAGGTCAGGAGTTTGAGACCAGCCTGGCCAACATGGTAAAACCCCATCTCTACGAAAAATAGAAAAATTAGCCAATTAGCCAGGCATGGTGGCAGGCACCTGTAATCTCAGCTACTCAGAAGGCCGAAGCAGGAGAACTGATGGAACCCGGGAGGCAGCAGTTGCAGTGCACCAAGATCTCGCCACTGTACTCCAGACTAGGTGGCGACAAGAGTGAGACTCCATCTCAAAAAGAATAAAGATACAGAATGGCAAGCTGGATAAAAAGTCAAGACCCATCTGTGTGCTGTGTTCAGGAAACCCATCTCACATGCAAAAACACACAGACTCAAAATAAAAGAATAGAGGAAAATTTACCAAGCAAATGGAAAACAGAATAAAAGCAGGAGTTGCAATACTGGTTTCTGACAAAACAGACTTTAAACCAACAGAGATCTGAAAAAGAAGGATATTACAAAATAGTAAAGGGGTAAATTCAACATGAAGAGCTAAATATCCTAAATATATATGCACCTAATACAGGAGCACTTCGATTCATAAAAACAAGTTCTTAGAGACATACAAAGAGAATTAGACTCCGACACAATAATATTGGGAGATTTTACACCCCATTGTCAATATTAGATAGAACATTGAGACAGAAAATTAACAAAGACATTCAGGACTTGAACTCAGCTCTGGATGAAGTGGACATGATAGATATCTACAGAAATCTCCACTCCAAAACAACAGAATATACATTTTTCTCAGGGACACGTGCCACTTACTCTAAAATTGATCACATAATTGGAAGTAAATCACTCCTCAGCAAATGCAAAAGAACAAAAATCATAACAAACAGCCTTTCAGACCACAGCACAATAGGAATCAAGATTAATAAACTCACTAACACCGCACAACAACATGGAAATTGGACAACCTGCTCCTGAAGGACTCCTAGGTAAATAATGAAATTAACACAGAAATCAAGAAGTTCTTTGAAACCAATGAGAACAAAGAGACAATATAACAGAATCTCTGGGACACTGATAAAGCAGTAGTAAGAGGGAAATGTATAGCACTAAATGCCCACATCAAAATGCTAGAAAGATCTCAAGTTGACAACCTAACATTACAACTATAACAACTAGAGAACCAAGAGCAAACAAACCCCAAAGCTAGCAGAAGACAAAAAATAACCGAGATTAGAGCAGAACTGAAGAAGACAGAAACACACACAAACACACAAAAAAACGCTTCCAAAAAAAATAGTGAATCCAGGAGCTGTTTTTTTAAAAAAATAATAAAATAGAATGCTAGGTAGACTAATAAAGAAGAAAAGAGAGAAGAGTCAAATAGACACAACAAAAAATGATAAAGAGGATATCACTGCTAACCCTCCAGAGATATAAACAACCATCAGAGGATACTATAAACACCTCTATGCAAATAAATTAGAAGATCTAGAAAAATTGGATAAATTCCTGGATACATGCACCCTACCAACACTGAACAAGGAAGAAGTTGAATCCCTGAATAGACCAATAACAAATTCTGAAATTGAGACAGTAATAAATAGTCTACCAAACAAAAAAAGCCCAGAACCAGATGGATTTACAGCTGAATCATACTAGAAATACAAAGAGGAGCGGCTACCCTTTCTTCTGAAACTATCACAAATAATTAAAAAGGAGGGACTCCTCCCTAACTCATTCTATGAGGCCAGTATCATCCTGACACCAAAACCTGACAGAGATACAACAAAAAAAGAAAACTTCAGGCCAATATCCCTGATGAACACTGACGCAAAAATTCTCAACAAAATACTGGCAAACTGAATAGAGCAGCACACAAAAAAGCTTATCCACCATGATCAAGTTGGCTTTATCCCTGGGATGCAAGATTGGTTCGACATACACAAATCAATAAACATGTTTCATCACATAAACAGATCTAAAGACAAAAGCCACATGATTATCTCAATAGATGCAGAAAAGGCCTTTGATAAAATTCAACATTCCATCATATTAAAAACTCTCAATAAACTAGGTATAGAAGGAACATACCTCAATATAATAATAGCCAATTATGACAAAGCCACAAACAATAGCATACTGAATGAGCAAAAGTTGGAAGCATTCCCCTTGAAAACCGGCACAAGTGAAAGATGCCCTGTCTCGGCACTCCTATTCACCGCAGTGTCGGAAGTTCTGGCCAGGGCAATCAGAAAAGAGAAATAAATAAAGGGTATTAAAATAGAAAGAAACAAATTCAAATTGTATTTGTTTGCGGATGAAATAATCCTATATGTAGAAAACCCGATCGTTTCAGCCCAAAATCTTCTTAAGCTGATAAGCAACGTCAGCAAAGTCTCAGGATACAAAATCAATGTGCAAAAGTCACAAACATTCCTATATACCAACAACAGGAGAGCCAAATCATGAATGAACTCCCATTCACAATTGTTACAAAGAGCATAAAATGCATAGGAATACAGCTAACAAGGGAAGTGAATGACCTCTTCAAGGAGAAATACAAACCACTGCTCATGGATATCAGAAAGGACACAAACAAATGGAAAACATTCCATGCTCACAAATAAGAAGAATCAATACCGTGAAAATGACTATACCTCCCAAAGTAATTTACAGATTCAATGCTATTCCCATTTAACTACCATTGACATTCTTCACAGAATTAGAAGAGACTATTTTAAAATTTATGTGGAACCAAAAAAGAGCTTGAGCTAAGACTATCCTAAGCAGAAGAATAAAGCTGGAGGCATCACACTACAGAACTTCAAACTGTACTACAAAGCTAAACAATTAAAACAGTATGGTACTGGTACAAAACAGACACATAGACCAATGGAACAGAATAGAAAACTCAGAAATAAGACTGCACATCTATAACCATCTGGTCTTTGACAAACCTGACAAAAACAAGAAATGGGGAAAGGATTCCCTATTTAGTAAATGGTGCTGAGAGAACTGGCTAGCTGTATGCAGAAGATTGAAGCAACTCCTTCCTTACACCTTACATAAAAATTAACTCGAGATGGATTAAACAATTAAATGTAAAACCTAAAACTATAAAAACCCTAGAAGAAAACCTAGGCAATACCATTCAGGACATAGGCACGGGCAAAGATTTCACAACAAAATCAACAAAAGCAATTGCAACAAAAGCGAAAACTGACAAATGGGATCTAATTAAACTAAAGAGCTTCTGCACAGCAAAAGAAACTATCATCAGAGTGAACAGGCAACCTACAGAGTGGGAGAACATTTTTGCAATCTATCCATCTGGAAAGGTCTAATATCAAGAATCTACAAGGAACTTACACAAATTTGCAAGTAAAAAACAACCCCTTTACAAAGTGTGCAAAGGACCTGAACAGACATTTGTCAAAAGAGGACATTCATGTGGCCAACATACATATGAAAAAACCTCAACATCAATGATAATTAGAGAAATGCAAATCAAAACCACAGTGAGATACCATCTCATGCCAGTCAGAATGACGATTATTAGTAAGTCAGGAAACAACAGATTCTAGCGAGGTTGCTGAGAATTAAGAATGCTTTTACACTTTCGGTAGGAGTATAAATTAGTTCAACCATTGTGGAAGATGATGTGGCAATTCCACAAAGATCTAAAACCAGAAATGCCATTTGACCCAGCAATCCCACGTGTAAGTATATACCCAAAAGGATACAAATCATTCTATTACAAAAGATACCTGCATGTGTATGTTCATTGCAGCACTTTTCACAATAGCAATGACATGGAATCAACCCAAATGCCCATCAATAGTAGACCGGATAAGGAAAATGTAGTACATATACACCATGGAACACTATGCAGCCATAAAAAGGAAAAAGATCATGTTCTTTGCAGTGAAATGAATGGAGCTAGAAGCCATTATCCTAAGCAAACTAACGTAGGAACAGAAAACCAAACACTGCATGTTCTCACTTATAAATGGGGGCTGAACAATGATAACACATGAATGTAGGGAGGGTAACAACACACAATGGGGCCTGTCAAGGGCAAAGGGTTGGGGGAGGAAGAGCATTAGGAAAAATAGCTAATGCATGCTGGTCTCAATATCTAGGTGATGGATTGATATGTGCAGCAAACTCCAGGACACACATTTACCTACGTAACAAACCCGCACATCCTGCACATGTACCCCAGAACTTAAAAAAAATTTTTTAAAAAAAGAAATTTGTTAGGTTAAAAAAAAGAACTTTACTTATTGTGGCATAACGTGGTTTACAATGATACCTTTTTACTTTAAATTAAAATTAGAAAAGATAATTTTTTACTTTAAATAAATACTTTAAATAAACATTTCAGTACAAATTTTAATGTATAGGTAGGAAAAATGATTTTACTATGTTGATGAACCCATAGTTAGGGAACCGCTTCCAAACATACTAATCAGCAATATAAGTACAAAAGACTACTAATATACACAATAATGTATTATGAATAATGACTGTCAAAACCATTATGCTAAATGGTATAATGGTCTTGAGATTCATTATAAGTCAATATAAGCTTTTTTGTTTGTTATCGTGCAAAAAATGGTAACAGCTTATACTCTGTGTGATTACATATATACAGAAATTTAGAAGAGACACAACTATAAGGAAAATGAAGGTTGATACAGAATGAGATGGGGCAAAGTACTGAATGAAAACTGTTATAAGAAATCATATTATTCACTGATAAAAATGCTATATTTTGTGTACTGTGGTGGTAGAATGATTACATGTATTCATTAGAACTCATCAAAAACACTTAGATTAGTGAATATTATTACATGTAATTTTTACCTCAATAAAGCTAACTTTTTAAACTTTGCAGGAACGTTAAAAACAAAAACAATCATAGTAGAAAGACTGGATTTGTGAAGGCCACATATGTTTTCTCTACAACACCTTATCTTTGTTTTGAGAACTGCCCCTCTCTGATCCATAGGACATATTTGAGGTGACACATTCCCTCTTACCTGAACTGATTATATCATATGTGGATTTTCTGAACCATACTATATAGGGATTTTCTAACTTAGAATTGAGAAAGAAAATTAATCACTTTCTGAGTGCTGAAAACTATGAAAATTGTGCTTTGTTGCTAATATTTCCTCCCTTTTGTGGTTCTCATATCTTCTTCAGTGGATGTGCATTATTTTTATAGGTTTGATAATTAATCACATCTATATTTTATCTTTTTATTATATCACAGTTAGGCTTCGACTCTGGAAGGCAAGTTAGGCAATATTTCTCATCATTATTGTTTGTTCATTGGTTTTGCTACTCCTTTTCATTTTCCATCTTATGAGCCCAAGCTCCTCAGCAGCGCCCTATGTATTCAAGAGTCCTCATAAGTACTTTCCCTTGGCATCTTCTGCTTTGAATATTTTCTTACTCATTATTAGATGTGTCATTCCATTTAAGAGGGCCTTAGCAGTAACCAAGAAAAACACAAATTGTCTATAAAAGCCTGGTATGTTCTTACGAGCATTATGGCATGTGCCCATTGAACATTAGCTCTGCTCATCCCCATCAATTACAGCCTTTGTATTGACCACTCCCTCCAAATTGTGCTCATTGCTTTCCAGGTATGTCACTAACTGCTTCTGACAATAACCAAATTCATGCAAATCCCATAAAATGTTTTTTAAGCATTACTACCATTCCTGAAAAATCTTATGACTAAATGATCTCTAAGGTTTCCCGATGTCACTTGACGGAGCCCTGTCTCGGGGTCTGGCCCTAGAATTTATGTCCAGGTTACTTATTGGAAAGTTTTCCCAGGAAGAAAGGAAGAGTAGCTGACGTAGGAAGGGAGTGAAACCAGTGATAGCATGCATTATCCAGCTGTACCCTGCTCTGGGCAGCTAGGGCTTAACTCCCCCAGGAACTGCTGGAAGCTGAGACACAGTGGCAATCTGATGCAATCTCTTCCCTAACAACCTCCTTGGAAAGGAACTTGTGTACAGGTGTAGGCTTTCTGTCATGATCCCATGCCATTCTCTGAGTGGCCACCTCTGCTTAGGAACAACGGTGTTAGTAGCTGTTTTAGCAATAATGATGATCCAATCTTTTTCTTAACCACTGCAGCAAGGATTATCTCCAACAAGTAAACAGCACAGTATTTTAAAAAATGTGTTGTAATGTAGAAAAGCATACTCATCAAAATGTAGGACTGAACTAGAGTCCTTGGACAAGACAACATGCCAGAAGTTCTTGATTCTTCTCCCAATTCCATTTGATTCTATTTGTTGGCTGGTATGGAAAGTCTGACAATTTCCTAAGGCCAGTACAATGTCAAAATTGTAGCTTACTGTAATCTATCTGCTTTTGCTTCTATCCCATAATAACACAACTGGAACATGTTTTGAATGTTACTGACAGTTTGAGGGTTCTAGCGTATTATTTTGGAAATTTCTGCTAATTTATGTCACCAAAATTGCTGACTTGAGACTGAGTATTTGCCCACAGGCATGCATAATTAAGTTTTTAATCAATTATTTATTGAATTTGTAGATTGAACATTTTTTACAAAATCATGAATTATATTATTGATAATTAATCATAATTCTTGTAAAATGTAGTCCCATGGCATAAAAACATTGCAGCTTAAGAATAATTTTATGTCTTTTATATTAAGATAAAGTTTTAGATAAAAGATTGAGACTGATGTTAGATAACTTCAATTCAGATTGGTTAGAAAAGATATATTCAAGCAATAAGTTAGCACAGCATGCAAATGATGGGTTAGGATTTTTAAGGAAATATTATTTGCAATTTACTTACATAATATAGATTATGCAGGGAATTGTCTTCATTAATACATCTCTAACAAGAACAGAGATAGAAAGTTGAACTTCACTATGTTCAAACCTAGCCTCTCATATCCTGGTACAGGACATAAAATTTCTTGGTGCATTAGTTCTCTCAACCTGAATATAATGATAGAAGCTACATTATATGAATTTTGTCAGGATTAAATAAGGTAGTGCACACAAGGTATATCACAAAAATTGTATTGACTACACTGTGTTTAAAAGTCCATTCTATGTATTGAGGTATATATAATTGGATATCAAGGTTTTTTAAACTTATTTGCTGGCAGCTAGATAAATCTGCACTGAACTTTAGTGCAAGGAAAATGAGGATAAAAGTCCTTAATAAAATATAGATGAAATACTTAGGGTAGTTCACAGTAGAGAGATATACTTTCCCCATAGCTGACTGCCTCTGTTCACATGCTATGTGGCGTGAAGGTGGAGAGCAACATCCAAAGGCTGGAAGGCATAACGCTGAGACTTTAGGAAATGATTGATGGAATGGATCATGTTTGAATTGGGTATCAGAATATGGGAACAATTTGAACTTTTTCTCTGCTTTCCCAAAGTTCCCCAAATTCTGCAGAGTGACACTGGCTATGTGAGGTTATTTTAAAATCTATAGATTTATATAGAGAGACATAGATACAGATGCAAGTGTAATTTAAATACACGAATATACAGACATGCGCAAACACACATATATTTATACATCTATGTATATTTATAAAACTGATTGGATCATATCGGAATATATCTGCATCATAATTTTATAAGTTTCTAAAACATATAGCATTTTCATAGCATTCTGCAATAATAAGTAAAAAAATGTTGAAAAAGTATTTCTTCTATGGTTAAATAATATGTTATTTTCTGAAAGTAGGAAAAATGTGTTTTCTATACCTATTTATTTTTACATGACTGTTGTTAGTCCCAACAATAAAAAAAAGTTAAAGCAGCTGTTGTCAAAGAATATTTTGGGTGACATTTAAAAAAAACAAAATTAGCATTGAATATACTTTAATTATTTTTTAAAAGATGCTAATCATTTGGAACATAAAATTAATATTTTATATATCAGTAATTCTATCATTATTTTCCATACGTTATAGACTTCATAGGCTTAATGAAAGTTAAGAAAGTTTCATTACAGTAATGTTTGATGGGATAAGTGAACCAGTATTAATACCTCTTTTCCAGCATTTAATGATAATATAAATTAGTAGTAATTTTGAAGCTACAGCATGTTTTGTGCTTTTTGCCTCTTCTTAAATACTAAATTTATTAAAACTTAGGCTTAATAAAATAATAGGTACCAACTACTTATTTGCAAAATAAATGTTATTTGAGGAACATGTATTACTGAAACCATGTGGCACTTTTTTTCATTTTCCTGTGAGTACTGGGTTGTGAAAAATAGTGCATTATTTGGTGTATTCTCATAGCTTCTTGTGGAAGTCAGTACATTCAGTACATACATTTTGGACTAAATTGAATTCAACTTAATTGAATTCAATTCACTTTTTAATTGAAATTTAGTTGTGGAGTTAGAAAATAAACTAATTCTATAGCCCAGAAAACCTCAAGCTTACAGTCTGGCTAGGCCCCAACAACTAAACTGGTGTCATCTAATTAAAAGAGGAATTTTTCTCTCCTACATGATTCTGTTCTCTTTTTCTGGGGAAAAAAAAAATTCTTTCTCTTTTTCTTCCAATAATAAGATGTATTGCTCAGTTTAAAAAAAAGGATTGCAATTGTTACATGCAAAACTGAAAATACTCTAGACAATTTCTCATCTTAGTTTTATTCATAGTCAATATTCTCACTTTCTTCTGTAGAAATATTCTACTTAGAAGAATACAAAAATAGACCATTACATTACAAACCTGATCAAATTTTCAGAATTCGTCCTTGTATGAAACAAAGTACATTGATTTAAAGTTTAATTTCTTTCAACAGTAAAATAGAAGCTTGTGGAAAACAAGTTTTAAAAACACAATAGGTCAGGGGAAGGGGGAGGGATAGCATTAGGAGATATACCTAATGCTAAATGACGAGTTAATGGGTGCAGCACACCAACATGGCACATGTATACATATGTAACAAACCTGCACGTTGTGCACATTGCTTACCCTAGAACTTAAAGTATAATAATAATAAAATAAAGAAATAAAAATAAAAACACAATAAAACTGAAATTACATTTAAAACTCAGTAAAATCTGTAACCACCTAAGATCTTTTAAGTATTAACATATGAACTGGTAATTAGTATCTTGGTCCATGCTCATTGTATAATCTTTTAAAAAGTGGAAAGAAAAAAGAAAATAATGCCAATTTTGCCAAAAACATTTTCATAGCTAGTATTCAAATCCTAAATGATGATCGTCACAGACAAGTTTTGGTACGATCTTAGCCATAAGATAATTGATTTGAACCAACATATACATGGAAGAATAAAATTTGATATTTACATTGAATCAAGTCTCAAAAATATAGCCACTTTCAAAATTTCCTGAAGATACTGGGCAGAGTCTGAGAATGTCTAAAATAATATCTTATTTAGAAACCTAACTTAATCATCCAGTTTAATTATTTTTAAAGTAAATTTATTTCTAAATCATTATCAAGCAAAAAGGTAAAAGAAAATAACAAGATATTTTTCACCAGGCTACCCAGGAGTATCAGCATGGCTGGGCGTTTTTGACTTCAGGCTTTTCACATCTACAATGTCCGTGTGTGCTCATGAAGGTTCACCAGTTGAGGAAAACCAATCGTATTGTTCCTCTGGTTTTTTGGAAGTATTCTAAATTAGAACAGAGTATTTTGCACAATACGACAGCCGATTCCAAATGTTAAAAATGTCAAAAATGCACTTGTGGCCCCATGTGAATAAAGTCTTTTGGGGTCACCCTAATGAACTGAGCGCAAACATGACCGGAGGATTTAACTCAAGGTTTCTCTCTCTACCAGCTTTTTACTGAAGAATGATTTTTCTCTGGTTGCACTGTCAATTATCTAGCATTTTGCTCATTGACTCTGAGCTGGTCAAAAAGCCAATTTAATGAACTACAGAAATGCCTTTGGCTAAGTTACGGACTTAGATAAAGACATGGGAACTACTCAAGTGTGTTTGATAACAGCCCTTGGTTCACGGTACCCACCACAAATGCCCACTAGTCAGAAAGTTCCAGGCAGGTCATAAACAAACCCTTGGCTTCAGAAAAGGTCAATATTTACTGAATACAAAGGCTTAAAGCATTTCAAGTATAATTGTTTTCTGTAGCCTTAAAAATATAAAAACTAACCAAAAAAGCTACATTTCCTGCATACAATTATATATATATAGTAATAATCTAGAATTACACACACACACACACACTCACACAGTTTTCCCTTAAGAGAGGCATCTATGTAAGGAATAATGCATATTCTATACATGTTCTAGAAAGTGCAAAATTACAGAAAGCCAAAATATCAATACATTATTTTTAATAACATTCTACATTAGCTGTTTTCAATTTGATCAATGTAACCTAAGTAAATCTATTAGGATTCAGTGCTTCAGTTAGCCATTGCTGCATAAAAATGTACCCTAATTTGTAGCAGTTTAAAAATAGCAATGTAGTTGCAAGATGACTGAGCTGAGATCCAGCATGCCTTTGTCAGGTATCTGGCCATGTGCATAGGCAATTGCCTGACACTCCTCACTTCTCTTCCATGGGACCCCTCATCTGCCAGGACACTAGCCCAGTTTTCTTCCATGGTGGGTCTCAGGGCAGTGTTCTAAGATAGAGAAAGCACAAGCATATAAGGCTCCTTGAGACCCGCATCCAGAATATGTATAGCATCACTTCTGCCATGGTCTACTGGTTAGGCGAGCCATCTGCCCAGGCCAGATTTACAAAGAGAACCATACTCTATCTTTCCCAGGAGGAGTAGCAAAATCCAATTGAAAAAATTCTATATGAGCACTTGTAGCTACCTTTGAAAATAGCATGGTCTTCCTAAATTTCCTCCTACGCTGAGACAAAATAATACTATTATAGGCCCAAGCACGAGTCCCATTTCCACATTGTTCATTATGTTGAATGATTTCAGTTATGCCTTGGAACTACTTTGAATTTGTCAAACTGTTTTATGATATGGAATATATAATTATCCTATATCCTTGTGTAAACATAAGAATAATCTCTGTATTTACAGTTTATCTATCTGTAGCCCCTTTAAACATTATTAAAAACTTCCTCTAACCAGTTGAGATAAATAACCAAAGATAATCAGTTATGGAATGATACCTATATGCTGCCCAACAGAGGCAATTTGCCCAAGGTTTTCCCTTTTACTGTAAATTGAAATTGGCATCAGATTAAAAAACAAAGAAAGTAGATTAAATAGTGAAGCCAGTTTTGCTAAAGTTAAGTAAAACCTACCATAAAAGGCAGAATATATCATGTGCCTTCTTATCTGAATATTTTGCTTTGTTGCCAGACCTTGTATGCCTTACATACAAGGCATAGAACAAAATTATTTTCTCCGATGTACAATCTAGAAACAGGAATACATAATTTGTTGTGTTGCTACACATCCAAGATCTTTTTTTTTTTTTTTTTTTTTTTTTTTGAGACGGAGTCTCGCTCTGTCGCCCAGGCTGGAGTGCAGTGGCGGGATCTCGGCTCACTGCAAGCTCCGCCTCCCGGGTTCACGCCATTCTCCTGCCTCAGCCTCCCAAGTAGCTGGGACTACAGGCGCCCGCCACTACGCCCGGCTAATTTTTTGTATTTTTAGTAGAGACGGGGTTTCACCGTTTTAGCCGGGATGGTCTCGATCTCCTGACCTCGTGATCCGCCCGCCTCGGCCTCCCAAAGTGCTGGGATTACAGGCGTGAGCCACCGCGCCCGGCCAAGATCTTTTAAATTATTTAGGCTTTTCTCCACCAGAGTCGGGTAAAAATTCAGTAAAAATTATTCCTCTAGATAATTTTATTTTTTAATTTTAATTAAATGAAAAGTTTTTTACAATATATTCTTGGTACATGGCTAAATCTGGTTTTTGAGTATAAATCATTTTCTTTTCCTCTAGTTTCTCCTGAGTCAATGTGTTTACTATTTTTATTAGGCATTTGAGTCTCATATTTATGTGAGGTTCATAATCTCCAGGGCTTAGGTACATAACTAAACCTCTATTACTCACCACATATGAAAATTAACCAAAGGTGGATTAGAGACTTAAATGTAAGACCTGAAACTAAAAATCCTAGAAGGAAACCTAGAAAAAAACCCTTTTGAACATTGGGCTAGGCAAATAATTGATGACTAAGACCCAAAACCAAATGCAACAGAAACAAAAATAGACAAATGGGACTAAATTAAACTAAAAATCTTATGTACATCAAAATAAATACTCAACAGCGTAAACAGAAAACCTACAAATGGGGAGAATGTATTTACAAACTATGCCTCTAACAAAGGTCTAATAAACAGAATCTTCAACAAAGTCAAAAAGAGTCAGCAAGAAAACAATAAATAACCCCATTAAAAAGAGAGAAAGGACATGAACAGACATTGTCAAAACAAGACACATAAGCAGCCACTGTACTTATGAAAAAATGCTCAACACTGCTGATCATCAGAGTTATGCAAATTAGTAATGCAAATTAAAACCACAACGAGATACCATCTTATACCAGTCAGAATAGCTGTTAGTAAAAAATAAAAATAAATACATAAATAAATCCAACAGATGTCGGTGAGAATGTGGAAAAAGGAAACACTTATACACTGTTGATAGGAATGTAAATTAGTACGACCTCTATATAAAACAGTATGGAGATTTCTCAAGAAACTAAAAATAGAAATACCATTTGACCCAGCAACCCCAATACTGGGTGTCTATCTACCCAAAGGGAGAGAAATTTTTTTGTAACAAAAAGACATCTGTACTTGTATGTTTATCACAGCACTATTCACATAGCAAAGTCATGAAATTAATGTAAGTGTCCATCAACAGAGACTGAACGAAGAAAATGTGGTATACTAAATAGAATACAACATGGAATACTACATAGCCATAAAAAAGAATGAAATCATGTCTCTCACAGCAACATGGATGGAGCTGGAGTCCGTTATCCTAAGTGAAATAACTTAGAAATGGAAAATCGAATACTGTGTGTTCCCACTTACAAGTGAGAGCTAAACAGTGGGTACACACGGACCTACAGAGGGAAATCAGAGATACTGGGTCTCCAAAAGGAGGAAGGGTAGTAAGGAATACAGGGGTGAAAAATAACCTATTGGGTTCAATGTTCTCTATTCAGGTGATGGATACACTTGAAGCCCAAACTTCATCAACACTCAATACATCCATGTAACAAACTTGCATGTGCACCCGATGAATCTATTTTAAAAAAGAAATAAATATCCTTTTTATTCTCATTTGTCCACAGATGTATTTATTATTTTATTGAAGAATCAAGTTATTTTATTGAAGAAATGGCTACTATTTCCCAGATACTTTACTGAAATCACAAGCTAGGTTTTGTGCCTGGAAACATCAAACGTTTTGTTTTGAATCATTTTAGCTAAATAAATAATTTGGATTTCTGACCTCATGACCATTAAAAAATTCAATATCACTTTTTAAAAGATGGTACATAAAATGTAATTGTTCTTCTAAAGTACTCAATCCATTCCTTTGGGTGCATCTCTCTGATCGCCATTAAACACAGACAACAGAGGTTATGGTCAATGTTATTATACTTGAAATGAAGAAATTTTACATGTATACAAACATCCCTTTACACAATTGATTCTAGCCACCTCCTGAGGTTGTTTTTAAGTAGTGTGTATTTTTAAAACTAAGCCATATTTTAAAAAGACAATGAAATCTGATTTCCCCTTGTCAAAGCAACAAACTGTGACAACACATACTCCAGCACTTGTGTATGTGTGTGTCTGGGTGTTTTTCAGTTATCTCTGTAATGTCTTTAAAACAGCCATTGCTATATACAAATTCAATCTAACATTTAAGCACTGCTATTATTTATTTAAGATCTCTAATAAGGTACTATACATTTTAGATTTATATCAGGAAAATTTAGAAGCATGAAATAATGAGTAATTTTAAAGTAAGAAGACACTTGATTTTTCTTAATTGGCAATTCCTGTGTTAATACTTTTATTAACTTTTTTTCATTGCTTTATTCTTCTGTCCAGTATACACTCTTAATGAATACCAGAATATGCTGTCTTTCCTCAAGGGATACTGTGGATCTCAGGCTTTCTCCTAAACATCACTCTATTTTTTTTTTTTTTTCACTTTTATTTTAGGTTCAGAGGTACATGTACAGGTTTGTTATATAGGTAAATTGCATGTCAGAGGAGTTTGCTATACAGACTACTTCACCACCCAGGTAATACTTGTAGTACCCTATAGGTAAGTATTCCATCCCCACCCTCCTCCCACCCTCCACCCTCAAGTAGGCCCCAGTGTCTTGTTTCCTTTTTTGTGCCTATATGTATTCAATGTTTAGTGAGAAAATGTGGCCTTTGGTTTTCTGTTACTATATTAGTTCACTTAGGATAGTGGCCTCCATCTCTATCCATGTTGCTGAAAAGGACATTATCTAGGATTTTTTATGTCTGCATAGTATTCCATGGTGTAAATGTACCATATTTTCTTTTTTGGTCTACCACCAATGGGCATCTAGGCCAATTCCATGTCTTTGCTATTGTGAATTTTGCTGCGATGAACTTATGTGTGCATGTGTCTTCATGGTAGAACGATTTATATTCCTTTGGGTATATATCTAATAATGTGATTGCTGGGTCGAATGGTAATTCTGCTTTGAGTTCTTTGAGAAATCTCCAAACTGCGTTCCACGGTGGCTGAATTAATTTACATTCCCACCAGTAGTGTCTAAGCATTCCCTTTTCTCTGCAACCTCACCAGCATCCGTTATTTTTTGACTTTTTTTATAATGGCCATTCTGACTAGCATGAGATGTTATCTCATTGTAGTTTTGATTTACATTTATCTAATAATTAATGATGTTGAGCATTTTTAATAGACTTGTTGGCTGCTTGCATGTTTTCTTTGGTTCATGTGCTTTGCCAACTTCACTGTTTATTACAAAGTCATCATCACCTGTTGCCCCTATGCTTGATCTCAACTCTTGGCCTCTTAGACTTCTATTATTTTCTCCAAGGTTCTCTTGACTCTATATACTCCTGACTTACTGAGACATCTGCTTGTCATCTAGAGCAGATCTCTGTCATACCTCTATTACCTGTCTGAATATCCTAGTGCAGTCACAGGTGAATAGGCACTGACAGTAGTAACAATAAGTATTCACTATTCAAGATTAGGAGTAATTATTTGTCTTTATGTGATATATGAGATTAAATATTTTTATAGCAATCCATCCAGTGTCAAACTTGAATCTGTAATACAGATAAAGCATTATTAAGGCCATTTTATGTAAAAGTAAATTGAGTCTCAGAAAGGTAAAGGGAATTATCCAGTATCACATGACTAAGAAATAGAAGAGGTACTTCTCTGGGAGGGGAGAAACAGAGAGACACAGGGAGAGAGAAAATGAATTTCAATTGGGTTCTAACATCAGTCAGGTTCCCCTATTTAAAATTGGTTACTACACACACATACACATACACACACACACACACACACACACACACACACACACACACACGGGATAATCACATCAAAGTAAACATTCACTGACCTCACATCCATTCTCTACTTACTTGCTGAATACACCAAAATTAGATTGTGGACACCCAGGAAATAATTATAGAAGATCACTTACATTGTATTTGAAATTATAATGAACATGTACTGTGAAAACATAATTGCTAGAAGATATTAGATGTACCAGTCTTCCTGAAATCATATTTAAAGTAATAAAAATTAGTTTGCATTATCACTAAGATATGTGTTGATATGAATTTTTGAATGACAGCATTATATTATTTATAATATTACTAAATATTATCATCATAGTTTTCTGTGTTATTGCTCAGTTTACATTGATTTATAATCATTCAGGGATATCAAATAGAAAGCCAAAATCAAGAAGGAAACTACTATTCTACTGTGGTAAAAATTATACTTATGGTTGTTTACAAAAATTGGTAAATAAAATCAATAAAAATAATAAAAAGTGGAAAATTCTAAAGCATACAAATATAAATGATTCAGAAATATTAATGCATTATGTTAAATTATTTTACTGTGTTGTTTTATATATCAAACTTTATATCTTAACCAAATTTGCCATTTTGTCTTTCTTACCCATAAGCCGCTATTCACTTAAGTAAAATGACAATTTAATTTTCTTGAATAAAAATAATTTACTACTTTTAGAAGCAATGTATTATTGGAATTAGAAACATTGCTTTAAATATAGAAGCTTATGAATACAAGTAAAATATAATTTATATTAACACTTGCTTTTTTCGCTGGTAGCAGAATCAAGAAAATGCATCAATACATTTTAATTTCACTTCTAAAGAATACATTTTCCTATAAACAAAATTATAGAATATTATTCCATTCACATAGCAAAAAAGTAAATATGTCTCAGAATTTAACTTACCCACAGGCCAGATGTTACTATAGTAGTTAGGTGAATATTCTTTCTAATAAATCTTCTGTTTATGTTAGCATATTTTGATGTTTTTAACTTTTAAGATTGATTTTTTTTTCTGAGATGGAGTCTGGCTCTGTCACCCAGGCTGGAGTGCAGTGGTGCGATCTTGGCTCACTGCAATCTCCACCTCCAGGGTTCAAGTGATTCTCGTGCCTCAGCCTCCCGAGTAGCTGGGATTACAGGTATCCGCCACCATGCCCAGCTAATGTTTTTATTTTTAGTAGAGATGGGGTTTCACCATCTTGGCCAGGCTGGTCTTGAACTCCTGACCTCAGATGATCCACCCGCCTCAGCCTCCCAAAGTGCTGGGATTACAGGCATGAGCCACCACGCCTGGCCTAAAGCAGGAAAAAAAAAATAAAAACCTATATATATATATATATATATATATATATATATATATATATATATATATATATATATGTACATCTAATATATATATACGTATTTTTTTTTGAGAAGCTTTAGGTTAACAGAAAACAAAAATAGCAGAAAAAGCAAAGAGCTCCCATATATCCCCTCACCATCCCCCAAAGAACCTCCTGTTGTTACCATCTTACATTTAGTGTGGCACATTTGTTATAATTGATGAGCCAATGTTCACATATTATTGTTCACTAATGTCCATAGTTTCCATCAGGTTTCACTCTGCATTTTGTACATTCTGTGAGATTTGACAAATGTATAACGAAATGTGCCCACTAGTACTGTAGTGTAGTTGGAATCATATGGGATGTCGCCTTCACAGGGTGGCTTCTTTCACATAGCAATATGCATTTAATGTTTCTCTGTATCATTTCATGGCTAAATAGTTCATTTCTTCTTATCATTGAATAATATTCCATTGTTTGGATGTATCACAGCCACAGTTTACTTATTCACCTATCAAAGGACACCTTGGTTGCTTGCAAGGATTAGCAATTATTAATAAGCTGGTAATGCTAATTTTCCAATGAGCTGAATCAGTGCTTTTAAAACTCTGGGATGGCATTCCTGATTTCCAGGATCTGTTATTCAACCAATTTTTTCAACTCAAAACCAAATTTGGACTATTTTAATTTAAAGTTTATTACATATGTAGGCATGACAGATTAAAAAATATATTTTAACAAGTGAAGATATCACAAATACAAAACTAAAATACTGAAAAACCCACAAACAAGAACAATCGTTTTCAAGTCTTCAACTGCTTGAGAATTATAATATCATGAGTTATCAGAAAACAATCCTATGAAATCTAAATTGAGTCATCTACTTTTGGTTAATTAAAAAGAGTCTCTTAAATATTGATTTCTAAATATAACAGCAATTTATTCTGTTCTCTGTTTCTTTTGGAGGGAATTCAAATAGACATAAACAGTTATTGTTTATGTCAAAAATTTACTAAATACATTGTGTTTAGGATTTCAAGATTAATAATAGTATTATTACTCAAACCCAGTTCTTCACAAAGCTGTCACTTAAAATTGAAATCCTTTATTTCAAGAATTATGTTACACAATTTCAAGGTCTAAAAATATAAAAGCCTAATGGGCAAGGCTTAAACAGTAGGAAAGTTACAAGTTAGTTTACAAAAGTGCTCGTGCTGGATTTTCCATCCCCTAAAACACATTTTGTATATTTATTTCCCCAAGGTTATTCAGATCTACACTGTCCCAACAGGAAGGCTATTATAAAGATATCAAAAACATATCTTACTTATCTCTAGGTAACCAAAGTAAGTAAATTAAATTAAGAAACAAATTGTGCTTAACTTTAATAAAACCTAATATACAAGGCAAGATAGACTGTACCATCATCCTTCCTCTCTGAGGATTCTGCTTCACTACAAACTGAATTCTTCACAGGTTAAATTTAAGTATCAAAATAATAAGTAATTCTTCTTGCCCTAACAACTAAATAGGATGTAATGCATTTTTCTAGGACATTCGACTCACTTAAATTTAAATGATAAATGACTTTTTATTTTATTAAAATCTGCTTTTATGGGAAAAGAGTTCAATGAGATTACTAATATACCATATAGTAATATACCATAAAAAGAACTTAAATTATATGGTAAAAATGAAGACATAAACTTCTATCATCATTGTAAGAATCTAGTTGATCATTGGAAGCCACTGCTCAGCCTTTTCTTTCTTCTCAGCATTTTTCTGTCTCTATCTTTTAGCACATATATCAGGGAGGAAGAAGGGCTTTGGCTTCATCGTTACGAGACCTATCTAGGCAGGGAGACATCAAAGAATAGCCAAGTTGAGCTTCACTGAGCCCATCCCTGAAGTTTTGCTTTCACTGAAGCCCCAAGATCTCCTGCTAGCCGTGGTAAATGAAGCTGGCTACAGTTGAGTAGCTTGGGAAGCAAAGGTAGAGAGCAAATCGAGATACGCTAATAAGGAAGGTAGTAGAAGCCACGTGGAAGAGAAGAAGAAAATTCATAATTAAAAATGAGCTGCTCAAGTTAGGACCCAAATTATAATTTTTAAAATGTAATTTTCTTTGTGTCTAACAATTTGCAATTTTTCATAGCATAAGCACATTCATTAATATGACCCATTCACAGCAATATTTAGCTGTCTTTTATGTAAGTTTATATGTGTGTGTATATATATGACGAAGGTTTATATATACACACACACACATATGGCATGATTTACTCACAAGTTAACATTTTAACAATTCAATATGAAATGTAATTATATAAGATGCTATTTTAAATCATTTTCTCTTTTATTCTATGCTGTCCTTTATTTTGCCATATCTTATCCGTTTTCCAAATGAACATAGTTCTCTTTAGCACAGATTTTATGCTTAGTAGTGATTAGTTTCCCAGCTTTGTGTTTCAACTTCTGATTAGATGTGAGGCACCTCACAAATATTGCCTGTTAACTCCACAGAATGACGGTTTGTGAGCGTGTTAGAGTTCGAAAACTACAAGATTCAGTTTGCTACAGCTCGAGACTATGAATCCCCCCCAAAAAAAGCATGTTAAAATTTTTATACCTGCCATGGATTTTAACATAGTGCCTACACACCTGTAGTTTAACTACAAATGCTCACTCTTTTCTACCCTTGCCTCCTCTCTCCCCATGTTACCTCCTTGACAATCTCCTTATATTTTCTAACTTATATCTTTCAAATGATGCCATGTCACAATTGCCATCTTGGGCCAAGTAATTCTTTATTGTACGTGGGGTGTTCTGAGCATTATAGGATGTTTAGCAGCATCTGTGGCCTTGCCCTACTTGATACCAGCAGCGCACATTCTCAGTACAGACAACCAAAAATGTATCCAGATATTGTCAAATGTCCCTTAGGGGGAAGGGGGCCCAAAATCACCCCAGGTTGAGAATAACTTCTTTAGGGCTTGGTGTCACTTGCCGAACCAGTGTTAGAAGAATGTGTTGGCCATCCTGGAGAAGGTAAAACTTGGGGCAGACATAGTTTTGGTGTCCAGTTGTTATACTTCTTACTTAGACCATGCAGATGAAAGTTCCTTTTAATGCTTGGACAATGAGAGTGGTTATGGACATAAGGACTGGTTTGCAATCAATGCAGTCAATGTCCTCCCGTTTCTTACTTTAGGTAGAAAATGTCAGAAAGGGTATACTCATCTTTCTGATCATCCTCTGGAAAAAGAAATTGATCCTCTGAAAAACAGACAGTGTGAAGAGAGAAGCGGTATTGCCTTGCTATGTTTTCCTTCCTTTCCATCCTTCCAGCGTCTTTCTATACCACACAGTTATTCAGCACAATTCTGAGGCCACCAAAGCATCCTGATGCATCTTTCATTCTGAGAATGTTATGCATTTTCATCAAGACCCATTAGACTACCTTGGACTTGAGAAAACTTTTGTGGCAATGTTTACACCTAAGAAGTCTTGTTAAATATGTAGTAGAGAGTGCCGGAATACTTAATTTACCAATTTAATCTCTTGAGTCACTTTCTGGGGTATTTCTATTTCACTATATTTTGGAGATTATATATTTACACTTTGCTGCTAAGAAAAATCTTTATATTATGTCCTCTGTAAAGGAAAGACAGATAATTTCCCATACTTCCTAGCTGGTATGAGAAATTCTTTTCCATCTATATTAAATATTTCTGTATAAATCAATGGGAGATGTGTGTATGGCTCAGAGGAACTAATACATCCCATGCAGTGAAATCTGGACAAAAATAGTATTTGTTTTAAGATTGTAAAAACCAAACGTTCTCATTTAATTTAAGGAATGGTAATGCAGACTTCCTACAGTTTAACATTCAATGTCTGTGTTTGTAATTTATATTCATAAATATATATAATTGTGTGTTCAGAGATTGTGAAAATAGTACAATTATGCTTAATAAAGTCACATAGCAAATTCAGTGTGCCTGTATGCCTGGCAAGTATTAGAGTTTTGGAGTGATTTCTCTCAGAATGAAATGGAATATTTCCCCCTGCCACTAATTTGAAATCGAGAAGAAAAAATAATTTAATTAGTTATACTATTGCTAGGAGACACTTAGATACATATGAGTATTACTTGAAAAACAGAATACTAATTAAAACAACTGAAGAATAAATTCATGTCCACAAAATTAATAACCTGCCATTTTTCCTATTTTAATATAGCACTGCTGATATAAGAACTTTATATACAGCAGGTGAAAATGTCATAAACAAGTTCCCTTTGCAGCTGGAAATCCCTGTATCGTGGCTTTTATTAATGAATGGTGTTGTATCAGCTATAATACCATGACTTCCAGAGGACAGGTAAACAGTTATAAAGTTGTACAGTTTTTTTCTTTAAAGTTAAAAATATATGTTTTCTCAATCTTTCCTGGCAACAGTGATCTGAATGACTCTTGAATTTTCTACTGAATGCATCTGACTTTCTCCATCAAAGAATTTCATAGCTAGAGGTGTAAATCATTATTTCATATCACTCCCTTTACTAGATGATACAAATTTCAGTCTCTCTGTGTATAAAGTGCTGACATTTATTTGCAGAGATTTATATTCATTTAAAAGAATGTAACTGTCAACATCTGAAAATCATTTTGACTGTATACCTGGCTTGAGATTCTGTATGTTTTTTAACTAAAAAAGCTCATGGCAAGCTAAGAAATCTTGCATTTGTCAGGATGAATACCTTATTCTGTCCCCATTTGCTTCTGAATCATGGTTGAATTTTTAAAGGTTACATTTGTGTGTGTGTGTGTGTGTGTGTGTGTGTATGTATGTATTTATGGAATGCCAGTGGAAATAAAAATGAAATAGGCAAAAATGAAATTCAAGATACAATGATTATCTTTTTGAAGCAAATACCAAATTCACTTTTTCACTGGAAATGGAGTTGCAGCAAACATTAAGAATTGGTGTTTCAAAAATTATTTAAACAATGCTAATTATTTAATAACGCCATGAGTAGCAGGATTTTAGGTATGCTCTGATGATCACTATATACATTTTTAAATCAAATATAAAAGTGAAGCCATTGGGTTCTTTGCAAGAAATAATAGGCCAACATCATTAATTCCATAGACTGTATATAATAAGCAGCACAGCTGAAGTTTCAGCAAATAATATCTAATTAATAACTTCTATTAAGATCAGAGCTTATAAAGTTATTTATTTCTTCTAATTTTATGAATCCCATTAGTGTTGTTACATTTTTCAAATACTTCTGTCTCAAACCTCATATTGGCCGGCATTCAAGAGGCATCTGGAAGAGAGAATGGAAATCTCTTCATAAAAAAAAAAAAAAAAAAAAATATATATATATATATATATATATATATATATATAAAGATTGTGTTGGTGATGTTGTTAGTGGTGGGGCTTGGGGCAGATTACACTGAATTTGGGATGGAAGAGACGGATGGAGCAACGCCAAAGAATTTTTTCTTGGGATGCTTAGAATCACTAATTAGAAAACAAGGAGAAGGGAAGAGACCTTCCCATTAATAGTATACAGCTTACAATATGCACATTTAAAGGTTACATATACTAATTTGCTTTCAATCACAAATGTTTTTCAACTTTTCATATATAAAAATTGTGATTTTTAATAACATAAATTGGACAAATTAAGAACTAGCTTTTTAAAAAACAGCAAAAAATAGAATTCAATAGAAAGAAGAGAAAGAAATAGAGACAGAAAGAAAAAGAAAGAAGGGAGGGAGGAAGGAAGGAAGGAAGGAAGGAAAGGAGGAAGGAAAGGAGGGAAAGACAAAAGGAGAAAAGATTGGGATGATCCATTCTAGAACATGCTATTTATACCTCAAATTATATCAACATAAAATAAACTGATCGGCTATTCAGAACCAGAGGTCTTCATAAGAAAGTTATATTTTTAAATGACAGTAGATACATATCAGTAAAAAGAGATAAACTGATAAACTAATATTTCCATGAGATTTTCTTAGGAAACATAATTTATTTTAATATTTCATCCTAAATTGATTAATTGTTGGTAACATTTACTGTAACATTTTTCCAAGTGCATCATTACAAATAAACCAAAATGGGATAGGTACATTATTAGGTATCATATGAGAAACATATTACAGTTTTAGAATTTTGTAATAAAATTATTTTATGTTTTATGAAAATGAAGGGATTTCCCAAATATATGTAGTAACCAGTTGGCATTACATTCTAGATGAAGAAGTGACTTTTTAAAAAAATACGAAGGCATGCTGGATGATGTAGAAATGCTCTAACACCTGAAAAATTTTGGAGGAAAAGGAAAATTGTTTTCTAAATTTCTCATCATTGCATCCACTTCAGAACTTTAAGATTATTATCATCACGAACCAATATGGATGTGACATACCACATAATAATCAATAAATTTAAAGAAAATTTTTAACTGTTAGTTTAATTTCTTTGATCAAATATGCTCTTGTTATTTTATGCCAGTGCTGTTTTTATAGTGTATTTAGAAGATTAGTTGTCCTACAGTAACATTTATTTAATCACTGGAGTGCTAATTGCATTTTACATTCCATAACATCTTAATGGTTGGGCTGGCCATGACATGCTGATTGAAATTTAAATGAAATAGTGAAAAAAATAGCATACTCTATTTAAAACAATGGAAGTTGAGAACACTCTATAGATTAACTGGCTTGCTAAGTATCTTTGGCATTAAATTTGCAAACACAATATAGAGAAATTGAATTGTTATTTGCCATAATTAGTCTTTTTCTAGAAAAATATCACTAGAAAAAATTGAGAAAACTAGTGATAAGAGGAGCAATTAATATATTATTCTTTAAACATTTATAATTTATATATTTTATGTAGTCATATTCATTTATTAATTTGTACCTATTACATGTTGTATGTAATACATTATAGACATGTATATTAAATGTTGTATATTAAATATTATATATTATATATTTTATGTGTATACATTATATGAAATACATTTATTATATAGATATATGTCTAATATATATAAAATAAAACAATTATATATAAATATAATGAAATATAATTTTATATATACTTATTGTATCTCATTTATTTACTTATAACAAAATATCCAACAATTCTTTTTTGGAATTCTACCACCAACAACATGCCAGGCTATGTGACTGCGTAGAAGATATCTAGGAGAAGAAAAAGGGCATGCATCCTGTAACAATCAGCTCACAGACTGGTGACCAAAAGTGATTGGCAATGAGTGATGCTAGTAAAGTATAATGCATTCATTAATAGAGAATGGGCATGGTTTGATTTGATCAGCTCTAGCTGGCAGGGAGCCTGTCTCTTGACAATCCAGTAACAACGACCATTCCCTGAGAGCGTACTTTATGCTGAAGTTGTGGTAAACAGTTTATTTTATTTCAAAATTAACAAGTAAAAGATACTCGGGGAGATATTATTATTGTTCTTATTTAATATATGTGATAACTGAAGTTAAGAATCCACATAACTTCCCCAAAGTCACAGAAAAATTAATTGGTAATGTAACAATTTTAACCTCAGAATGACATTTAATCCTAGCTCTTAATCATGGTATCATTAATTTCTTATAGTTAAAATTTCTGAGTGTATCTCTAAAAGGATGTATCAGACTTCCTCATTCCATTTTTGTTTCCCAGTAAGTTCAGGTCTTGTGCATTTATATTATTTACTTAATGAATATAAGCCTCAATTGTTGATGAAAACATTACACTGTGCTGGCCGGGCACGGTGGCTCACACCTGTAATCCCAGCACTTTGGGAGGCCGAGGCAGGTGGATCACCTGAGGTCAGGAGTTCGAGATCAGCCGGGACAACATGGTGAAACCCCCTGTCTACTTAAAATACAAAAATTAGCTGGGCGTGATGGTGGGCACCAGTAATTCCAGCTACTTGGGAGACTAAGGAGGGAGAATCACTTGAACCTGGGAGGCAGAGGTTGCAGTGAGCCGAGGTCGTGCCACTGTACTCCAACCTGGGCACAACAGAGCAAGACTGTCAAAAAAAACATAAAAAAAAAGAAAAGAAGATAAAGAAAAGAAAGAAGAAAGAAAGAAAGAAAGAAAGAAAGAAAGAAAGAAAGAAAGAAAGAAAGAAAGGAAAGAAAGAAAAAGAAACAAAGAAACAAAGAGAAAGACATTATATATATATATATATATATATATATATATATATATATATGTATTACACTGTGTAAATTTCTTATCTCAGATTGATAGAGGATAGCAATCTTCCCTAAGCTCCTAAGAACATCATAAAAATCCTGTGCATTTGCTTTTCTACATTTTAATCTATTTTGTCATCCTTCCATCCATGTCAATTTTTTCCTCCAAACACTCAACTTGTAGCCTGCCAATATCTTTGTCTTTCAATATATTAATACTACAGGGCATATTAGTACTATAATGTGAACTCAGGATTAAGAAATTTATGATCTACTAAGAAAAAATTATATATTATATAAATATACAAACGTGAACTCACACATATGTACATATATACATATGTACACATAATTATAAATGTGTGTACATACATTTATTTATAAAAATTAAAATGCTGGTGCCCTTGACAGGTAGACACATGCACATAATAAAGAAAAAGGACCACTTTAAGGAGAACTACAAACTACTACGCAAGGAAATCAGACAGGACAAAAACAAATGGAAAAACATTGCATGCTCATTCATAGGAAGAATCAATATTGTGAAAATGGCCATACTGCCCAAAGTAATTTATAGATTCAATGTCATCCCCATCAAGCTACCATTGACTTTCTTCACAGAATTAGAAAAAAACTACTTTAAATTTCATATGGAATCAAAAAAGAGCCCATATAGCCAAGAAAATCCTAAGCAAAAAGAACAAAGCTGGAGGCATCATTCTACCTGACTTCAAACTATACTACAAGGCTACAGTAACCAAAACATCATGGTACTGGTACAAAAACAGATATATAGACCAATGGAACAAAACAGAGACTTCAGAAATAATGCCACACATCTGCAATCATCTGATCTTTGACAAACCTGAGAAAAACAAGCAATGGGGAAAGGATTCCTTATTTAATAAATTGTGTTGGGAAAACTGGCTGGCCATATGCAGAAAACTGAACCTGGACCCCTTCCTTACACCTTATGCAAAAATTAACTCGAGATAGATTAAAGACTTAAACCTAAGACCTAAAACCATAAAAACCCTAGAAGAAAACCTAGGCAATACCATTCAGGACATAGGCATGGGCAAAGACTTCAGTACTAAAATACCAAAAGCAATGGCAACAAAAGCCACAATTAACAACTGGGATCTAATTAAACTAAAGCGCTTCTGCACGAAGAAATTATCACCAGAGTGAACAGGTAACCTACAGAATGGCAGAAAAATTTTGCAATTTTCCAATCTGACAAAGGGCTAATATCTATAATCTACATGGAACTTAGATAAATTTACAAGAAAAAAAAAAACAAACAACCCTGTCAAAAAGTAGGTAAAGTATATGAACAGACACTTCTCAAAAGAAAATATTTATGTGGCCAAAAAACATATGAAAAAAAGCTCATCATCACTGGTCATTAGAGAAATGGAAATCAAAACCACAATGAGATACCATCTCAAGCCAGTTAGAATGGTGATCAACAAGTCAGGAAACAACAGATGCTGGAGAGGATGTGGAGAAACAGGAATGCTTTTACACTGTTGGTGGGAGTGTAAATTAGTTCAAACATTGTTGAAGACAGTTTGGCGATTCCTTAAGGATCTAGAACCAGGAATTCCATTTGACCCAGCAATCCCATTGCTGGGTATATACCCAAAGGATTATAAATCATTCTACTATAAAGACACACACACACATATGTTTATTCCAGCACTGTTCACAATAGCAAGACTTGGAACCAACACAAATACCCATCAATGATAGACTGGATAAAGAAACTGTGGCACATATACAACATGGAATACTATGCAGCCATGAAAAAGGATGAGTTCATGTCCTTTGCAGGGACACAAAGGAAGCTGGAAACCATCATTCTCAGCAAACTAACACGGGAACAGAAAACCAAACATCACATGTTCTCATTCATAAGTGGGAGCTGAACAATGAGAACACATGGACACAGGGAGGGGAACATCATACACCAGGACCTGTTGGGGGGTGGGGGGCAAGGGGAGGGATAGCATTAGGAGAAATATCTAATGTAGAAGATGGGTTGATGGGTGCAGCAAACCACCATGGCATGTGTATACCTATGTAATAAACCTGCACATTCTGCACATGTATCCCAGAACTTAAAGTATAACAATAATAAAAATAAATACATGAAAAAGAAAAAATAAAAAATTAAATCCAACTAGTGCATGTGTATGACACTGTAAAAGAATCAGGATGAAAAAAATGTTGATGGGCCTATATTGAGTGGAGGTTTATTGAGGCATATTCAACAGTGCAGGAAAATGCAGAAGGAAGTAATGGCATAGTGTTGAGGGAATTTTTAAAAATAATTTAAAAAGACTAGGTGACAAATAATAAATGGAGAAAGTGTGAGACTCCTAAAAACTCAATCCTGGCTTACTTCACAAAAAGTACTGGTATTGTAACAGACATGGGATAATCTGGAAGGTGCTGAAAAGGTTTGGAGAAAATAATATATATTTGATTTTGACCCAAGTTGAAATTAAGTTGAAGAAAAGTAGATATTTGTGCTTGAGAGAGCCTGCATGCAAGGGCTAAATATTTATGATTCACTTACACTGATCTCATTTAAGGCCATTGAAATGTATAGGAATGCCGAACAAATTAGATTAAGCAAGGTAATCAAAAGAACATCCTTGGGAAGAAACTCAAGAGGTAAAAGAGAAAATATTGCCAGAAGGGAATATGCAGTCAAAATTCTGGCTATCTAAGTAATTCATTATCATAGAAGCTGGGGAGGAAAGCATTTTAAGAAGGAAATGATGGTCAATAGTGGTACTCGCAGATTGACCTTGAAGGATAAGAGTAATGAGAAAAAGGAAACACAAAATGTTTCAATCAGGAGGCCATTGGTAATGTTCGAGGATAATTTGGCTAGAACGGTGGGCCAAATGCCAGACCAAAAGTGGTTATTTAGTATTTATATGGCTAATAAGAGCAAAATTTAATTTTTAATCAGTAAATTTATTTAATGCATATTTTCAATAATTTTGTATGTGATTTTTTTCTTTGAAAATTATTCTCTAAGAAAAAAAGGACTGTATCTTTCTGATTTAATTTTGTGGTGTCTCTAACAACACCTTGAGCTCTTTGGTGTTATAAATAATCACAATGAATAACATTGGAGAAAATTAATATATTTTGAGAAATTCTCCTGGAATTACATTGCTGTCTATACTACGGATTTAGGGTTCAAACCCCAGCTGTTTGGCAACTGCCAGAGCCTACCAGCTATGAGTTAGGACTTAGAATTTGCATTGCAAATAACCACCTGGTAATGATAGTTACCATTCGCCACTGCTTACACATTACACATAATGGATTGTTTTAGGAAGGCCAAGTATTCAACAGGCAGGCAGCTAAAACTGTGTCTGAATGTTCGTGCCAAGAGGAAAACGTGCCCATGTTTTTAACATAATTTTAAATTATGGAAATCGTTCTTCCATCACATTTTCTAAAGGTTTGGCTTGTTTTTTTTGTTAACCTTAAACCTTTTCAAGAAATTTTCAAACTGCCTCCTAAATCTCTTGAGTAAGAAATCAAGCTTTTTATCATCATTCCAGCTAGGCTTTTCTTTCTAATCATCCCCTTGCCAAAGAGTCCAAATGTAATTAATTTCCCCTGAAAATGTCTTTCTCTGCCTTCCCCATCATGTTTAACTCTGGTATGATTAACACATGCCAATTATGGAAGTTCTTCCCAAATGAACCTTTGGATGCATTTTAAAATAAATGAGAAGAATTACTGCTCATCTTGGTAAAAACAAATACACTGCTTTCACATCCTTCACTAATCTACAAGAGTCTGTTTATTAAGGAGAATAATGAAGCCAATTTGGAGAACCATATGAGACAAACTGATCTATCTGAGTGCCTATTTCATATTTCTATTATGTCTATGAGCTTAAATGTGAAAAAAAAAAATCTTGAGCTTTAATGTCTTGGGATTTTACTGACAAAACTGAGTAGTTGAGTGCTCTTTGGAATCATTGATTTGAAACAACATCAATAATGAGTGAAAAAGTCTAATCCGAAATATTACCTTTCTTGATGCCCATATCAAAGACCTTTTTCCTATTACATTTAACATCTTCTTTAGAGTAATTAACAGCACTAAGCCACTTCGTCACATGTATGGTAATTCTGAAGAAGCCTCAAGGCAGGATCAGCACACTATTTTCTAAAATATAATATTCTTCCATAGATTTACACTAAGGATATTACTCAAGATTCTGTCATATATGATTTCTCTAGTACATGTAGGCAAATTTTATTCATAAAGATGATAAACTCGGTGTGTCAAACAATACCACTGAGGAATAGAGGAGATTTCCAGAATTCAACTTTATTGTCATCTGCCTGTTGGCGGGACAGAAAATAAAAGAGCAATTATGGTTTATTTATGATAATATCAAATGATTTGAATAAAAACAATTAGTTGATTGGCAGAATCGATTAGAAAAACAAAGTTAACCAGTGTTGTTTAAAAACTTAAAACTTCAATCACTTACATCTGCACCATGTTCTCTAATTTTATTTTAATGCAGTTCCTAAAGACCTGAAGAAACAAACTGAGAACTAAGAAATTTAATATAAAAATGCTATTTGCTCTGTAACAAAATCTTGATTTATATAAATTTAATTTGTAGAGCTCTTATTACATTTTATACAGATCAGCAATTAGGAGGCTTATAGAGCATTTAAATAATTGGTTTTACTCAATTTTTGTTTTTCTAAAAAAAAGTATTAGAATATTTTAGTTATGGGAAGATAAAAATGTATTGATTAATTCTACAAATACGTATTAAGAACCTTCCTTATATAGATACTTTAGCAAATCTTAGAGTACTTAGGGGAGAAGGCAACACACGCACACACACAAACAAGATGTAGTAAGAGCTATGCTATAAAACACTATGGGAACACAGAAAAAGGAAAATATTCCTTTTGATAAACCAAACATCTGCGGTTTCTGTGCACTTTTCAACAACACTTGCTTAAAGATCCCTTTCTCAACACTGGTTTTCTTCAGTTCAGTTGACTTTGGCTACCCTGTTATTTCCCACAGGTTTCTGCCAGGGAATCAAAAATCAAAAGAGCAGCCACAGGCGTATGAGATATCATAGTCTGTTCGTACAGCTGAAACAAAATACCTGAGATTGGGTAATTTGTAAACAACAGGAACTTGTTTTTTACAGGTCTTCAGGCTGGGCAGTCCAAGACCAAGGGGCCAACAGGTTTGGTGTTTGGTGAAGCTCCAGTCTTTTTATTCAAGATGGAACCATAAATGCTGCTTTTTCTTGAGAGGACAAGTGCTGTATCCTTACACTGTAGAAGAGCAGAAAAGACCAAACTCATTCCCTCAAGCCCTTTTATCAGGGCACAAATCCTATGCCTGAGAGTTCTAACCTCATGATGTAATCATCTCCTAAAGCCTCCTCCTCTAAATACAATCACATTGGGCACTAAGTTTCAACATACAAATTCTGAGGGACTCAATCAGACCAGAGCATGAGGCAACCCCAAGCTTAATAACTCCTCTAAGTTGCTACTAAACAAAAGAAACAGATAACATTACTGAAGACCAGAAGCTATAGTCACCAAGCACAAGATGAAAGATGAAATCACAGCGGACCTGACTGTAAGACCTGTGAGAGGACACCAAGACAAGAAGAGAAGGGTAGAAATTCTTGGTTTCTCTTCTTTTCCTACTCCAATTTTTCAACAGTGCTTCCCATTAACTAAATTCCCCCAGCAATCTGAAGGCAAGGGCAAAGGAGGCACAAATCGGGGCATGGGCAAGAAATCAATAAATGGAGCCTACATGGGCCAAGGTATTCCCATTTAGCCAGTGGACTTGGTTCTCCAGGAAGAATGATCTGAGATAGACTCCATTTTCTAATGATAGTACCATGTAAGGGATGTTTACTTATACTTAAATTCATTTACTTTTTACATTAAGCTCTTTATTTTGAGATCATTTTAGATTCATATGCAGTTGTAAGAAATAAGGCAGAGAGATCCCGTGTGCCCTTTACCCAGTGTCCACCAATGATAACACCTTGCAAGACTCTGATACTAGTTATTTAATGTATTTAGTAAATTTACTTTTAAATTGCATTCTCCCTTACTTTTCTTCCTGTGAACAATTCTACTTTAAATACAATGCTTTCCCAATCCTGGGCTGTCTTCTAGGACAGTTAGGAACAATGAACGAAAAGAGAAGTCTCTCAGCTCACCTGGGCCATTTTCTACTTCATTTAACCACATTTTTTTCAGGTAATCAACTCAGGGCCACTTGGTCTTCATTTGAAGCCCATCTCTGGGCTTGGTCATAAGACCTTCCAGCTTACAGTTTCTCAGATTGCAGTCATCTATTTAATACCTGCCCGAAATTGATAACTTAAATGAGCTATTTATTAAACATAATATTAGCTCCTTGTAAGCAAAGGAGCTCTTTTATGTTCCACTGCACTTCCAGCTCCTAGAAACTTACCTGGTTCACAGTGAGGATTCAATAAGTTTTTATAAAATATTTAACCATGATATTATTCAGCCAGTAACATTCTTATTCTATATTATTCTTATCAGGATACACCTGTAGCTCAGCTATTTTTCATATTATCTTTTGTAATTGAAAAAGTAGAACATTTGTACTAAATAATGCAATACAAGTAAAGTTATCACAAAATGAAATTAGTATATGATTATCAAGTTGTTTTAATTTAATTGTTTTGTTGCAATGTGAATAAATTACTGGCTCTGGTATTACATTTTTATACTAACTGAATCTACATAATACACTATATTGTATGTTTGCTATGAACTCATCTGAACAAAATATATACCTCCTAAATATGTGTGTATATTTATGTTTGGATTAACGTGTATATATGTACACATACACATTAACATGTGATTTTCCTACTCATAACAAATATATATATGCTGTTTATAATTTTTCACATTCTAAAACTATGGATAATATTCATGACCAAATTATTGATATTAAATGTACACATAATTATCATTTTATAAAATCATTCATTTAATATGTACCGTTTGTGATCATTTGTAAACTTCCATCTTTCTTTAATCAACTTTGACTATTGGAACTGGCATAATTTATTTTAAGGAAACCCTACAGATTTTTGGTACTAACACTTACGTTGTAGGAATATTTGCATACATAGTCTTGGAGTAATTTTGAATTTTTTTGTCATGTTTTGCATTAGAATTTAGTTAACATTTTCAATCTTCATCTGTAATGTGCAAATAAAATTTATCTGTTGAATGTGCTTGTGTGTGAATATAGACAATGTGCCCATAATTGCATGCCATTTCAGATGTAGGCAATTCTCTTAGTTGAGCTGCTAAAATATAATACTTTTGACATGATCACAAAAAAAGTATATTTAAAACTTTGACATAATCACAAAAAGGTATATTTAAAACTAATGATATTTTAAACTAACTATCAGGAGACATGGTGAAGATCAACTTTTCTGAATATTGCCTTGGGTTACTCTTTGTAGACATTTTTTCTCCTGATCGGAGAGAAAGATACCTTAAGAGTTAGTTAGTGATTTATATGGCCATAAATTCACTCTCATTTAAACAAGTGTTCCCTTCTCCCATCCAGTTAGAAACAAGGTAATCAACCACAAAGTGACAGATTAGAGTTTTCTAAAGTCATGTTTTTTTCTGTCTTAGTACTCCTTCCTGGGCAGGACATAAATGAACCTCACTTAGGAACTGGGTCTGTTGCGTTCTCTTCACCCCATTCTGTTGCCAAAAGACATACATGACATTCTATCAAACGAAATGTTTGTAGAAGACAAAGTTGAAATCTCAATGCAAATACTGATGAAGGATTTAACCTAACAGGTTCACACAGGATTGAGGTTTAACAGAAAAGTCATAGACCAGGAAGAATGAATCCTGGATTTTTGCCGTTTCATATCTGCCATGAAGTAATGAGATCACCTCACATAAACCCCTTCTCTTTGGCCTTTCTTTACTCACCTATGAAATTACAAGTGTTCTGCAGGAGCATGTCCCAGATTTCTTTCTGTTCTAATACTTTAATATTTTATTATTCTTCTTGATTAAATAGTTTTTTTAATGTCTTCCCAGTGCACATGGTGTATTTATTTCTCTATTGCTTATCTCACTTTAGAATGTGCTGGGATTTTTGCTTCCAAAGCTAAATCATGAGTTCATTCAGCACAGGGGCTGGAACTTTTCCAAGAGATACAAAATTATCTCCAGAAGATGGTAGATTTTAGATAAATGTCCACTTCTAAACTGAATGTTATTCCAACAATTTAAGCAACTGCACACTTTCTTTCACTTGTTGAAGGGCAAAATGATGACCAGAAAAGTGTTCTCAGTCCATGATTTTTTTCATAAGCACAGAAAGAAATAGACATCTTCTAAAGACGTGTTCAAGAAAACAGAGGGCCAAAGAAGATACACAATAGTGTTGCCACTTTTAACTATTTCATTTACATTTCTGATGTATAACAATATAATGATTACATAGTTACAGCAATAATATCTAAAATAGCATTTAGGAAAAATTCTAAATGCTTCAAAATTTGTTAAGAGCAATTTAAAATGCTATCAAATTTGTATATACAAATATTGCAGTTTATTTGTTGTTTTATAACACATTTCACAGCAATTCTAAAACCATGTATTGTATATTAGGTCATGTGTTCACCGGCTTAAACAGCAAGGAGGAGTGAAAACATTCTGCTAAGTTTGGCCTCCACTCAAACCTAATGCATTTTATATGTCAAATGGATTCAACGCTTTCAAGGACAGAATGCAATCTATTTTTTGGCAAATATATGAGCTCCCAGGTTGAAGAAAAGACTATTGGAAACATTTCCACCCATAGCACTTTTTTATATTTTAAAATAATATTTCGATGAGTGAATATAAACCAATCAACCAATATAGTGTGTGATTTAAACACTCTGAAATCTATTTTATAATGAGTTAGATAAGCATTTCAGTAAAATGCATTTAGAATTTACGTTCCTGTTTTTTATGGTTTCTAAAAGTGTTCAGCTAGATATGTACTAATGCAAAGATGTTTTCTTTTCAAACGTCACCCAATTTGACTGTGTGATCGGAGGTATAAAGGTGGTTTAATTGAGAATTTTTTAAAAAATTAAATGTTGTGGTTGTTAAGAGTAATCCCATTCTCCTTGCCAAAGTGATATTTAGGTCTGGACAGAAAGGCTGGCCAACCTATGCACTGAATCCTTGGCAATGGTTTAATTCAAAGGTGCCAGCTACAGATTTTCCAAGACCACAAGAGTATCTGTTGATCATGAAAGCTGAGTTCACTCCTATAATACCAAGGAGAGTATCATCTCCACAGAGCCTGGGTAACACTTTACAACAGGAAAGTCAGAATAGGGTTTTGTGATCAAGGCACTGGTGGTTTAAACCAGTCCCTTTAATACAGGAATCTCAGTAAAGTGGAGCAAAGTTTATGATATAATAATTTAAGATTAGTGCACAGAGATAAGTGAAGTCCTTGAAGCAACCCTTGATAATAAGCAATGTTTTGAGAAGTAGGCAATTTGCTCAGTTAAGTCACCTAGGTCCTGAGAAAGCAGCTGTTTGCTCAAATGAACAAAACGTTTTCTTGAGCAGAGAGCAGCTTAAGTAATCTGTCAGCAAACAATGACATTATTCACTAGTTTACAGAGTTGTATCTTCCTAGGCAAGAAATTCCTGGAATAAAGAGGGAACTCCTGTTTAGGGAAGTGGCTTCCTTTCTAAATCCTGATAGTTAGGCTACAGAAAGGCAGGACCTCTTCATACTCAAAGTGGAGTTTCTAATATTTCTTGTACTACTATTTTTTATTTGACAAAAAAAGTATATGTTTATGGTATACAACATAATGTTTTGAAATATGTATACATTGTAGGATGGCTAAATCAAGCTAAATAGAACATGTTTTATATCACATTCTTATTTTTTGTAGTAAGAATACTTAAAATTTACTCTTTTAGTAGTTTCCAAGTATACAATACATTATTATTAACTATAGTTACCATGTTGTACACTGTATCCCTTGAATTTATTCCTCTTGTCTAACCGAAATTTTGAATCCTTTTTATCCTTTCTTCATTTCCCCATTCCCTCCACTACCCAGCCCTTGGTAACCACCCTTCTAACTGTTAATAACTGGAGAAATTCTCTCTTGCTCGGGCAGCTGAAGTTATGTGGTGTGATGCTTCTGCACTTTTGCTATTATAAGATCAGCCTGAGGATGACAGTTACATATAGACAAGGGTAGAAATGGGAGAAACACATGGAAATAGAGCTGGAGACCTGACAACATTGTAACCTAGTATGATATGGCACTAGGTTTTTCACATATATGAACCAATCAATTCATTCTCTTGCATTGCACATTTTACATTGGGATGTCTGCAATCTGCCTCCGAAATATGGTGATTGACTCAGGAACACAATAAACAATTAACAATTTTTTTTTTTTTGGTTAGGTAGAACTGAAGGAACATGGAATATTCCCTCAAAAATAATGGTTGTGAAGAATATTTGAATATATGGAAAAATCCTTTAGAATGTAATTTGAGGAAACTAAGGAATATGCAAAAGTTTTATTAATTCAACAAAGTTTGCTGAGAATATATCATGTATCTGATTCCTGCCCTCAGGATCCCACCTTATTTTTTAAAGAATATATTCATATTAGAAAAGGAAGAAGTTCAAGCGATTATTACCGGTAGTTATTTATAAAGAGTGAGCTCACGGCTGATTTTTTCTTCTTTATATTTTTATTAAAAATACTTTTTCACAATATATTAATCTTATTTATCTTTAAAAATATTGCTTTGAAAATTGTAAACAATTGCAGAAGCACTAAGATTTTGGAAAGTCATACCGTTAGCTTTAAGTTCAGTCTCTATAAATCTAGGAGGCATTTAATGCCATACAAAATATAGCTGATTTAAGATACTAATTGGGGATTTTTAATTCCCAGCTCAATTATTTTATCCCTATTTGATACGGATATTAAGGAGATGGAAAAATAAAAGAAAATTTAAAGTATAGGTTCTGAAAAATGATTAAAAGTCAAACATAACACTTTATAACCCTAAAATAGGCTCATTTATAATTTGTATTGGTATGCTAGTTTATAATTTTAAGTATAATTCTTGATAACTACAGAAAAGACATAACAAAACTTTTTAAAAAATCACAACCAAAATAATTATAAATATCCAATTTCTATATCCTAGATGTTATTTGTAATATCTAGATATATGCAAACAGATATAACGAAATATAATTTAAAAATATATATTATTAGAAAACATTACTATTAAAAATTATTGTACTGTACACTCAGTTTGAGGGTACTATATATTCTGATTTTTAGCTATATATTTCATTACTCATATTGATGGCAGCCACTGTCCACCTGGAGCAGCAGGCTGCCATGATGCCGGCTGCAATGGGGAGGTGCAGCTGGGGGCTGTGCGCTCCATTGAGTGGGAAGGAGCTTGGAACAGGTGGAAGCCCTGTCCACCTCCGAATTTACTGTGTGGGAGCCTTGTGCTACCTGGGCGCAGCTGCAGCCACCGAGACTGCCGCGGATCTGGACCCGGTCATCTCTGTGCTCTCTGAGGCTTGGGAAGTCCCCTGCACCCACAGGTGTGGAAGTGCCTGTTCTCACTGCCTGGCCTCTTCCAGCTCCCCAGTGTCTGCTCTGATCTTGGAGCAAATTTGAGGCCGAGCCTGGGAGCTACTGCAACCCAGCCAGATGTGCGCATGCTCAGGGCAGTGGTTACACGCCAGCCCCCTACTGCCTTGGCATTCTCTGGACTTTGGGCAACTGAGGAGCACCAAAGGGAGGGCAATGGGTTGGGAGCTGAGGGCAGCTTGGCACTGGCCTGCAGGCGCCCCTCAGCACAAACATCCTGGGCCAGGCAGGAGGCATACATGTTCCTGGGCGAAAAGGGACAGGTTCCTGGAGAAGCCCTACCTTCAAGCCAGGGATGGCCTGATGCCTGGGGGCCCGGTTGATGGACCAGAATGGGAACTTATTATATTATGAATATTTTTCTTTGAATGATTTAAACTATAAAATTACTAAATTTATCTTTGGTCCCTAACTGAAGGTCCATTTTTTTTTCAGAACTAGTTTTTTGTTTTTTTTTTTTTTTGAGAATTAGTCTTCAAATTAAAGTTGCTTTGCATTAATGAAGTTTACTTAAAATCTCCAATTTCAGAAGTGAAAATTAAAATCCACTTATTTTGGCAAGATTATCAAAAACAATATCGTAATGATAATGATAATGATAGAGGCTATATTTTTAAACAGTACATATAGCTTGAAAAATTAGACAGTAACTTGATTTTTACAGATATATGTATATTACATATATCCCATTACATATATTACATATATATTACATAGATTACATATATCCCAGAAGAAAAGGTCAATATCTCTATCATACGTACAAAATATTAAATGATTTCACTTCCTTCTTGGTTGCATATCAATTTTCAGAGATCAAATACAATTTTATGATAGGTGGCCTTATCCCTGTCAGTAAGTGATGTGTCTTTGAGCTGTGCATCAATGTGAAATATATTATTATTCTTGTATTTTTACAGGAATAGAATAGCACATCTTTATTAAGTGTCAAGTGTTTATCTTACAAGATTTAGAGTTCATAAAAATGTACAAGAAATGTGTCACAACAATTGTTTTAACATCATATAAGTTTACATTTTAGGAAAATTAATAATACACTAAAATGTGTTCTCCAATAGCATTTTAGCATTTAAAAAACTGCTTACTAAAGTTTTTATTATCCATGTGGCATTATAGAAACAAAACAATATATTTTACTTTGTACAGAAAATAATTTTGGAAATATTCTAATGCATGCTTAGTATATTTAAATTCATGCATTTGCCAAAAAAGAAATGATACTAAATGTGGCATTTACATAACATGCCACTCTTTTCCATGCCATTTTGTTTTAGGGCAACAAAACAATTGATCCATTATTCATGCATTTGATTCTATATTCAACTTCACGTTGGGTAGTCTCGATTTTACCAATATGCCAGTCAACATAAGTATAAATGCCAACCTTTACAGGTTCTATGCAAATTCTATGTGGACAAACATCAGAAAAGTTTAATCAGATTTTGTTTAAAAAGTATAGACAAAGTTAAACTATTAGAAATCTCACTTTTGAACTTAAAAATAAATGAAACATATGTTCCTCAAAATATTAAAAATAGAAATACCATATGATTCAGCAATCCCACTTCTGGCTATATATCTAGAGAAAGTGAAATCCGTACTTCTAAGAGTTATTTCCAACCCTCTTTTCATTGCAGCATTATTCACAGTAATCAAGATGTGGAAACAATAAGTGTCCATCAACAGATGAATAGATAAAGAAAATGTGAATGGAATGGAATATTATTAAGCCAAGCAAGAAGGAACGTTTGCCATTTGCAACAATATGGATAAACCTGGATAACATTATGCTACATGAAACAAACTAAATCCAAAGAGACAAATACCGTATAATGTTACTTGTATGTGGAATCTAAAGAAGTTGAAGTCATAGCAGTAGAAAATAGAATGGTGATTTCTGGGGGCTGGTGGTTTGAAGAGATGAGGAGATGCTGATAAAAGGTTACAAATTTAATTATAAGATGAACAAGTTCTGGAGATCTAATGTATAGCACGGGTAGTGATAAATGTGTTAATTAAATTGATTGTGATAATCATTATACAATGTATACACATATAAAATTGTCACATTGTACACCTTGAATATGCACAATCTTTACTTGTCAATTAAGTATTTTAAAGTATAAAAAGAAAACTGTGAAACATTCATAGAGATTATAACACAAGAAGTCTCATGTGTACAAATAACTAATACCCATTGTAAGCACCTGGCTGCAGGAAGGGAGATAAATAATATAAAATACTATTCATTAGCCAAAGCCTTTTTAAAATCTTTTCTTCTACCTCCTTCTCCTCCTTCTTCTTTTCTCATCTCTCCCACCTCTCTCCCACCCTTACTTCTCCTCCTCCTCCTCCTTGTTCTTTCTATTTAAATATTACTGTTAGAAAGATCCTAGTAGGAATCAGCTGATAGCAATTGCTCCTTTGAAAATTCTAAGTTGTCTCTAGACCTGTAGTCTTACCCAGGTTATTGTTAGTTCTTAAGAATCTTTTATGAATTTTAACTCTTTTTTAACTTAAAATAAAATAAACCATCTGAAATTCTTGGATTTGTTGGCAAAGGCATTATTGGCTTATTTGTTAAAATTAAATAATAACTGAAGCATTCAGGTTTTATTTTTCTTTGTAAAATGTATTCCCTGTGAGCATTTCTTAAAATTGATATATGTATTTTCTTTAGAATTACAGATTCTGTTTTCCTCCCAAAATTAATTAGATGTTGTGAAATACTCCTAGATGGACATTCTCTGTCATAAATGAAAGTAAAGTATTAAATTGTATCTAATTTTTAAGAGTACAGAAAATACTGTCTTTGTTTCCATATTGATTTAATACTCTAGTGACTTTGATAGGTAGCAAATATATAATGAAAAAAATAAGAAGCAACCATCTCTGTAAATCTACTTTTTCAGTATTTTTTTTTTCCTATTAGTCTTATCATCTAACTTTAAAAGATAACTGGGGAAACTTCTAGTTCTAAAATGTCAATAGAGGCAGGCTTCCCTCCTCCACCGACAAAGAAAATCAAAAGCAAACACACAGCACTGAGATTATCACCAGAAATATCCTAGAACTCAAATATGAAGATAAGACAACTCCCCGAGCCACATAGAAGTGAAAAACTCCCAGCAGCTGGTAAGACAATTGAACTTCCACATCTGTGATGCCCCTCCCCCATTCTGCCCTGCCCAAAGAACGCAGAAAATTGTTCTCTAACTCACTGGTTCTAAAACTGGAAAAAGCGAGGTTGAGGTGGACAACCAGCATCGCCATCATCTTGAAATCTGAGGCAGGAGACATGTCTCTGTTTTAAATCACGGAAAGCATCACACGTTCCCCAAAGGAGAAATAACCCTTAGGATAGGCAGAGAAAAAGAGGGAAGGTGGGACAACCATCCTCAGGACCGGAAGCGCTGTACTGTAACTCAATCAAAGAAAACACAAAATCAGAGTGACCATCTGCGGTACCACACAGAAGGATGTTTGTCCCACAAGTCCCCTGGGCATGAACCCTGAGCTAGCCTTTCCACACTACTAAGATATCCCTGTAGGAATGTCCTCCATTTGGGAAGGTGATATGGTTTTGATTTCGTGTCTCTGACCAAATTTCAGAGCTAATTGTAATTCCCCATGTTAGATGGAGGAAGGGCCAAGTGGGAGGTGATTGGATCATGGGGGCGGATTTCTCTTTTGCTGTCCTAGTGATAGTGACTTCTCACAAGATCTGGATTTTTAAAAGTGTGTAGCACCTCCCCCTTCACTCTCTTGCTCCTGCTCTATGCATGTAAGACGTGGCCACTTCCCCTTCGTCTTTGGCCGTAATTGTAAGTTTCCCCAGGCCTCCTCAGCCATGCTTCCTGTGCATCCTGTGGAACCATGAGACAATTAAACCTCTTTCCTTTATAAATTACCTGGTCTCAGGTACTTACTTTTTGCCAATACTTTCAATGGCAGGAACCACAATTACGTTTGCACCAATCTAATATCTATAGCAATGAGAGAGTAGGCTAATACAGAAGGACAATGCTTTAATCCTTTACTGGATCCAAAGTGAACCTAGGTTGAAGGTGCTATCTGGAGCAAAAAGGTGGCAGTGACCTAGCCATAAATAACCTCTAAGCACATATATCCAGTACAAATCAAAAGAAGCCAGGCAGAGAGGACTAGAATAAATCACTAAATTTTGAATGCAAAGACATAGACATATATCCACAAGAAACAACAGCAAACACAGAAGCTCTCTGACCAAGAATTCTAAATTTATTAGAGAAATTTGCCAGAGAGATTAAAATAATAATTTTAAGAAAAAAGAAATCTTAGAACTGAGAAACAGATTTGCTGAACTGAAAATATTATTAAAGGGTCTCAAAAAAATCTCTCAAGCAAAGGAAAGAATCAGTGAGCTTGAAGACAGGCTGTTTGAAAATACACAGTCAGAAGAGAAAAAAAATGAACTAAAAGCAAAGAAAATTGCCTACAAGATATAGAAAACTACCTCAAGAGACTAAATCTAAGAATTATTGGTGTTCAAGAGGGCATTGAGCAAGAGCAAGGAGTAGGAAGCTTCTCCAAAGAAACAGTAACAAAAACATTTCCCAAACCTTAGGAACATTAAATATAGGAAGGTCAGAGAACACCAAACAGTTTTGATCCAAATAAGACTACACCAAGACATATACTAATCAAATTCTTGAAGGTCAAGGACAAAGAGAATTCTAAAAGCAGTAAGAAAAAAGAAGCAAAAACATAAAGGAACTCCAACTTGTCTATCAGCAGACTTCTCAATGGACAGTCCTGGAGGGAATAAAATGGGACGTTCAAAGTGCTGAAAGGAAAAAAAAAAAATATATATATATGTATGTATATATATATATATATATATATATATATATATATATATATATGTATATATATAAAACCTGTCATCCAAGAATACTGTAGCCAGCAAAGTTATCTTTTGAATGTGAAGGAGAGATAAAATTCTTTCCTAGAGAGGATTCACAAACACCAGATCCATCTTATTAGAAATGCTAAATATCTTCAACCTGAAAGAAAAAAACACTAATATGCAATAAATAAGTAAATAAATAAATAAATAAATAAATAAATAAAGGTATAAAATTCGGTGGCAAAGTTAAGTTTATGGACAAACCCAGAAAACTAAGAAGACTTTAATACTGTATTTGTGGTATGCAATTGACATAATTACCGGACGCTGGGAAGTGTAGTGGGGGCGGGGGAGATGATGGCTAATGGTTACAAAAATTTGAAAGAATGAATATGATATTGTATTCGATAGTATGACAGGGTGACTATACTCACTAATAATTTAATTGTACATTTAAAAATAGCTTAAAAAGTATAATTGGATTGCTTGTAACACAAAGGGTGAATGCTTGAGATGATGGAAAAAATAAATATTTGGGCTGTTTGTATATTTGTTGATACTAATTACTAGTTTAGTAATCTCTTGCTCTGTTGTAGTCCCAATTCTAAAAGCTTGATATGTATAAACTCATTTAACCATAATCAATTCCTATTATTTTGTTTCATTTTTTATTGTTTTTATGATAAAAACTCTATCCCCATATTATAGATGAGAAATGTTGAAGCCAAGAGAGATATTAAGCAACACGCCAAAATTAGGCAGCCCAGGAAATGGCAGATCCGGGATGTGACCCAAGACAATACTGCCTTGTGTTCATGTTCTTCTTTTGTAGGCCCTCCACAAGCATCCAGTAATTCTAATAGTTAATAAGACCAAGATGTCTTATTGTTGCCGTAACAAATTACCCAAAGCTTGGTGGCTCAATACCCCATCTCAATACCCTTTTCTTAATCACATCTCCAAAATCTCTTTAGCCATATAAGATAAAATACTCCTATAAAGTAATATATATTGGAATCAGAATTTGGACATCTTAAGTAGTGGGGAGTATTATTCTGCTATGATAGCATTGAATAGTAATTTATCAATCCATAATCTAGATATTCAAATATATTAAATGAAATGGACTCAAATTAACTAACCATGGTTTATTTTGACAAATTAGCCAGGCAAATCCTTACCCAAATAAGAAAAGTTGCATACTTGAAATAAAATGTGGATATATTCAATTTATTTATAACTATCAAAAGGAAAAGACAAGCCACAGACATTTATTGAGAGCCTTCCATATGAGTAAGACACCACAGAAACTCATATTTGAGTGAAAAGAGCACATTACGTACTACGTGACTCCATAAGGAGGAGGCAATTGTCCCACATGATAGTACTGCAAGAAAAAGTCTCTACTTCCAATGACTCACAACTAAAAAATAAATAAAAATTTGATTCAGGAGAAAGTAGCATATTTGGGCAAGAATAAAGAGCTAGATATTTTGATTTTTCTGCTAGCCACTATATAATGTAAACATATTTCCTCTCCATAAAGAAAAACAATAAACAAAAGTAAAATAACTCTCTTATTTAAATTAGAGTGATACATTATTTTTTTCATCTCTGGGGAGTGAAAGGAACTGATTGTACTCTTTACCTAAACTACCAGTTAATCTTGAAATTTAAACACTAATCATTGAAAGGTGAAAGATTAGGAAGAGGAATGGTATGTCAATAGGCACTCAAAATAAATAAACACATTACTTCAATTATTTTGAAATGCTGTACTAAAATTCCACGTATTGACATAGATTTGTTGAGATTTGGCCTGTTCTATTTCTTATTTTTCTTTCATAACACTAAGTTGACTGATTGATTATTAAGTTGCCTCATGAAACAATTTTTTATTAGTTTTCCATGCCCTCTGCAATATTGTGTTTATGAGTAGTTAGTCACTTACACCCTCTACTTCCCCAAACTCCATTTGTTGCTTTGGCAGAGGCCCGATGATAGTGTTTTCACTACAATCCACTTAAGTCAAAGCTGTTTCTATCCCTTGTTACCTAGAGTGATTATCTATCCCAATTTATCTGGACTAGTCAAATTTTACACTTGTTTTGACATAATCCTGTACTGGTTTATACATTAAATTACAGGAATGTATTTAAAATAGGATCTAAATTACTATTTAGATCCCTTGTATCTCAACCCAGCAAGAAAACTGTATTTTCTCATCCACACTGACTCTCAAAATTATTTTTTCTTATATGAAACTCTCTAAATCGTTGACATCTACACCATGCAGCCATTATGCCTTCCCCATTGCCATCACTCACAGCCCTACTTCCCTAGTTTTTTTAATCTTGATGAAAAGTCATCATCATCCACTTCTTTGCTCATGTCAGAAAACTAGAGGCATCCAAGATTTCTCTCTTCCCTCCACCTCCCACCAACCGATTCTTAACCAAGGCCATTGTTATACTTTCAATATAAATGTATATAACAAATCATCTTTTTCTCTTCTCCCACTCTCCGAAAGCCAAGCCTAAGCCAACAATATGTCATGTTTAGAAAACTAAAATACCATCTTTCTTTTCCTTAACTCTGTTCTTGCTACGTTCTTTTCTTCTCATTGTATCAGTAAAGGACTTCCCTTTTAATTAATGTTTACATACAACTGATGTTTATAGAGACGCAAATGAGAAGGGTGTAAGTAACATTTTTTTTTCGTGTGATAGTCTAGACATAAGATAGCTAACAAGATATGGTTTCCAGCATCCAGGTATGTAGAAGGATTCTATATATCTATGGATCTTCCATCCCTAGCATGCTTTCATCAATATGCTCTATTATGATTCACCAATATGTCTACGATGCAAACAAAGGTAAAGAGGAAATGGAGAGAAGAGGACTACTTTTGTTTTCAGAACACAACCTAGCTCATTGGCAAGGTCTCATTCAATGGCCGTGTATCGCTTTAAGAAAGCTGAAAAATAGAATCTTAGTGGCCACTCAAAAAACAAGAGCTCCATTACCAGGGAAGAAAAAAATAATGGATAGAGAACACACACTTCCTGTACTGTAATGGAAGTCAAATAAAATTGGTTCTTTGGTTAGAAATCTTTTGTTTACTACAGTTTATTGCATTTGGTGGGGTGGGGGAAAATCAAATTCTACCCCAAGGTAGATAAGGAACTTGCATAGCTCTTCAGACACATTTCTTGCCATTGCTTCTTCACGCAGTGCATCACCCAAGCACACAGAGCTCTTTCCCACCTCAGAGCAGGTGTATTTGCTCTTCTCTTTATCCAGACTCTATCAGGATCTTCCCATAGCTCCTCGTCTTCACGTGGGCCTCAACTTAAATATCTTCCTCAGAGATACACCTTCTTTGACTATTGCATCAAAATATCTCTCCCGTTTTTTCCTAACACAAACCACTTAGAAAAATCTTCGTAACAGTTAGCACAACCTTTAATATTTTAATGTACTTGTCCATTTGTTTGTTATTTCTCTAAAGTTCTGCAGATTCTATGAGGTTTCTTGTTTGCTTATCTTCCTTCTGTCTGCACTCCAGTTACTGGAATGAAATCATGTACTAGAAACTCAATAAATATTTGTTAAATAAATGTTGAAATAAAAAATTAAATGATCAAAAATACAGGAGGCTTGTATACAGTATGATAATTTAAGAAATAAATGTTTCCCAGAATCATAAAAAGTTGTGATATAACACTTTGCTTTTGTTAAAGCATCTTTTCTATAATAAATCAGACTGTAAAATATGATATGCTTTCAAAAAATATGTTTGCTTAGCCTACCTCTTATCAACAAAGGAGTATGATAATTAATTTAATTTTTTCTCGAAATTGAAGCCCATCCTTTTAAGGAAATATAAAATATTATTATATTTACTAATGAAAAGAATTGGCATAGAGATATTTATAAGCATTGGCTTACATTATTAGTATCATTAAATTGGTAATACTTAATAGAGGTTCCTTTTAAAAGAAATTTTTATTCAATTCTTTAAATAAAGAAAACAGGACATATCTTTAGCTTACATAACTGGACTTTTTGTTACCATTCATTACCAAAAAAATAGTTTTATTCATTGTAAACCTTTAAATCTCAATGGTATAGGTACATACTTATCTGGCAAGATGTCTACCTGTTTCCTGAATGACCCTTCTAAACTCATGCCTTGATGATTCTCTGTAGAGCACTCTGACATACCTAAAGTGGTAGAATCTATTCCAGTCTCTTTTTCCTCCATGAAGTTCACTCTAATGTTAATGAATTACATTCACATGGTTTGTGCCCTTGGCCTCTTTGTAACTACTACTAGGGAAAGCTACTGTTGGCTTATTCAGAGAATGGTCAGGGAGCACCTCACTTTGTACTGAGAAAATGGTTCTATCCACAGTCCAGGTCTTGCTTTTCAGCCTTCACTTCCTGCCAACCTTTATCCTCTTCCAAAGTGGGTTTCTTGCAAGAAAAACATTGTACAGCCTTTTGCTAATAACCTCACCCATCAGCTGGGTACAGGTCCAAAGCCCAATTATTGGTCAAGTTAAAATTCTCCCATGCAGAACTCCTGAGTCCAATTCTAATGAAAGTATGTGGCTGGGCATGTTTCTGTATCCCTGGTATTTGCAGGCATCTGAATGTTTTATGACTGTTTCATGGCCAGTGTAACCACATTTCTTGAAGCATCTCCATGTGACTGCATAGCATAATTCCACCAGCCAGCCTTGTAGTCTTATTTCTAGTAACCATTTAACAATATTTTTATACATGTAAGGGAAAAAACAAAGAACACAGAGAATTGCAATGTTAATAAAATGTAAAGAGTAATTTTTTTAAACTAGAAATAAACTCATAATGAACCAAGTTTGTTGAAGTTTTGTGGGGGATCATACCATATTGGCAGATAATTGTACCAACACTTATTAATTTCCACTTAAAAATGCTATGATTAAAATTAACTACCAACTTTAAATATTTTGGACATCTATTTTGTTCACATTGTTTCTAGTTTAGATTCTGCCATTTGGATAATTTTATAACAGCATAAATGTTAATATGCTTCTCTCAAATTTAGTTTTTTGTTCTGAAAAATGAAGATATTGGGATGAAAAGATCATTTTTAAATGAACTGATTCAAAAAATAAATCTACAATACAACCTTATTAAATACAGGAGATGTGATGGAAAAGCAGATATTTAAAACTAATAAAATTATTTTAGCATAATTTATTTTAGAAAAGAGAAGCTAGGGGTCTGCTTCCTCAACTGCCTGTCCTGCTCACCTAGGTGAGGACTTTCTGAAGAAAACCCAATGCTCTGAGCAGCTCCATGACAAGATGGCAGACAAGCACTACTGACAATCAATCTCTCCTCCTCCGTATCAAGGCCGTGCTACAATAACCACAGTATAAAGGCAATAAATAATAATAGTTCTAAAAGAAGAAATAACATTTCTATGCAAAAATACATTAGAATTGGCTGAAACACAGGATGCCAATGACAGCATCCACTGAAGATGAGCAGAGGAAACTGTAACCCTATGTAGCATATCTAACTGTGAGTTGTTTTAAGGGAGGCGGAAAAGTTGCAAGCTTAAAGTTGAAAAGTACAAGGAGCAACCCCTAACAGAACAGAAGTGTTTAGACTTCTTTTAATTTATATGGGATACTGAGAGACAAACTGCTTAAGAAAATTGTAACAGAAAATTAATTTGGCATGATTTTTAAACAATTTAATGTTAAACAATACTTTGTAGATACTATGTTTTTCTCCCCCATTACAGAATATGAAACTTCTCTCTGAGGAATACACAAACCAAGATCAAGACTAACTCCTTTCTAGGTTACCTTCATTGCTGGAGAACAATGGGCAACAGTCAGTTAATTTCTTTGTCTTCATATGAGAAGAAATAAAAAGTGTATATAAATTTCTCTTCGAACTTTTCCCCTTTCTCTTTAGTTTCCTTAATGACAGTATATTTATTTTCTATTGCTGTGCAACAAATTACCCTAAAACTCACTGTTTTAAAGAAATAAAGACTTATTGTCTAACTGTCTGTGGGTCAGAAATGTGGCACAGCTTTCTGCACATCTCTCTGTAGCACAAGGCTTCTGGCACGGTTGCAGTTAATCTGTCTGGGCTGTGGTCTCCTGTGAGGTCTCCACTGGGGGACGTGCAACTTTCAACTTCACCAGGGCGATTATCGGTAGGATCCTGCTGTTCAGGGACTGTTCAGTTGAGGACCTCAGTTTCTCTCTGGCTGTTGGCTAGAGGCACTCCACAGTTCCTTACCATGTAGGTCTCTCCAAAGGCAGCTTCCTTCAGAGTGGATGAGGGAGAGGGCGAGAGAAAGCACCTGATCCAGAAGTCATCATCGTTTTGTAACCTAATCTCAAAATGACAGCACAAGCCTTCTGATGCATTCTTTCCATTAGCAGTAGGTTACTAAGTGCAGTTCACATCATCTCAACTGAGATTACACAAGGATGTGAATACCTAGAGATGGAACTCTTTAGAGATCAACTTAAAAGTTGCCTACTATAGGCTGGGCGTGGTGGCTTATGCCTGTAATTTCAGCACTTTGGTAGGCCAAGTCAGGTGGATCACCTGAAGTCAGGAGTTTGGGACCAACCTAGCCAACATGGTGAAACCTCACCCCAGCTAAATACAAAAAATTAGCCAGGCATGGCGGCACATGCCTGTATTCCCAGCTACTTGGGAGGCTGAGGCAGAAGAATCCCTTGAACTTGGGAGGCGGAGGTTGGATTGAGCTGAGACCATGCCATTGCACTCCAGAATGGGCAGCAAGAGTGAAAACTCTGTCTCAAAAAACAAACAAAAAAAATAAGTAAATAAATGTTCCCCACTACAATTTGTAATTTACCCCTCAGTAGAAACCCAAGCTCTTCAGACTGATTCAAACGGTATGATGTCTAATATCTCTTCTCATTTAGTGTCCTCCTATAATTATTTGCAAATATGCTCTACTTTATAAAGGAAAAATAACTAATGGATACAAGGCTTAATACATGTGTGATAAAATAATCTGAAAAACACACCCCCATGACCTAAGTTTACCTGTGAAACCAACCTGCACATGTACCCCTGAACTTACAAGTTAAAAAATTAAATAAAGTCAGAGTTCTAGTTAAAGACAGGCAAACAAGCCAAACAAAAAGACATATTTTTAAAGTGAAGAGAAATAAGATAGCATTATCTTTTGTTTTATACAGTGATTCTTAACAAACATTTATTAAACACCTAATAGCCAGGAGAGACTTAAGACAGCTGGGATACTAAGGTAAATAAGATGCAGTAATTGCTCTAGAAAAGTTACACATTCCATATGCATAAAAATGGACTCAGAATATCTATGCACTGTGATGCTGATGAAGGCATTTGGCACAAAAATTCAGGTAAGCATTTATAGAACATCTTATTATAAAAATGTGATGTCAAAATATCAAGTTTAGATATGTTACCATATGTAAAAGTTATATTATTGACATATTTTACATAATTCTGTACTATATATTTATAATTTATTTTACTGAACTATAAGCACGAATTTAACAGTAACTTATTTAAACTCTCAGAGAGGTTTCAGTAAACTGACAGACAAATAAGTGAAACAAACTATCAATTCGGCTAAATAATTGGTCAAGAAGTCAATTCTGTCAAGAAATATATTTGACTGAACTGGCTTGTGCTTGATGAAGTTAATTTTTCAATTTACTCAATCCTTTTAAAGCAATTTTGTGTGTGTGCTAACAGCTTTAGTCTGCTGATGAATTCCGTTTACAATCTGAAGTAACTAACCCAAATGGAACTCTCTTTGATAGTATTGCCTTAAATTCAGAAAAATCAGTGGTGTTCAAATAAGAAATAATAAACATTGCAACATGTTTTTGAAGAATGAGAAAGAATAATTTAGGCGTCTAAAAGCCCAGGTACAAATAATTATGCCTGAAATTGGTTAATTACAACTCAGAGATAAGTAGAAGCCGTCCAATTGCAACCGGAACTACTCAATTGACTGCACAATTATCCAATTGCAGCAGTAATTATTGGCTGCTATAATTTTTCCTTCTAAAATAAATTCAGTACCAATACATGTATTTCCAAACTCAAGTACACATCATTACACTTTTAAAATTTGGTTCAAAGCATTGCTATTTCCTATCTTGAGGATTTTCTTGAAACCTAAAATTATGTTTAAGATACAATTAACAGTAATCAATAGACTCAATATTATATCAGCATAATCAATTCTCTTCAACTATTTATTATTTACTGAATAAACTTATAGATTAATTTTAGGTAAAAGAAGACCTCCAAAAATTTAATCAAACACAGAACATTAATTTTTATTCAGTGAACCAGAGTCATGCTGACACCAATTAAACAGGGAATTTTGAAAATGTAAGTTATTAATATGTCTATTGTCACACAAGTTTGATCATGTAGATTTGAGTTACAAGATGATCCCGTAGCATTGAGTTATTCAGGAATAAAAGAAAAAAAAAGTCCAACTCTGATTTATTGTTTTCACATAGTAGCCACTCAATAAATAGTTAATATATGTAATTAATTTGAACTAATTTCCCAAAGATGAGAATGGATAGATAATAATTTAAATTTAATGACTTCACAAATTATCGACTTCAGAACCATACTTTGATATTGAGTACAGCTCTATTTTCCATTCCATCTCCACCATTTGTTTTCCTCTAAGCATTTTGGGTATAATATTTAGAATCTAATGAATAAAACATCTTAAGGAGGGATTGTTGTTAATTGCAAGATTTATAAGAGTTACCTGTCAAGGAAAGAAAGAGGGAGGGAAAGAGAGAGGGAGGAAAGATTGAAGGAAGGAAGCAAGGAAGAAAGAAAAGTCAGTGTTGCAAAGATAGCTAAAAGAAATATTTTAAAGTGAGCATCATAGATTTTAGTTTGTATGTACAATAGTAATTTACGATGTCTATCAAAATGTATTCCATTCCAGGAAAATATTGAAGAAAATATCCCATTATTGCCTACTAATCTCTACTTTCGAATTTTGTAATCAAACAAATTTTAGCTTTATTTTAATCATTTAGTCACAAATATGCTTTTAGTGAAGATGCAGATGTCTGCTGCTCCATTATTTATTTGTGGAAGGCACCTGTGGTATTGGAAAGAGCAGGTGCCAGAGTTCTAACATAATCAGTTGCTCACTTTAAATCTGAAAACTTGGATTAGCTACTTAACTGCTCTAGCTCTGATTCTCTAATCTGTGAAGTAATGACGTTATCCCTGCTGTGGGCTGAATTGTGTTCTCCCCAAATTTACATGCTGATGTCTTATGCCTCAGTACTCCAGAATATGACCTTCTTTGGAAAGAGAGCCTTTTAGATATATTTAGTTAAGATGAGTTTATACTAGATTCAGGTGGATCTACTAGTCCAATATGATGGCGTCCTTATAAAAGAAGAAATTTGGATACAGACATGCATGTAGGGAGAAAAATATATGAAAATGAAGGTAGAAATAGGAGTTATGCAGTAGAAACCAAGGAATGCCAAAGATTACCTGCGAGCACCAGAAACTGGGAGGAAAGCTGGGGATTTCTTCCTCACCCCCCTCAGAAGAACCAGAACTGATGACACCTCTGATCTTGAACCTCCAGTGTCCAGAACTGTGAGATAATGTATTGGTTAAATCAGCCACGCTGCAGGACTTTGTTATGGCACCCCTAGAAAACTAAGAGTGCCTTTAACCTATAGCTCTATCATTCTAAGAATCTGATTTTCTGTTCCCTCATCCTGGAGAAGCGGCAAGTATATTCCAGGCTAAGAAGCAAGAAGGCCATTGAAAATGGTAAACACTTGGGGGTATTTAATTTCTCCATCTTCAAATACCAATTTCAGAAAAGTCCTCTTGACTGTTTATTCAGCAGAGGGGAAAAGAAACTTTATGAAATTCTTGGTAATGAAGAGTCTATTTGAATAGAAGACATTTCTATGGCTCTGACCAAGTTTTGTATTGATTTTTGATACTTAATTTGCAGATAAAATTTTTATTGCAGTAGTTAAATTTCACGAAGCCTTATATATAAAAAGAAATTCTTAAAGGAATCATCTCCCAAAGCATTCCCACTGTCTTTTTTCTTCTTTGATCCTAACACACCAATGCTCTTGTTTACCTATCAGCTTCACTTTATCTCTGAAAAAAAGGAATTACGTGTGGAAACGTTGCTTAATTTCTGAAAAAAAAGGAACGATGTATAAAAATGTTGCTTAATGCACTAATGCCCTAACAGTAAGAATCAAGTTTTAAATTGAAGTTGAAATATATGGTCAAAAATCATAACAAAACAGAACTCTTCAATTTCTCAATTCAAAACCAGTAATTCATATTATGTAAGAAAAATCATCCTTGGAAGATGAAAATTCTGAGATTTGAATATATTTGGAATGTAGGATGTTTCAGATCACAGATATAGTAGACACCCATTTGATTTAAGTTGCTAGATTTATTTGTCATAGTTATATTTTATTTCTTAATAATTTGGTTTGGTTCAGTTCCATGGTTTATGTAATGTGATATTTAAATTCAAGTTGCTGCAATATTCTGTTTTTCATTGTTATACTCTGACACTGAAAAGCTAAATGAGAACAAATTGGATATTTCACCACTGGGCATAACAGTGGTTCCCGCTACAGGGTATGCTCTCAAATCAGGACGTACAGGTACAGGTTCAGCATCCCTAATACAAACATCTGAAGTCTAAAGTGCTCCAAAAACTTCATGAGCGGCCGGGCGCGGTGGCTCACGCCTGTAATCCCAGCACTTTGGGAGGCCGAGGCGGGCGGATCACGAGGTCAGGAGATCCAGACTATCCTGGCTAACACAGTCAAAACCGGTCTCTACTAAAAATACAAAAAATTAGCCGGGTGTGGTGGCGGGCGCCTGTAATCCCAGCTACTCGGGAGGCTGAGGCAGGAGAATGGCGTGAACCCGGGAGGCGGAGCTTGCAGTGAGCCGAGATCGCGCCACTGTACTCCAGCCTGGGCGACAGAGCCAGACTCCGTCTCAAAAACAAACAAACAAACAAACAAAAACAACTTCTTGAGCACCAACAGTGCCACAAGTGAAAAATCCCACCCCGATATAATGTGACAAGTCATAGTCAAAACACAGTCAAACTTTGTTTTATGCACACAATTATTTAAAATATTCAATACAACTACCTTCAAACTGTGTGAATAAGGTCTATATGAACATAAATGAATCCTGTGTTTAGACTTGGGTCCCAGCCCCAAGATTTCTCATTATGTATAGGAAAATATTCCAAAATCTGAAAAAAAATCCAAAATCTGAAACCCTTCTTTCTGGTCCCAAGCATTTTGGAAAAGGGAAACTCAACCTGTGCTCACTTTAAGAGATAAGAGCACAAAATAAACCAAACTGATCATAGAAAATAAAAGAAGGAAAACCTTCTGTTCTTTCTGGGGAATATTATTTCAAAGCTGCCACTTGATCATATATTGCCACAAATTGTTGCCAGTTTAGTTTTAGGCATCAAGAACACATTAGCTCTATCCATCGCTAGGAGAAAACTGTCAACAGTATTGATTACAAATATTTTCATGCCACGACTGAACTCTGAGTATGACAGCAGAAAAGCCTGAAAGCCTGAAGTTCCACAGCTTCGCTGCAGTCGTCTGAAGTTGCTTTCAAAAATGACATGAATTTGCTAATTCTGTTTGTGTATTTCAATATATATTTGTTGACCCCTGTTGCAACTGAGTCTGAATATGATTAAGGAAGTTATTTAAATTATACATCAAATAGTCAAAATGAATTCACATACCCAATTTCGACTAAACATACATGCATTTCCTTATTACTGATAACAGATGTAGTTTAAACTTGTGAGCAACTATTCCAATGGGTATAAAATGCTTACAATCTTTCACAAAATATCCTAAATTGAAAACCTACAAGAGGACAGGCCACATACCTAATATGGAAATGTTCATTGCACTGTGATATAGTCTGCTTTGACTTAAATGCTTAAGGATGGTAAATGCTAAAACCATTATCAGGAAAACATTGGAGAAAAATCTTATAGCAGTTGGATTCATCTTTAATATTTTACATATAAACATGTTATACTAGAAAAAACATAAAAAGTTATAGTATAGCTATTTAATGTACTGCATATGATTCTTAAAAATAATTATTAGCTATTATAAAATCATTCCTTCATTAGCACAATATATAACATAATACTGGTAGAGAAAACATGAAAATTGTGTAATATAAACAAAATTAGAAAAGTTGAATTGTCATGGTTTATTGGAGGTATTTACATATTTTTAGGAATGAAGGTACTTTATAATTTGTGCAATAGTGACACACAAAAAATGCTAGTTTAAAACTCCACCTTAATTTATGGTTTATGTATTCAGTTAGCAAATATTTATATTCCATGTGTTTTGTCAGCCCTGTATTAGGTATTGGGACATATTAGTTAAAAGGCAGATTTGTTTCCTCAAATAGCCCCAGGCCTAGTAAACAATGTAGACACAGGATGCTATGAGAGCTTATCCCAGTTAGTGGGACTCTGGAGAAGTTTTTCAGATGAGGTAATATAAGCAAATAATTTTAAAGCATTCTTATGTTTTGTGTGTTTCTTGCTTTATTAAATTATGAGTTAATTCTTGTTTGGATCTTATAGTTTGATTCAATTAAAACATTTCTAGTTAAAAATCAATAAAAATTTATGTGCTGAAGATTTTTTTCTCCCCTTCACACTATTATTCTAAAATACCCATCACTGTGAACCACAGGCATCTAGCCATTCTTTACGTTGTTAATGATAACAGGAAGGGGATACAATGGTAAGTGAAGGGGATACAAAATGTTATAGCACTTCATAGTGAAACTTGGAAATGACTTTGAGACACGTATTATTTTATCAAATAGCAAAACCATATGCAACAGCAATAGCATTAAGTGAAACATAAATAGCAATAATAAAAAGCTGCAAGAATTCAATTTGTATGTAACTTGAGTGGTCAGGAAAGGATATAGAATCTAAATAATGATATCATAATGAGAATTAAACAAGTAAAGAAGACTGTAGAGACATTTCTGTGGGATGACAATAAGGTTACCTAGATGACTTCATCAGTAGTTTTGTTTTCTTGTTTTGGATAGAAGTAATTTTAGAGGAGGGCCAAGCGGAAGGCAGGACAGATGACAGTGTTAAATAATGAACTCTTGTGAACTTCATTTTTATATATCAATATTATTTAGTCTTTCACTTTTCACTAGAGGGATTGGCTTTCTGAAAAATTTATGGTACATTTAAAATTATTCTTGGAAGCCCAGCATGTGAAGCAATAAAATCTTAGCAATCCTTTGGAAGTGGCAAATGAGATGCTGCTTCTCAGCTTCTCAACTTCTTTCTTCTCTCAGAGCTCTAAGGAGGGCGATTCGAACATCTCTGCCTCTAGAGACTGAAATGGACATGAAAGGGTTATGATATGTTCCTGTGTGTGTTTGATAGGATTTCGATAAAATTCAAAGAACTGCTTAGAAAGATTATTATAGACATGGGATTAAGGATGTATTAAAACCAAGAGATGGAAATAGGAATCCAATTAGATATTCACAAAAATCCATTAAAATATCCTGAGACTGCTAACAATAGGAAAGTGAGAAGGAAGTTATGTGTTCTTGATAATTTCCTAGCTTTGACAGTACCACTAAGTGGATATAGGATGAAGACTGGAAATTACGATCCATGCACATAATTTTTAAAGTAGGCAGAATAGAGGAGAGCGTCACATGACCTGAAATTTAGGGATAAATAACATTTCATTGAATCAGCTCCTACATCTTAAAGACTAGGTAGAACTCTGTTGAAGGGAACTATATATGCTAGAAAAATTAAGCTAGCAGTGATGCTTACATCAATCTATAGAACACCTAAAAATTATTGTTTATTGACGTAGTTTGGATATTTGTCCCCACCCAAACCTCATGTTGAATTGTAATCCCCAGTGCTGGAGCTAGAACCTAGTGGGAGGTGTTTGGATCATGGGATTTCATTCCTCTTGGCTTGGTGCTATCTTGATGATAGTGAGTTCTCACAAGGGCTATTCATTTAAAAGTGTGTGGCACCCCGCCCCCAACTCTCTCTCTCTTGCTTCTGCTTTTGTCATAGTCATATGCCTGCTCCCTCTTTGCCTTTTACCATGATTATAAGCTTCCAGAGGCCTCCCTAGAGGCTGAGCTGATGCTAACACCATGCTTTGTGTAAAGTCTGCAGAACGCTGAGCCGATTAAACCTCTTGTGTTTATGAATTACCCAATCTCAGTTATTTCTTTGTAGCATGCAAAAATGGCCTAATACAGAAAATCGGTGCCACAAGTGGGGTATTTCTGTAAAGATACCTGAAAATGTGAAAGTAGCTTTGGAACTGGGTAATGAACAAAGTTTGAAAGAATTTGGAGGGCTCCGAAGAAGAGAGGAAGATGAGGGAAAGTTTGGAACTTGTTAAAGACGGGTTAAATGGTTGTGACTAACATGCGGTAGTTACATGGATAGCGAAATCAAGGCTGATGAGGTCTCATATGTAAACAATGAATTCATTGGGTCCTAGAGCAAATGTCACCAATATTACGCCTTAGCAAAGAACTTGGCTACATTGCGTACATTCCTTAAGGATCCATGGAAGTTTAAACTTCATAGTGATAATTTAGATATCTGGCAGAAGAAATTTCTAAGCAGAAAAGTATTCAAGATATGTCCTGATATGTCCTGGCTGTTTCTAACAACCTATGCTCACATATGGGACCAAAAAAAAATGACTTAAATTTGGATTTTATATTTAAACAGGAAGCAGAGCATAAAAGTTTGGAAAATTTGAAGCCTGCCCATGAGGCAGAAAAAAAAAAAAAAAAAAGCTTTTTCGGGAGAGGAATTCAAGCAGGCTACAGAGCAACAACTTGCTAGATAAATTTGCATAACTGAAAGGGAACCAAGTGCTGGTATCCAAAACAATGAAGAAAAGACTGAAAAGGTATTTCAGAGACCTTCATAGTAGCCCCTCTCATCATAGGCACAGAGGCTTAGGAAGAAAGGATGGTTGTATGGGCCAGACCCAGGGCTACACTGCCCTGCACAGCCTCAGGACACTGTTGCCTATGTCCCAGCTTCTCCAGCTTCAGGCTTGGATCAAGGGACCCTAGATACAGCTCAGGCTGCTGCTTCAGACAGTTCAAGCCATAAGCTTTAGCAGCTTCCATGTGATGTTAAACCCACAGGCACACAGAATGCAAAAGTGAAGGAAGTTTGGGTGCCTCTGCCTAGATTTCGGAGAATATATGGAAAAGCCTGGGTATCCAGGTAGAAGCATGTTGCTGGGATGGAGAACCTCTACTAGGGCAATGTGGAGGAGAAATGTGGGGTCAGAGGGCAACGTGAAGGAGAAATCAGAGCCCCACAGAGTCCCCATTGGAGCACTACCTAGTAGAGCTGTGAGTATGAGACAGGGGCCACCATCCTTCAGACCCCCAAATTGTAGATTCATCAGAAGTTTGAACTCTGCACCAGGAAAAGCTGCAGACACTCATCTCTAGCCCACGAGAGCAGGCTTGGCAGCTGCACCCTGAAAAACCACAGGGGTAAAGCTGCCCGAGGCCTTGGGAGTCCACTCCTTGCACCAGTGTGCCCTGGATGTGGGGACATGGAGTCAAAGATTATTTTAGAGCTTTAAGATTTAATGACTACCCTGCTGGGTTTCAAACTTGCATGTGGCCTGTAGCTCCCCCTTTTTTGGTCGATTTCTCCCTTTTGAAGTGGGAATGTCTACAACCTCATTGTATCTAGGAAGTAACTAAATTTTCTTTTTTAAAATTTTACAGGCTGACAGGTGGAAGAGATTTGCCTTGTCTCAGATGAGACTTTGGACTATTGAGTCAATGCTGGAATAAAATAAGACTTTGGGACACTGTTGGGAAGGCATGATTGTATTTTGCAATGTGGGAAGGACTTGAGATTTGGCAAGGGGCTTTGGTGAAATGATAGAGTTTTGATATTTGTCCCCACCCAAATCTCATGCTGAATTGTAATCCCCAATGCTAGAGGCGGGGCCTAGGGGGAGGTGTTCGGATCATGGGGGCAGATCCCTCATGGCTCGGTGCTGTCTTTGTGATGGTGAATTTTTGTACCATCTGGTTGTTTAAAAGTGTGTGGCACCTCCCCGCTCACTCTCTCACTCTGGCTCCTGCTTTCGTTATGTGATGTGCCTGCTCCTGCTTTGTCTTTCACTATGACCGCAGCCTTCCTGAGGTCTCCCTAGAGTATGAGAAGATGCAAGCACCAGTCTTTCTGTAAATCCTGCAAAATTGTGAGCCAAATAAACCTCCTTTCTTTATTAGTTACTGAGCCTCAGGTATTTCTCTATAGAAATGCAAGAATGATTTAATATATTAATGTTGCAATGAGGTAACCTGCAATGAGGTAATATATTAATGTTGCAATGAGGAAAGTAATTGTGTGAATGTTTCAATATTTTTGATATCTGCATCAGATAGCTTTTATCTTGAATATTCTCTAAATATGAAAGTTGATGGAGGTCGGGAGTGTTGGCTCATGCCTGTAATCCCAGCACTTTGGGAGGCCAAGGTGGGAGGATCATTTGAGACCAGGAGTTCAAGTTCGAGACCAGACTGGCCAACATGGTGAAACTCTGTCTCTAAATAAAAAATAAAAAAGAAAGAAAGTTGATAGAATACAAATATATGTAGAAACAGAGTAGACATTTATATTAAAATAATTTATATGGTTATTTTACATAAGATTTAGTATTTCTTCCTTTAAATTTCTATATAAATATTACATAGCTAAACACATAAATGATACTCAATAAGTATTTGCTGAATTCCAGAAGGCATCAGCCTGTGTAAAGATTTAGGACTATGCTTTCTTATATTTAAGACAAAAGTCCTCCCAGTAAGTAATATTTATCAACAACAAGCCAAAAATAAATTATAAAATAATGTTAAAAATAAAGTTTCCGTAAAGGCAAAATATAACTAATGAATGCTGAATTATGGACCAAATATAGAAATCACAAAGGAAATATCAGTGAAACCACTCTACAACTTTTGAACTGCTCAGTCCAATAAAGGTTATAAAAATGGATCACAACATGGCAAGAGGAAATTTTCAAAAGATGTAATGTTTCACTTTTTTTTTTTTTTTTTTTTTTTTTGCTGTCAATCCCAGCCACTATTGAAAGGAAAGGATTTAATAAGGCTACTTGGAGAAATTAAATGTGATCAAGGGAGCTGGAAAAAGGTTTAATTCCTACCAGTGAAATCTAGAGGGTGGAAGACCAGCTGAACAATTGCTTTGCAGAAAAAGCAAACTTACTCTTATATTGAAATTGGACTGAATTCCTAGAATTTCTCAGGATAAAAGATCCATTGATTTTCTTTTGAACCTGAGTAGGACACCCACAGAACTGACACGTGGTTCCCTTGGGCTCTGTTGACAGGGTTGCCTGGAAAGGGAAAGAACCAGAACAGAAAGAAGTGCAGATCGCTGCTGGATGCACAAGGACAGGGGAAGGTGGAAAACCACAGGGAAAACGGAGGGTCAAGGAACTTGGATGGACACCCAGAGAGTAAGGGGAATCTCCAGGGAACCCACGAAGGTCCCTATCAGAGAGCCGGCTCTACCACCTGCTAGGTCCACAGTCCGTAAAACCCACTCACAAAACTACCAGGAAAGCAATATTTTTTGTTTTTCTGTGTCTTTTGCAAGTTCTAGTACCAATTAAGGACCTGAAGCCAAGGTTAGGGATTAGGGAAATAAGTAGTAGGAAGGAGAATTGAAAACCAGCTGCACCCATTTGCCTCAAACAGAGGAGTGTCTGAAATTGATCCTGGCAGAGGAAGGGGTCTAAATCCAGTAAGGAGTCATTGTTGTTACTATGACCTAATTTTGATGACGTCACCAAGCATTTTCTGAGTCACCAATATCGCACACATGAATAGCAGTATGTGGATTTGACACTGAACTTGCAAAATTTGACATTAACACATGATCTAATTACTAAGCAACAGACATGATTAAAATTAAAATTTTAACATTGAAAATAGACAGGACTTAATAGTCTGGTTATGACTCAATTTTGTGACTTACATATTAAACAAAAAATAAATTTTAAACTTAAAGAATCCTATCATGAATGGTAAAGGTCTACTCTTGTTTTTCAGCTCCTTAAACATTTCTCAGTAGACTATATTTCAAATTAGAATTACCAGGGCTAAAGCTGATCTTATTCATATCTAGGCACTGAGATCCAGGGACTCTGATAAGTTAAATTTCACTAAATAGATGATTTATGTAATTCTAAAAAGCATACTATATCTGTAGGTGATTCTAACGTTTAACACATAAATATTTTCATGTGTTAGATTTAGAATTCAGTTGTATTATTTTATTCATTTAATCAGTCATTTAACAAATAATTAAGTACTTAGTAAGTATAAGGCCCATTCCAGGCACTGGGTTTAAAGCAGGGAATAAAATAGACAAAATATACCCTTTCATGAGGCTTAGAATGTAGTGGGAGAAGGAGAAAGAAAGAGTATAAATAAATTTTCAGGAAGTGAAACAAGCAAAGATAAAGAAATCAGAATGGCTGGGCACAGTAGCTCACACCTATAATCCCAGCACTTGGGAGGCTGAGGTGGGCAGATCATTTGAGGTTAGGAGTTTGAGACCAGCCTGGCCAACATGGTGAAACCTTGTCTCTACTAAAAATACAAAAATTAGCTGGGCATGATGGCGGGCACCTTTATTCCCAGCTACTCAGGAGGCTGAGACAGGAGAAGTGCTTGAACACGGGAGGCAGAGGTTGCAGTGAGCCAAGATTGTGCCACTGCACTCCAGCCTGGGCAATAGAGTGAGACTCCATCTCAAAACAACAACAACAACAAAAATCAGAATAAGGAGATTTTGTATGAAAGGAAATGTAATTTTCGATTAGTTGGTCCGGGAAACCCATCTGATAGTCCCCAAGGCAGGAGTAAAAGTGAACTGCAGGAGAAAGAGTTGATGATTTGGTTATGGGAAGTGAGTAAAAGAGAGGGTTCAAAGATGAAACCCAAATTTCTAGCTTGTTAAATCAATGCTTAATCTACTGAGAAGAAAACTGTGGGACAAGCAGGTTTGAGGGAAAAAGCAGGAGCACATTTCTGATTTGCTATGTGTGTTATGTTTATTGCATGCCCAAGAACAATCAGGGGATGTGCGTTTTGTTTTCTTTTTTGTTTTCTCTTCAAGAAACAGCAAGATCACTTGAACTAATAAGTGTTAGTTTTAGTAAAAATTAAATCATTTCCTGCAAAATAATTATTCATTCCATGATTGAAAGAAATAGAAAAAAAGCATTGAAAGGAAGTTTAAAAATATGGAATAAGTAGGCTATATATACATGTGTCATCCTGGGTTATTTAATAGGCCTTGGCTGGGGTACCTGCATGTGTTTTGGGTTTGCTGTGTGTTTGTTTGTTCTTTAAAGCATGACACAGAGCATTTCGGTAATCTACAATTTCACTCTTTTGTGGATTCCATAAAACTTAATTCACATGTGGAGGACACACTGAAAGTAATTGGTGACATAGAAACAGGGGATGATGATAATTACTCTGGCTCTACAGGAGCCAAATCCTATTAGCAGTATGACTGTGGAGGTTCACATTAAAAGCCCTGTGTAACATGCCCATTTCCTGCCACTCAGACCGGCAATGACTGTGTTATTCCCAGTCCCCCAAGAAGCAGATGCCAAGGCAGGGTGAGATGAGCAAGGGTTTTATTAGGTGAACCTGCCTGTGTGAGGGAAAACAGGGCCGGGGGCTGAGAGCTGCTGAGCCAGCACAGTACAGGTCAATCCTGAATGAAGAAGGAAGGGAGGCAAGGATGGTTATGTTCTGTCTAAAGATGTCTCAGCAAGGCCGTCATGAAGTGCCTGAGCCAAAGTTGGCCGTCAGAGGAGTCTGTGTTTCCCAGCAATGTTTCTGCATTAGTGTCCTTGCAGGACTCAGTCACTGGGCAGCAGCAGCCCAAGGGGGTTATGGCCTCAGTGCAAATGGAGCAATGGATTTCCAAGCCCAGTAGCTGGGGCCCTTGACTGCTTATGTTCCTGCAGTTAGAGATTGGTGAGGTACGTTCTCATGGTGGCCACATATACTATGGGAGGAAGTGGACAGTTCAGGCTAGGTTCATTGTGCAACTGTGTGTAAAAGAGAATTAAAATGTAGACATGAAAGCATTATTTTAAGAGAGGCTTGTACTGAGAATATGTAAGAGTTACTGCCTGTAGCTTGAGTGGATGGGACATTTGCAAGGAAAAGTAGCTCCTCTCATCTCATCAGAGTTTTCAGGAACTAATATGAACGAAGTGAGTATTTTAAGTAAGCCTACTCATGAATTTTTAAAATATATTTATACTGTTTCACATGACACCCAGGAATCCAGGCCAATTGCTACCGAGGCCTCCATAATGTAAAACTATAATCATAAATAATAATAAGCCAATATATAGTTTTCATATTGCCAGGTACACCTTTAGAGAATTCACATATGTAACTTGTTTATGGGGTAACTTTTGTTATTATCCTAAGTATTTTACAAAGGAGGCAGCTGAGGCAGAGAGAGGTTACATAACGTCTCTGTGGTCACACAGTTAAAAAACTGGAAGAGCCAGTTTTCCAAAACAGGCATTCTGAATCCAAAGACCATAATCATAATCAAAGTGGTATCTTGGTCATCTTGAGTTTTATGTCATTCAGAAATGGCTCATAGAAACCATGTACTTAAACTCTGTCCTTTAAATGAATGTGCATGCCATTTTGACTAAAATAAAATGAATGCGTTTTTCAATATAAAGATCTAGGATGTCATGGTAAACCATTCTCAAAATATCCAACATCAGAACTATACGAAGAACAATAGAATCACATATGTCAATAAACATAGAAAAGAATCTTTTTTATATTAGGAGGGCTCCCTTATATAAAGTTGGTTTGAGCCCATCATTTGGGCATAGCTTGAAACATTATCAATAATAATGTAATTTACTGACTGCGGTGACTTCTTGTCAAGACTTTCTGAAAGTCTGAACTATATCAGTCTGTTAACAAAATGACAATGTAAGCACTATACACATTCAGCTTCTTACATCCTGGAAAATTATAATGCTTTTTATGTCGGGCATGTTAATTAACATTGATCTTTGCTCTGAAAGTCTTACTATGTGTCGTAGGAAGTCTGAAGAGTGAAAGGAAGGGTCACATGAAATGTATAACAATTCATTAAGTAGTTTCTACTTTAGTAGTAAAAAATATCTAGAAATAAGGTCAATGCAAATCTTCTTAGGAAAAATAATCATCCAGTCACCGGTAATTGTGGAAAGGATGGAAACTTCAAAATTCATAAAATCAGGATTTGCCTGAATCTGTTCACTTAGTAAAAAATTCTTCCACATACAGTATTTTTTTGGCTTATCAATTGATACCCATATATGCAACAACTCAATCCAAATAATTGCTAGAAATTGTACAGTCATGAAAATAAACCATTTCACAGCTCAAATTAGATACATGTGGAGAAATAGGATATTAGAATAAGGGCAGACCACAGTGAGGAAAACATCTTTTATTAGAAACTCAGTCCTAAGTGTATAGATATTATATCCCCTAAGAGTTTTTTTTTCTTTTCAGTGCAATTGCCTTTGGAAGGAATAATAATTTCATACATGAATATTATATTGATTTATTTTATTAGGTTTTAAGACATTCACCTCATTCACCTTTAAAGGCACTGAGAAATATAAATAAATGAAGTTAACCATGCCAGGCAAGTTGAGGTGGATGAGGACAATTTGCAAAGGAAACAGAAAGCCAATATGAGGAAGTCAGGATCTAGCTGAGAACCTGGGATAAAGATGGAAGTAATCAGATGTGGTGAGCAGAGACCATTCATAAACTTAATTAAATCAGATTTTTCTTTATAAATACTCTACCATAGTTTTCTGATTTGACTAAAAATTAATAAATAACCAGAGTAGGAATGGTATCATTCTGATGCCTGCAATATAAGCTTCCCCAGAATATAGAGTCAATGAGGAAAGCAACCCTCTGTCTTATTTACTGTGATGTCTACATTTCTGTGTCATAGAATGTATCCAATAAATGTTTGCTGAATGAATGAATATAGACACACTTTTTTGGTTTTGTTGCTCTAAGATGAAAAAGTAACAACAATAAAAGCCCCTAAAGGGCCGGGCGCGGTGGTTCACTCCTGTAATCCCAGCACTTTGGGAGGCCGAGGCGGGTGGATCACGAGGTCAGGAGATCGAGACCATCCTGACTAACATGGTGAAACCTCGTTTCTACTAAAAATACAAAACATTAGCCGGGCGTGGTGGCGGGCGCCTGTAGTCCCAGCTACTCGGGAGGCTGAGGCAGGAGAATGGTGTAAACCCGGGAGGCAGAGCTTGCAGTGAGCCGAGATGGCGCCACTGCACTCCAGCCTGGGTGACAGAGCGAGACTCCGTCTTAAAAAAAAAAAAATAAGCCCCTAAAAAGGCATCTCTGACTATGACAATATTGTAAACGAGAGTTAAACAATTGGTAGAACATCCTTTATAGTATGTATGTAACTCCATCTTCATTTAATGTATCTTAAGTGAGAAAAAGAATATCTTCTGTTTAGATGAGGTTTAGATAACAGAACAATATGTTACATTCCAATAATCTATAACAGGAATTATTATTATTATTATTATTATTATTATTATTATTATTATTTTGAGACTGAGTCTCTGGCTCTGCCACCCAGGCTGGAGTGCAATGGTGCAGTCTTGGCTCACTGTTACCTCCACCTCCCGGGTTCAAGAGATTCTCCTGCCTCAGCCTTCCAAGTAGCTAGGATTACAGGCATGTGACACCGCACCCGGCTAATTTTGTATTTTTAGTAGAGATGGGGTTTCTCCATGTTGGTCAGGCTGGTCTCAAACTCCCAACCTCGGGTGATCCACCCGCCTTAGCCTCCCGAAGTGCTGGGATTACAGGCGTGAGCCACTGTGATTTTTAATTCCTCACAGGCGTGAGCCAGGAATGATTTTTAATTCCAGAGAATGATGATCATACCACCTCATTTTTAAGGGACCTCCAGCTCCATCTGTGTTCCTGCAAAGTCCTCTATTCATATTCTTTTTTCTGGCTGCATAGTATTCTATGGCATATATGTACCACATTTCTTTATCCAACCTGCCCCTGATGGGCATTTTGGTTGATTCCATGTCTTTGCTGTCTTATAGAGTGCTAATAATATAGAGTGCATAAGAGCATTCCATTAAGATTTTCTACTTTTGCCTAATAGAGAACTTTGATCCCAAATCATGGAGACTTGTGTTTCATTAGGAATTTTCAGATTGACAAATAAGTACAGTGGGTCAACTTTTTCAGCAGCACTATCAGAATGATTTTTTTTTTTTATTCCAGAGGATGCTGATGGCACTGCCTCATTTTGAAGGAACCTCAGCTTTGCCAACCCATTTTATTACCTCAACCTCTAATAGGCAGACAAAAGTATAGGCAAATTTTTCTATAAATAACAGACCTTTCCTCACTCGAACATTCAGTTGCCAGGTTTTAAGCTGCTTTGCTGCTGTTCTAGGTACTCAACTCTGGTAGCTCTTTTACAACTCAAGGATTCTCTCTTTTTTAAAAAATTAACTTTTATTTTAAGTTCAGGATTACATATATAGGTGTGTTACATAGGTAATCTTGTGTCATGGGGATTTGTTGTACAGATCATTTTGACACCCAGGTATTAAACCTAGTATCCATTAGTTATTTTTTCCTCTCTCTCCTCCTGCCCTCCACCCTCCAACAGGCCCCAGTGTGTGTTGTTTCCCTCTGTGTGTCCATATATTCTCATCATTTAGCTCCCACTTATAAGTGAGAACATGCAGTATTTCATTTTCTGTTCCTGAATTAATTTCCTAAAAATAATGGCCTCCAGCTCCATCTATGTTCCTGCAAAGAACATGATCTCATTCTTTTTATGGCTGCATAGTATCCCATGGCATATATGTAACACATTTTCTTTACCTAATCTACCATTGATGGGCATATAGGTTGATTCCATGCCTTTGCTGTTATGAATGGTCCTGCAATGAACGTACGGGTGTGTGTCTTTATAACAGAACAATTTATATTTCTCTGGGTGTATACCCAGTAATGGGATTGCTGGGTCAAATGGCGTTTCTATTTTTAAGTCTTAGAGTAATACCCACACTGTCTTCTACAATAGTTGAAATAATTTACACTCCCACCAACAGTGTATAAGCATTCCTTTTTCTCCACACCCTTGCCAGCATCTGTTATTTTTTGACTTTTTAATAATAGCCATTCTGACTGGTATGGGGTGGTATCTTATGGTGGTTTTGATCTGCATTTCTCTAATGATCAGTGATGTTGCACTTTTTTCAAATTATTGTTGGCCGCATGTATGTCTTCTTTTGAAAAGTTTCTGTTCATGTCCTTTGCCCACTTTTTAATGGGGTGCTTTTTTTCTTGTAAATTTAACTTCCTTATAGTTGCTAGACATTAATCCTTGGTCCAATGCATAGTTTGCAAAAATTTTCTCCAGTTCTGTAGGTTGTCTGTTCACTATGTTGATACTTTCCTTTGCTGTGCAGAAGCTGTTTAATTAGATTCCATTTGTTGATTTGTGCTTTTGTAGCAATTGCTTTTGGTGTCTTCTTCATGAAATCTTTGCCCATTCCTATGTCCAGGATAGTGTTGCCCAGGTTGTCTTCCAGGGTTTTTATAACTTTGGGTTTTACATTTAAATCTTTAATCCATCTTGAGCTAAATTTTTGTATATGGTGTAAGGAAGGGGTCCAATTCCAATCTTCTGCATATGGCTAGCTGGTTACCCCAGCACCACTTATTGAATAGGGAATCCTTTCCCCATTGCCTGTTTTTGTTAGGTTTGTCAAGGATCAGACAGTTGCAGGTGTGCGACCTTATTTCTGGGTTCTCTATTCTGTTCCATTGGTTTATGTGTCTGTTTTCATACCAGTACCATGTTGTTTGGTTACTGTAACCTTGTAGTATAGTTTGAAGTCAGGTAGCATGATGCCTCCAGCTTTGTTCTTAGGATTGCTTTGGCTATTTGGGCTCTTGTTTGGTTCCATATGAATTTAAAAATAGGTTTTTCTAGTTCTTTGAAGAATGTCAATGGCAGTTTAATAGAAATAGCTTTGAGTCCGTAAATTGCTTTCAGCAATATAACCGTTTTAATAATATTGATTCTTCCTGTCCATGAGCATGAAATGATTTTCCATTTTTTTGTGTGTCATCTCTGATTTCTTTGAGCAGTATTTTGTAGTTCTCCTTGTAGAGATCTTTTACCTCCCTAGTTAGCTGCATTCCTAGGTGTTGTGTGTGTGTGTGTGGTGTGTGTCTCAATTGTAAATGGGACTGCCTTTCTGATTTGGGTTTCAGCTTGACTGTTGTTGCTGTACAGGAATGTTGGTGATTTTTGCCCATTAATTTTGTATCCTGAGATGTTGCTGAAGTTATCAGCTGAAGGAGCTTTTGGGCTGAGACTATGGGGTTTTCTAGATATGGGATAATGTTGTCTCCAAACAGGGATAGTTGAACTTCCCTTTTCCTATTTGGATGCCTTTATTTCTTTCTCTTGCCTGATTGCCCTGGCCAGGACTTCCAGTATCATGTTGATTAAGAGTAATGAGAGAGGGCATCCTTATCTTGTGCCGATTTTCATGGGGAATGCTTCCAGCTTTTGCCCATTCAGTATGATGTTGGCTGCGGGTCTGTCATAGATGACTCTTATTATATTGAGGTATGTTCTTTCAATACCTAGTTTATTGAGAAATATTCAACTTACAAAAATCCTGGGGCTCCCACTATCACTCAGTGTCCAACAAACAAGGATAATTTAATCAGCAAAAAGATAGCTACTTTTGCATATAAAAGATGGTTGCAAACTCAAGAAAACTCAAATTATATCTCTTAGGAAATATTCATAACATCCTCTTTCTTCTTTGCCCAAATCTTTGTATCTTACAACTGCTCCAAAACCTTTTCATTTCCAATTACTTTCCAAGTCCAAGTCTCAATCTCTCTCTCTCTCTCTCTCTCTCTCTCTCTCACTCACTCTTTTCTGTTTTCTCCCATCTATTCCTCTCCATATTCTTTACCATTTTTCCCATCTAGGCCTATTCTCTTTTCCTCATCCTCCTACACCATAAATGATCCAGAATCCAGATTGGAAAAATACAACAAAGAGTACAATGAAGAGGTTGCCTTTATTAATGAAACTCTCCTCTGCCTTTTGCAAAATGGTAAGAGCTAGCCTGTGCTAGGGTAGTTGTACATATATTAACTCATTTAATCATGGCAACAATTCTTTCAAGGAGGAATGACGACTGTTAGCAACACCATCATTAAAATTGTAGAAGTTTAAAAGCCAAAGCACAAGAGAAGTTGAGTGATTTGCCCAAGTAGGAATCTTGCAACTTGCAGAAGTGGATTTGAGGTCAGTAGTCTGACCTCAGAAAGCACACCCAAACCCTACTCTCTCTTGCCTACTGAAAGGATAACTCTGGGCCTCTCTTGCTCACTATGGCATCCCCAGCTTTTGACACCCAGAAAAAACTCAATGCAAATTTGTTGAATGAAGGCAGCATACATATTGTTTCCTTGTTTCTGTAAGATGAAAATGACCGCAGCCATGGAAATCTTAAAATAATATTATAAAATCAATATATATATTTCTACATAAATAACTTATAGCAGTATAATACATATATATTTACATATGAATAATTCTTAGCTGCTGACAATGCACTATATCAAGGTTAAATAATTTCAGGAAAGCCAATAAAGTCAATAAGATAAGAAAACAGAGAACGCTGGTGCTAATGATGGGAATGTACTACCTAGATATCTTTGTTTATGTTGTTTTGTTGTTAGATGCTCTTTTTATTTTAAATTTATTTTTCCCTGGTTTTATTAAGGAAAAATTGACAAAATTATATGTATTTATGGTTATAATGTAATGTTTTGATGTATGTATATATTGTGAAATGATTAGATCATACTAATTAACATTTTCATCATATTATATACTTATCTTTTTTGTGTGTGCTGAGAACATTTAAAATCTACTCTCCCAGCATTTAGGAATGTGACAGATTAGTATTAACTGTAGTTGCCATGCTGTAACAAGAGATCTCTAGAACCTATTCATCCTTTGTACTTGAAACTTTGTGCTCTTTGATCAACATGTTTCCATTTCTACTCTCCCCATCCCACCCCACAGCCCCTGGTATCCACCATTCTATTCTCTTCTTCTATGACTTCAGTTCATTTAGAGTCCACATATAAGTGATATCAGGAAATATTTGTGTATCTGTACCTGGCTTATTTCACTTAACATTATGTCCTCTAGGTAAATTCACATTGTCACAAATAGCAGGGCTTCCTTTTTTATTTTTAAAGCTAGTTAATTCTGCTGTGCTTTTGGAGTCATTGCCAAAAAATCATGGCTTAGACAAATGTAAATAAGCTTTTCTAGCACATTTTCTTTTACATTTAAGTCATTAATCTATTTTGAGTTAATTTTTTTATACAGGATAAGAGGAGGGTCCAATTTCATTGTTCTCCATGTCAATCTCCAGTTTTCCCACACCATTTATTGAAGAGCCTGTCCTTTTCCTCTTGTGAGTTATTGATAGCTTTGTCAAGGATCAACTGACAATATGTGTATGGATTTACTTCTAGGCTCTCCATTCTGCCCCAGTGGTCTGTGTGTCTGTTTTTATGCCAGTACCATGCTGTACTGATTACTATGTCTTTGTAATATGTTTTGAAATCAGGTAGTATAATGTCCCCAGCTTTGTTCTTTTTGCTTAAGATTGCTTTGGCTATTTGGAGTCCTTTGTGATTCCACACAAATTTAAAATTTATCTTCTATTTCTGCAAAAAACATCACGAAAATTTTGATAGGGCTTGCATTGAATCTGTAGATCACTTTGTGTTGTATAGACATTGTAATACTATTAATTCTTCCAATCCATAGGTATAGAGTATATTTCCATTTAGTTTTGTCTTCTTCCTTTTTTTCATCAATGTTTTACAGTTTTTATTGTAAGATCTTCCACTTTATGGGGTTAGATTTATTCCTAAGAACTTTTGTTTATGCTATTGTAAATGGGATTATTTTCTTGATTTTTTGGGGGTTAGGTCATTTTTAGTGTACAGATATGCTACTGGAAACTAACACACATTTCATTTGGAATATAATGATGCTCTTTTTCCCTTGTTTTGAAACACTAGGTAATTATTTGGTTCACAGGCCAAGGTTGAGTCATAGAACCTCAACTAATATGAAGTGAATTGAACTACTTCTTTAAGAAGGCAAAGAAAATTTACGTCTGTTGGCATTCCTATTATCCCTTGTTTGCTTACTCTATTAACCACCCCTTTACCCTAGAGCCTTCATAGCAGCTTGCCCTGTGTTGACTCAACCAAAAGGAATAGTTGGATGGTTCATTCAAATGGCCACGTTGGGAATAGGGGGTGAGAAGTTGTTTGAATAAATTGTTCTTATAAGTGATGATTTGATAAGTTAAAAAAAAGAAAAAGAAGAAAAAGATCAGCCAGGCATGATGGCTCACACCTGTAATCCCAGCACTTTGGGAGGCCAAGGCAGGTGGACTGCTTGAGCTCAGGAGTTAAAGACCTGCCTGGCCAATATAGCGAAACCCCGTCTCTACTAAAATACAAAAAATTAGCTGGGTGTGGTGGTGCATGCCTGTAATCCCAGCTACTCGGGAAGCTAAGGCAGGAGAATCACTTGAACCCAGGAGGCGGAGGCGGCATTGAGCAGAGATCCTGCCATTCCACTCCAGCCTGGGCAACAGCATCAGACTCCATCTCAACAACAACAAATCACATAGTCCCATGAAGACAACTTATTTGATAAAATCTTTAATATACAACAATGTGTGAAATAGTATTATAAAGACTTTTTTAATATAAATCGTATTTTTAAAAAAATACAACTAATAATGCCCAAAATAAATAAATAAAGCAATCCCAACAAAGTGGCCATTTGAATAGGGATGATATTTTCCCACTGATACGTTTAAAACTTTGCCTCGTAAATCCTATTATCCAGCTGTAGCTTCTTGAAAAATAGTAGCTAGAGAACACTTTCATGAAAACAAACTGCCAACACGGAGAGCAAGGTGAAACACAACAACAAAGCACGTTTCAAAGCGTAGCAATGGTATTGCTGAAGAGCTAGGACTTTTTAAGTGGGAACCAATTTAATCTTTATTAATCCCTGTCATTGTGATTGCATAATGTCTGGATTTGAATGTCTGATGTGTGACACTCTCTTTCCTCTTCCTCTGGCGATCAGAAGTGTGAAAATATACTTCACACTTTAAAAGAAACTCTGAATTTTGAAAAATAAATAGGTATAATCATCCAAACCAAAATGGAAAAAAAAATTACAGGAGAAAAAATATACACCATGTCAGAGTTACAGATATGCTCTTTTATGTTAATATATGCACTGCTATATGCCAGGACTGTGAAAATAGGCAGTGAAACAAGAAGGCAGGTGGCCATATATGTACAGAGAGTTTGTAAAAATGTATTCACGTAGATGGTTTAGAATCTCTTTATAGAGCCTAATGAATACCTTTAAAATCACTTCCTGGAAAGATCTGTATGGAGTCCCATTTGAAATTGCCATCAGGTGTTAATTAGTGAGGAAGGTCAAGTTCTATAATAAATAAATAAATGCAAACACAAACAGGCATGACTTGTGAAACAACCTTCCAACAAGGACTAGTTCCTGCCATTTTCAGTGTTTTCATTTGCTAATGTGGTTAGTCTGGACCATGTATGCGAATGTATTCTCTGTCCATAGCAGCCACACACACACACACCAATATTTCATGGATTTTATGCTGTCCAATTTGACCAAATACCACAGTGTTTTCTTTATTCTTCTTTAAAATTCAATTCTAATCTGATCTCAGAATTCTAAACCTTAGGATACCTTAGTCCACACCCAGGGTCAAGGCGGCCACAAGTGTCTCATTCTGACCTAGTTCTAGTCACAGGCCCTTAAAGGACTTTGCCATTATTCCTATCATCGTTTTTAAGAATTGTCAACCTTTTTAATTCATTTTTTTCTAAATGATATGTTATTTTCTGATTTATGCATTATTCTTGATATTGAAAAAAACCATCAGTACCAGGTTTTATTTTGAGTTTACAATTGCATCTATATTTACAAGAAATAGTAATTTATTATTGTATATTTGCCCACATTCCCTAACTCAGTCTTATGTGGCTCTCTTTCATTCCTGTGTTCTGGGTTTGACCAGGCCATCTTCATCTGTCTGTACCCCTCACAATTCTTAGAATTAATATCTTTATCCTTGTTTACTTGCTATTGTCTAAATCTTCAGATGTACTCCTAGTTGCTTCTTGATATACCTCTATTAAAAAAACTTGCATAAATTTTCCTCAATGTACATTTTGTTGTGTTCATTTCACAGGCAAGCATGTTTGTATCACAAAGAAAAGGTATTGTTACGTGAAACCAAACAGGCATTAGCTTGTGCTTTCTTAGAGAGTACTGTAATCCATGTAAATTAGAAAATAAAACTCCATGACATTGTCTTCCTCTTGGGAGACCGAGGGAGGAGGAAGAAAGGCCATGATAGAGTTTCAAAATATCTGTGTGGTTTCTGTGCTTCTGGAAGCTGAGACCTGCGTTGGGTGAGCCTTTGGCTTCGTTGGTAGCTCCGTGCATCTTTAGGCTTGCTTTGGGAAACCTGGTGCTGGAGGGAGAAGGGAACACTGCCCTCTTCTACTGTCCAGTGGATATTGTATTTCTGAGGCAAATCCGAGGGTAACAGTCAAAAGGAAGAGTTTTGGGGTTTGAGGAGGCAGGATGAGGAAGAGACATGGGTGGGCAGACCCACAAGAGAACACAGACCACAGAAAAATTCGAGCCGTGAGAACATTTTAGAAGTGAGTGGCTAAATGCGAATACATAATATTAGCATCTGTGTTGTTGTGTGGTTTCTCTGTTATTTTGGGTTCCCCTGAAAGCAGAGCCTGAGGCACAAACTTGAGGCAGGCAGTTTATTTAGGAAACAATCTCACAGAGAAAGAGGGAGGGGAATCCCCAGAAGCTGAACTGTCCCTCCAGATTGTTGGGTTAATCTTGTCGCCTCTTGGTGGAGGTTTGGAGCCCGGGCTTAGGATCCCTCATCCTTCCAGGCTGTACCAGCACGCACTCTGCGCAGGCCCAGAACGATGCCCTCCGTCAGTCACACACGTTAGTGAAATCTCTTCCTCCTAGGCACACATTTGTTTGGCATGGTTCTTCACAGATTTAGAAATTTGGGGGGAAAAGATAAAGAAATAGGGACCGCATTCTACATCTATGTCACATTGCAGCAATAAGAATTGATGTGGGATGGGAAGTGAGATTAAGTTTTTGGGCCAGCCATGAAGTTGGACCCAAAAGTGACTATAAGAACATATGTTCCTAAGGATTTGTGGAAATTTGGGATAGGGTATTGAAAATTCCTTTAGGATAAGGGATAGGCAAATATGTAAAATAGCATTAAGGCAAAAATGTCTCACTAAAAGATACGATGATTACTGCTTTTCAAATAAATATGTTTAGCAGTTCCCTTGATATCAACTGGAGTTATTTTGTGTTTTTAAAGAAATAAAACGTGCTTTAGCTACGTATCCCTTATTTTGGGAGGATCTATGTTCTATCTCCAAATACAAAGCAAGTAATAAAAATATAATATCACTCTGAGGAAACTTAATGAAGAGAAGGGAATAAAGTAAGGAGTGCCTGAGATCTGGGCGGGGGTTTTGGATAGACTGGTCTCTGATGTTGCTGTGAAGAGGTAACATTTGAGTAGAAACCCACATGATAAGGAATTAGCTAAGGTTTCGGGAAAGGATGTCAGGAGAGCAAGTATTTTCTAAAAGTTGAAGGGAACACAGAAATAAGGTAGGAGCTGGGGGGTAGAGAGGGTTCAAAAAGTGAGTTTCTGGTTTTGTGTTCTAATATGAGTTATGATAGAGTATATTTATGTACTGGTTAGGGAAGGTGGACTTGTGAATGTGAGAGCCTGTACAACCTAAACGAATCAGATCATGTCCCAAGGCAGAATACCTACAAGACAGACACAGAGATGTCAGCAGCCTGGAGTCCTGACAAAATCAGCGCACAGTTATCATGAGAGGAGCCCAACAAGGAAGCTGTCCCCATAGAAGGTAACACGGGAACAAGCCATGAAGTCAGCAGCAGTGGGGGTCTCAGATCTAACCACCACTAGAAACTGCGAGCCCAGAGGCAGTGGGTGGCTGGTAGCCAGACCTGGGTGGCAGGCAGACAGCACCATGCTGTTTACCCTCCTTGTCCAGAAGTGGGGCACTTTCGTTAGAGATTTGTGAGGTGAAGGAAGGTGACACATCTGTTCTTTTTTTTTAAATTTCAAACACATGTTTAACTTGTTTATTTTTATTATATATATTTTATTTTACTTTACCTTTCGGGATATATGTGTAGAATGTGCGGGTTTGTTACATAGGTATGTACATGCCATGGTGGCTTGCTGCACCTATCAACCCATCATCTAGGTTTTAAGCCCTGCATGCATTAGGTATTTGTCCTAATGTTCTCCCTCCCCTTGACCCCCACCCCGACAGGCCCTGGTGTGTGATGTTCCCCTCCCTGTGTCCATGTGTTCTCATTGTTCAACTCCCATTTATAAGTAAGAACATGCAGTGTTTGGTTTTCTCTTCCCGTGTTAATTTGCTGAGAATGATAGCCTCCAGCTTCATCCATGTCCTTGCAAAGGACATGATCTCATTCTTTTTTTATGGCTGCATAGTATTCCATGGTGTGTATGTGCCACATTTTCTTTATCCAGTCTATCATTGATGGACATTTGGGTTGATTCCAAGTCTTTGCTATTGTGAATAGTGCTGCAATAAACATACACATGCCTGTGTCTTTATATTAGAATGGTGTGTAATCCTTTGGGTATATATACCCAGTAATGGGATTGCTGGGTCAAATGCTACTTCTGGTTCTAGATCCTTGAGTATTCGCCACACTGTCTTCTACAATGGTTGAAATAATTTACACTCCCACCAACAGTGTAATAGCATTCCTATTTCTCCACAGCCTCACAAACATCTATTATTTCGTGACTTTTTAATAATTGCCATTCTGACTGGCATGAGATAGTATCTCCCTGTGGTTTTGATTTGCATTTCTCTAATGACCAGTGATGTTGAGCTTTATGTTTGTTGGCCACATAAATGTCTGCTTTTGATAAGTGTCTGTTCATATCCTTTGTTCACTTTTTGATGGGGCTATTTGATTTGTTCTTGTAAATTTGTTTAAGTTCCTTGTAGATTCTGGATGTTAGACATTTGTCAGATGGGTAGATAGCAAAAATGTTCTCCCATTCTGTAGGTGGCCTGTTCACTCTGATGCTAGCTAGTTTCTTTTGCGATGCAGAAGCTCTTTAATTAGATCCCTTTTGTCAATTTTGGCTTTTCTTGTGATTGCTTTTGTTGTTTTAACTGTGAAGTCTTTTCCCATGCCTGTGTCCTGAATGGTATTGCCTAGGTATTCTTAGGGTTTTTATGATTTCTGGTTTTACATTTAAGTCCTTAATCCATCTTGAGTTAATTTTTGTATAAGGTGTAAGGAAGGGGTCTAGTTTCTTTTTTCTGCATATGGCTGCCAGTTTTCCCAGCACCATTTATTAAATAGGGACTCTTTTCCCCATTGCTTGTTTTTGTCAGGTTTGTCGAAGATCAGATGGTCATAGATGTGTGGTGTTATTTCTGAGGTCTCTGTTCTGTTCCATTGGTCTATATTTCTGTTTTGGTACCACTACTATGCTGTTTTGGTTACTGTAGCCTTGTAGTATAGTTTGAAGTCACGCATCGTGATGCCTCCAGCTTTGTTCTTTTTGCTTAGGATTGTCTTGGCTATACAGGCTCTTTTTTGGTTCCATATGGAATTCAAAGTAGTTTTTTTTCTAATTCCTGTGAAGAAAGTCAATTGCTAAGGGACAGACTGCCTCCTCAATAGACATCTATTTTAATTACAATGAGCGAGGGGTGAGCTAGAGGCTGGCTGAGGTGGAGCTTTGCCTTTTGGGTCTACCTGCAGGGATGTTACAGACTAACAGAATATGACACATTCTCTATGCTCTGTGTTGCTTTCACAGAACTGAACATTTCTTAACTCAGAAACATATCTACCTCTAAGATTTTGGCCAAGGAACTGAGGACCTCTGTCCCCCTGCCCAAGTTTCCCTTCTCTCCTCCACTCTGTGTCTCACTTTCCCTTTAAAAGCAGAACCAGATTTTCCTGGAGAGCCTTCTTTCCTTTTTCCAGCCTATTCTCCACTGGCTGTTATTGAGCTTTCATCTTTATCAGAGGATCTAAACTGCCGTCAACTCAATCAGCAATGTCATTGCCCGTGTGCTTTGGTGGCACAAACTTTACCCTCGCCATGAGATTTTGCAAGTCTCTATGCTTTGGTCCCAGGTCTCTGGCCTTATTCCTCTATCTGGCTCACCTTAGGTGATCTCCTGGACCCAAGACCTCAACTTCTGCCTGGTGTCTCCCTGATTGACAGCTCTATGTCCCAAGGGGCCTCTAATATACTTGGAGATGCCACCATTTTTCAAACACCTCCACATGGACATCACAGAATGACTTTAAGTTCAGCATACTCAAAAATCAAGCCAGTTTTCTCCAGAAACTGATTCTCAGCCTGTTTATCATTTCTCAAGGAATGCTGCCATTATCTTTCTAGTTCTACAAATTACACATATTTCTGAGCACTTCCTCCCATCACGTCCCATAGTTCACACATTCCCAGTTTCACTTCATCCCCTAAAATTTGTTTATATTCATATACTTCTCTATATTTTTACTACCACCTAGGTAGTAAAAATCATTCACATTGAACACTGAAGAGGTGTCCAGCTCTGTGATAAATGTTTTGTACAAATTATGTTGTTTACTCCTCACAACGACCTTATCAAACAGGTAACATTATCATGTCTACTTTATACATGAGGGGTGTGGCTGATCAATGTTTTGGAATTTCCCACAGTCACACAGTTGAGTAGAGACAACTCTAACTTTTGTAAACCCAAATCATGCTACTCTTTCAAGAACAAGTCCAAACTCACTCAACTTCATTTACTACCTGGTGACAAAGTTTGGATATTTGTCCCCACCCAAATCTCACGTTGAATTATATTCCCCAATGCAGGGGGTGGAGCCTGGTGGGAGGTGTTCGGATCATGGAGATGGATCCTTCATTGTTTGGTGCTGGTTCCTGATAGTGAGTTCTCGGGAGAGCTGGTCATTTAAAAGTATGTGGCACCTCTCTCTCTTTCTTGCTCCTGCTTCTGCCACAGTTGGAAGCTTCCTGAGGCCTCCACTAAAGCAGACGCTGACACCATGTTTCCTGTACAGCCCACAGAACCATGAGCCAATTAAACCTCCTTTCTTGTAAATTACTCATTCTCAGGTGCAAGCCTGGACTAATACACCTGGACGGCCGTGCTACCTTCCTCATTGGTCTCCTTGTACCAAGCTTAGTTCATCCTTGAAATCATCTTTATCATTCCTCTATTCAGAACTTATGCAGCTTTTCTGGCTCTCAGGCCAAAGCCAAGGTCCTGAACAGAGACCAAGTTGTTCCCTGGCGCGGTTTGACCCCTCCTCAGCTTCTCAGAAACCTGATCCATGGGTTCCAGGCTCTCCCCTTTTCCCTACCTACTCCCAAGAACAGGCCACAGAGGACATTCTCTTCCCTAACAGCCTCAAGGCATTAACACGGGTTTCTGAATCATTATTCCCTAGCCAGCATGATTATTAATTAACTTTTGGATTCTAGACAACTCTATAAAATTCATGAGGACAAAAACCCATCCAGTTTTATTCACCATGCCTAGCATACAGTACTCAGTACTATTCTTCATGGCAATGTATTTTCCTTTAAAAACAATAGAATACTAATCATATTATGCTACTATACAATAATGCATACCACTGTAGAAAATGTGAGGGACTGAGGTAGATTAAAAGGGTAAAAACAAAGGAGAAAGAAAGAGAAAAATTACCCACTGATCTTCATCCAGGAAAAAAATTACATTTCTTTCAAAAATTTTTGCCATTGACAGATATATATCAAAATATTTATAATTTTGCCTGACTATAATTTGTTCAAAAACTCATTTAAACTGTTTATCATATCACTAACAACTTTAATGTTCATTATTTTAACGGCTACATACAAACATATTGTGTATATATACTGTAATTTATCAAACGCTCATAACAGAATTGGCTAGTTAGATTGTTTCCAAGTCTTGGCATATAAATGATGATCTCATAAACATCTCTGCAATAAACCTTTTCTTATACCTAAAAGATTTATGTATCTTTTAGAATAATTACCTGATGGAACAATTAGTGAATAGAAGAGAACACGGCTCTCTCCACGTTTTAGATACTTATCATCCAGTTGTTTCTGAAGCGTCATAATTAATGAATGGCATTTTCATGGTACTTGCTAGCGTTAGTTGTCCTCCATTCCACTTTTGTCAAATTCGTAGGCCCCCAAAATACATTCGCAATCACCCCTTATCAAAAGAGGATATATTTCAGGACCTCCCTCAGGTAGTACTGAATTCTATATACACTATTTTTTTTCCTATGACTACATATTTAGGATAAAGTTTAATTTATAAATTAGGCACAGTAAAAGATTAACAACAACAATAATAAAAGAATAATGTAGTATAATAAAATTTATATAAATGTGGTCTCTTTCTATAAATATTATATTGAAGTGTACTCAGCTATTTTTGGACTGATGTGCACTTCTGGTAACTGAAATGGCAGAAAGTAAAACCGCAGATGAGGAGGGACTACAGCATACTGTGTTGTTGACTAATTTGTGTTTCTTAAAAAGTTACTGAGGAATGCTTCTTCAAATAGCATAAATTATTATTTAAGCAATCACGATTTTATATTTGTATTTATAATATTTATGCATGTATCTATATATTTAGATAGGTATGCCTCTATAGTTTGTATATTTTGCATAATATGTAGCTATTTATTCCAAAGCTGTATTTTCTAGATATAGATGTAGATATATATCTATGTTGTATGTTTCTATATAGATGGATATCTATGTATAGATATAGTTGTAGACATTGACAGAGACATAGACATGGATATAAATATACTTACATCTTATGTGCCAGAAAGTGTGCTGCATTCTAAAAACAGGAATAGAGGAAGTGAACAACCTTTTAGACGATGATGGAAGTAGTCAGCTGTAAATAATGTTGCTACAGATAAAATTGCTGCCTTTCCAGAAAACTCAGAATTTAAGGCCTGTGGATTCAAGAATCATAATAAAATCCAGCAGTGATTTTTCCAATCCTTTTCTTTCTTACCTAGTGTTTTTTGTAATTTTATTGAAGTTGATGTCATCCCCCACTGTGGCTGGTGGCAAAAAAACCATGGATGGTATGCATTCTCTTTTGATACACACAGATCTGTAATATCTTGGCACAGTTGGAGTAAATGGATGGGACGCTGCCCCATCTGAAGATTCTGTTCGGGGTATTTTCAGTCCTGGAATGTGCCCTACCTGCGGTTTATTAGCTTTGTCAGAGAAATCACATTTTGCAAAATTCCTGCTTGTAGTATTCTAGCTTCTGGGGAGGCTCATTTGCCAGCACACTTTCCTTAATCTACTGGAAGACTAAAGATTTAAATTCAGATGAAAATTTCTCCTTTAAGCTTCTTTCTACAAATTAAATTAAGTGACTTTAGAGCCATCGAATGTAGTTTCTCTATTTTGCCTCCAGTATTTAACAGACGTTGTTTGAATGTGTGTGGGGTTTTTTACACTTTTTTATTGTAAATGTAGGTACTTTATTTAGATTTTAATAAGGCTCAGGCTGTTAAAACCGTAATTTTTTTTTATTTTGCTGTCAACTAATCTAACACTTCTCTAAGAATAGCCATAAAACTTTTATTTCACATTGTTTCATAGTAATTGATGTATTACTCATGAACTTTGAATTGCACGATCAGCATGAGGGGTACCACGGGGTCTTAGAATCGCGTCCTATGTACAGGTTATTGATCCAGCTGAAATGAGAAACTATAGCCAGGGTCTAATCACTTCAAAGCTTGTCAGGACTTTCAGAATGGCTTTCATGAAGAAATAAATAGCTACAAAGAATATCAAATAGCTTTTTGGGTAGTGTGCACACACCTAATAGCTCAATTGATTGCACTTTGGTTGAGATGAGAAAATGCTTAAGGTTACAGAAATCATATTTTTCTAAGTAGAAACATACATAGTAGTCAACGAAATCCTTAGAAAGTGAAGAATCAAGCATATACTTTGAGTATGCTTTCTATAACTTTGTTTCCTATATCAAAACATTCTGGTATGTATTAACTTGCTATTTGGACTTAAAGCTTCACAGGGATTTTACACAAATTTTTAAAATATAGTAATTTTTCACTAAACTTACTACTTCACCATGACCTAATTTTTGACCCATGGGAATTACATACTAAATTATGACAAAACACACAACCATACCCAATTTTTTAAAATCCAAATTCGAATGAATGTCTGTTCATATCTTGTAAATAGTTTTTCTTCAGATAGTTCACTGCTCTTGGATTTATGCAAATTAAGATATATGCTATTAAATGCAAAAATCTACATGAAAAATGTGAGTTACACTGTTTAATAAATAGTACTATTTCGGTTTATTTAAAATTAACCTATGTATCTCTAGACCTCATTGTGAAGATGTAGACACAGAAGGTGGAGAATATGTCAAAAAAATACATGGAAAATTTATATAAACATTTTTTCTCATGACACCTTTTCTCAGAATTTGAAGAAATTAGCATTATTAGCGTTTTTTTCATCATGTGGTAAACCTTCTATTGTTGTTTTTTTTCACTGCCTTTCTTCAAAACTTCTTGAGAGGAGGTAAACCATGCATGGAAAAACTTTTAAAGAATAAATGCTGTCAAATGAAATTAGTTGCATTTTTCAGAGCATGGCCATATAATTTTTTTTTTTGTAGGGAAAAGGCAAAACAGTAATAAAAAATCTGTGTTTGAGGTTTTAACTGACCTTTTTCAAATTATCAATACAGGTATTAAGTTCTGCTTTTTTTGTTTTGATTATTATTGTACTTTTTTAGGGTACATGTGCACAACGTGCAGGTTTGTTACATATGTATACATGTGCCATGTTGGTGTGCTGCACCCATTAACTCGTCATTTATCATTAGGTATATCTCCTAATGCTATCCCTCCCCCCTTCCCCCACAACAGTCCCCGGTGGTTTTTTTTTTTTTTTTTGGTTCTAATTCAAAGTGATTTTAGATTTGAAATGTATTTTCCTCATGTGACCTTTTGTACGTTTTAAAAACTATAATTTAAGGCAGTTAAGTATATATTAATACCTCTCTTTGAACACCATGTTGTAAAGGATATAAAATATACAATGAAATTAAGAGAAAAGAAATAATATCAACTATTTTAAAGCATCTACTTCGTGAAAAGCTCCGTTTGGGGCCTAATTGTAAATTAATTAGTATTAATTAGGAATCTAATATAGAATTGACACTATGGTAAGCCCTGAGAATGCCAAATAAATAATAAGGTTCCTATTTCAAAATTACCTGGTTTATACACTAGTAGAGCATGATGGTTACATGTGTACTTTAAGAAAGCAATGAAAAGCATAAATGCTGTAATGGAGTTATGTACAACGAATGATGGGAAATTAAATGCAGTGTTGTTGAATACAGCTGTAGTGTTTTAAAAAACTGTATAAGGCAGTGAAAATTAGACCATGTCTTAAAGAATTAATAAAAATGCAGTTAGATGTTTTTTGATTTTTTTATGTCAGGGAAAGAAAAAACATATTCTAGCCAGTTGATATAATTAATTAATCTTAAAAGTTTCTTGAGGTAACACTTTTCGTAAAATGTACTACAAACTTTTGGAAGTTTTAATTAATGACCTAATTTCATAATTATAATACAATCATTACCATTAACTTTCAATGTAATATGTGATCATGTCTTTTCTATATACAAAATGTACAGAAAAAATTAGATTAAAACTCTAATGATTCAAGCTTTTGCTAAGTCTCTTTGCTTAACTATCTCAGTTTAGGTTATGATAATTCGTGAGTGAAGATTTGATTTTGTTTGTGTGGTGTTGTTTTACATAGAACTCTTGATTCACATGAAAAAGAGGAAATCTGAAGTCAGGTGTATGGGTTTGAATCTAGTGTTTTTGCTTGCTGGGGCAGTGAACCTATGCTAGTGACTTCATCTCTCTGACTCCTTGCCCTGCTCATTAAAACAGTGCTAATAATTGTAACTCCTCCTTGTTTAGATGAAGCTCTTTGCATAATTCTTGTTACATGGCCATATCAAGTAGTTAATTACTATTACTTAGCATTGGTATTGTCATCACTACCTTCTTCTTCTTCATCATTATCATCACCACCGTCACTATTTCCATGATGATTCATTCAGAGAAAAATTATGTTAATATTATGGAATTGTGAAAAAAATATTTTGACAAACAGCAAAGTCAACTTTATCTTTTTTTTTCCCCAGAAGAAATCAGTTATGAGAGGATAACGAGTCTGCTGTTTTCTCTTTTTTAATGAAATTTTATTTTCACAGGGTTATTTTATCCTAAATATACTTTTCTTTTTGTCTTTTCTTTCTTTAAACATTTTTAAATGCCAAATACCTTTCATCATTTAATAACTCATTTTAGAGATTGTTACATTATTGTTTCTACTTATTACATGACTATTTTAAACAAAGACCATCAACATTTTCTGCTACATTACTTCTAGGATTTAAAATCAGGAGAAGATAAGGAGTAAAGTAACATTTTATTTTATTTGTAAGTGGCCACTTCTATTCTCTTCTATTTAACATCACTGAAACTGAATATTAAATTCAGGCATACAGGATAATGTCTTTCGTAAAGGATTTGGGAGCTAGATTTGGATTGGGAGAAAGAACATTGAACTTGGTGCTAGAAGATATATTTTAAATCCTCAAATCTGTCTCTTACTAACTGTAGGACCAAATCAGTCACTGAATGTCTTGAAGCTTTTTCTTTTCCTTGATTGAAATTGCAATGATAAATCCAACCATTTGTTTTTGCTGCAAAAATGAATTGAGATGAAATATTTTGCTACTTTCTCATCTGTAACTCCATGATATTAATAAATAAAATAGGTGTTTTTATAATTAAAACTGATGGAAAAATACTTTCTGGTCAATTTAATGGAAGTATATATTTCCTAAGCAATGGAAACTTGTATTTCCTCAGCTTCAGAAACAACGGATGCAGAATGATTATGCAAAATGCCTAAATCAATGGCTACTGCTTCGAAATAGATAACTCTGTGTGCGTGCTCTTTAATGACTTTCATTATCTGAATACTATCTGTGTTTGTTATTAATTGCTGTTAAAAGTCAAACCCTATAGCTCTTTTGATTTAGCCTCTCTTGGGCTTGGGGACTGCAGTACAGTAGGACTCAGAGTTGGTAGTTTTTCTCAGAATTCTTTGGCAGTGAGAGCTTCTTTCATCTCTCCTCCCATCTGTAGCAGCTCACCTTCCACCTTTTCAGGCAATATGTAATTATCATGTCCGCAGACCACTTTTCTTTTCTCCATCAGCTTTGACAAGAAGATGGATCCTCCAGCTACAGAGTACATGTCATTGTTCATGAAGCACTTGCCCAACAGGAACTTAAATATTAATTGTGAAAAAACAGCATGGGGTAAGAATCTTTGATGAACTAAAATTACTGTTGTGCCATGATGTGAAGGGCCTTTAATTTTGCCATCTGGGTCGAATTGACAAGAATGACTAAGAATTGTAGCTTGGAGAATTGGTGAACTTTGCATATGGACAATTAACTAAAAAAGAACAAGCCAGTTTGGAAAATTGTGGGTATCTCTGAAAATGAAGTGTCTGCCTACCTTCATATTATGCAGTCATTTTTCCATCAGAGACACATTTCTTGCAGCGAATGGTAGTTTGGGCTGTAATCAAGATTAGTGTTGATGCATTTGGACCTAAGTAAAGATTGCAACATCCTCTAGGAGCCGTGGCCCTGATCACAGGATCTCTCGGTATTTTCCAAACACTCTTCCATTCCCTACACTTCCTATTACAACAAGAGAGCATTTTGTTATATCTCTGACAGGAAATGTAAATCTCTCATCCATGTTATTTAATAGCTCTTCATCTCTGATAGAAAATAAAGATAATAAATCAGAAGTATTTATATTGTTAAGTTAAAAAAAGAATTGATTCTGGTTCATTCACGAATCAGTTTTTATTTTCACAAAAGCATGAAAAAAATGTATTGAGTTAAACCACTAGCTGTTTTGAAAATAATCCATTTACTAGAATAGCTAGTCAGAGTTATTAACTCTGTTATTTTCAAATACCAATTTTTCAATTTTAATCTTTTAACTAATCTTGGCTTTTTTCTTTTAAATTGTTTGAACAGCCTAAGTTTCCTGCATGTGGTGTTAAGTTTTATGGTTATCATGGAAAAATTATTTTAATGTAGATGTGTTCCTTTGCAAAGCCAATAAAACACCTGTTTTCCTTATAAACATAATCTACATAAAAGTGAATTTTTTAAAAAATAAATTTTTGAGGTTTTTGACCATTAGTGTTAATAAAGAGATATTCAAAGTTTGTGTTTCTTTTTTTCCATTTTTCTGGACTTGAGGACTTTAAACATGAAAGGTTTGTGTGGGAAAATGCTATACTAGATAGATTTTGTTGTATATTTGAAATCATATGCATTGGCTGTTATAATTACTTTTCATTGCAAAAACTGCAATTACTTTTGCACCAACATAGTAAAATTACGTGCCTTAGAAATCACTTAGTATAATCCTTTCTTTGTAAAGATAAAGCAGCTGTGACCCAGAAGGTATGCGCCTCCCCTCATTTGTATCATACCTGCCTCCAGAGCCTGCTCCCCTGACTTTAGCCTGACACTCAACCTAGTACAACATTTTGGGAGGAATTACATGTCCAGCAGCAATACATTACTTAGAGCTTCAAGATCAAAAACAAGGGTATTCTGTGGACACAAATAATTATAGAGCAACTACTATATAAAAAGCTCAATTTAGAGCCTCCATATAAGGTTTAAAGGACACTAGAGGAATTAGTTGATCTTGAATATTGCAAATTTTAAAAAAGTGAAGAAAAAGGAAAACAAATTCCAAAGAGGAAATATTTTCATATTTCTTATTTGAAATATATTTTGATAGTAGGAAAACAGCAGAAAATTCTATCACTTTCAGTAATTCTTTAGGAGGATTCACAGTATATGATTGAACACGTTTGGGACTGGTAAGTATCTCCGAAGCTAAATAATTTTTTTACTTCTTATCTACCTCTTTTGGTAACATATAGTTACTGCTTACATATGTCAGTAAAATATATGTTTCTGTAATCTATTTTGTTGTTGTTGTTGTTGTTAAGATGGAGTTTCACTATTGTTGCCCAAGCTGGAATGCAGTGGCATGATCTCGGCTCACCGCAACCTCCGCCTCCCGGGTTCAAGCAATTCCCTTGCCTCAGCCTCCAGAGTAGCTGGGATTACAAGCATGTGCCACCATGCCCGTCTAATTTTGTATTTTCAGTAGAGACATGGTTTCTCCAGGTTGGTCAGGCTGGTCTAGAACCCCCGATCTCAGGTGATCCACCTGCCTTGGCCTCCCAAACTGTAATCTATTTTATAAGCTCTGTGTTTCCGCTCAACACTTGAGATGGTGTTGACATTGATTTTCAGAAGGAAAATAAGTTTTTGGGAGAACTATGCCATACGTTGCTGCTTCTGCTTCCAGACATCATAATGTGTTAAAAATTGTCATTTCAAAAATGATTAAAAGTCTTCTAAATATTTACAGGTTGCCTAAGAACCACATCAAAACTTACTGTCTTCCTATGACTTCAGAATAGGCAAAACACACCCTTTCACAGCATTACCCCACTTCAGACTGCAGAAGCATCAGAGGGTGGTGAATTTTTCCTTCGTGTTGAACCAGTCACTGTGATCAAACTGGGCATGCCAACCTCACTTGATCTTAATCACACGTCTTTAATTAGCATAATGTGCATCTTGGGAGAAAGAGATGCTATGCTGTCTGAGGACCATGCTCCCAGCCCCCTGAACAACCTTCACAGTGAAGGCAACATATAGAGCTCATACACTAATGAATGCTTTTCCAACCTCATTTTTGCTGTGTGTTTTTTTTTTAAAGTATATTTCTTGTGAGCCAAATGCTGCTCCCCGTGTGTCTTCTGTACACTACTATTAAGCAGTAATGAGACATTCCATGCACTGATATCAGCCTCCTATTTCTCTTCATGCCTGCCAAAACGTTCTCTTTTAATCACATCCTAAATCCTAAAACAGGTCTTTTCTGTCCTTTCTCTTATATAAATGTATTCCTGTTCCTGTGTTTTATTAAAATCGCCAGTGCTGTCTCCCAGGTAAAAGATTAATTACTTGGCTGTGGTTCATAGAAATGGAGTAGCAACTAAATTACTGAGGGAATAAATCAGAAAATCAGTTATTGTTATGTCACAGCAAAAACTCTTTAAAAGAGAAAATAAAGAAACGTCTTCAATATATTAACATGCCTATATGTCAGGACAAAGCACCTCAAGTCTTTTTAAAAATTGGATGGGTAAGCAAAACAACATCAGTAGGGCAATAACCAATGCCTATTTAATACTGATACATGGGTTCTGACTGTATCATTATGCCACCCCTTTAGTGAATATCTCTTTGTTGTGCATTAATTAAATTTGGGTTAGCTATATTTCTGGAATCTCAATAACTGGTGAATGCTAGGGGAGATTCAAAACCTCACTTCTAATTAGTCATAATTATGATTTGTAGTCTTTGAAGTTCTTTTTTCCCCAAAATACTTTTCCTGAGACGATGTTTTATTTTCTAACTTCCTGCAAGAAATTCAAACTCTCAAATTCATTATACAGTAAAGATTAACTGGAAAAGAGAAACACACCTTTTACATAAAACAGAACACTATATCATTGTATTTATTTCTCAACTACCAGATAATTATTTAGAATTCACTGAGTAATTCGTTTCCATTTTAAAAAATTTATTTAAAAGTGGATAGGATAGTAAAGCCTATTCCAGTTCATGAAGCCTGGGAAGGCCTCCTTGAAGAATGACCAAATGAACTTGATATTGAAGGAAATGGAGGAGGTAGGCCTGGGACCACGTGCGGAAGAGAATGGAACTCAGAGACATAAGCCATTCACTCTGCTCACCCAACTTCTTTCCCTTACACTGCTTTTTGTTGTTTTCATGAATAACTGACACCAACACACCCATGTACACACCCACCAACACACAGACACACACACATGTTCTTTCTCCTCTTCTAACAAGGAAGCTCCATAAAGTCAGGGGCTTTGTTGGGTTCACCACTATCTCTCCAGCACCAGAATCCAGGGCAATAAGAAAGAAAATGGTCAATACATAACTTTTTGAATGAGTTCAATACCTGATTGCAGAAATGTATCATTCATGAAAATTACAAAAATAATAGCCCCCCTCAATTTTTTTGGGCAACACTTGCCGTTAAATGATTTGATATATTATGGTCTGTGGCTACACTGGTTTAAAAGGCTTTGAGAAGCAGACAAGGCAGGCAGGAAAATCCTCAACGTGGACATCAGGGTACTGATTAACAACTGATGAGAGTAATAACATTGTTATAATTATAAAATGCATGATATTTTTAAGTTTTTGAAAATATCAAAGTAAAAAGAGGAAAATCTCGTGATTAACATTTTTTATTTCTACTACCTAGAGATACACATATAATTGCCTTGTGTTAAATTTTAGATTCAAATTTTTATTAGGATTCGAAAATAACCAGGAAGAGGCCAGGTGAGGTAGCTGATGTTTGTAATATCAACACTTTGGGAAGTCAAGGTGGGAGGATCACTTAAGCCCAGGAGCTTGAGACCAGCCTGGGCAACGTAGCGAGACTCTGTCTAAAATAAATAAATAAATAAAAATAAAAGAGTTTATAAAAATGCTTTGAACCTGTATTTAATTTTTATTTAAAATTGAACTCAAATTTTTCTCCAAAATATATTTAAATAATTTGTGGAAAGTTATGTGGTACCTATAAGTTCAAATAGTCACGTTCTCAAATAATTTAAACTAAAGTGTTTGGTCATTAAATGTATGCAAGCTGCATCCACTCAGCCCAAAGCATAAGTGAATACAAACAGAATAGCTCATTAATCCCCAGGTAAGGTGGAGTTAAACCTTGTAAATATGGTTTTAAATAGAAAAACACACACAGTCATAACTTTTTATAAGAGTACATCATTAACCACAAGAGAAAGAAAACATGTTGGAATAATAAAAGCCTCAGCCAGGAAAGAGAGAAGATGCTCAGCTCTTTTAGTAAACATGAGAATATAAATTAGGCCATTATGAGTTATTATTTTATACCCACTAGACTGGCAAAAATTGTGACTAAAGCAAATGGTAATAAAGAAGTGGATCAACAGGTTATACACATACATATTGTCAGTGAGATTAAGAACTGACATGAAACTTTTCATCACACTCAGTTACTGTCCATACCTCTTTTTCCCCAGCCATGCCACTTAGTTTATGTCATCAAGAGAAAATCTTCGTGCATGTGACCAGAAACATTTAGAAGAAGTTTTATAGCACATCCAATAACGAAAACCTGGAAACATTTGCTCTCTGATGAGAGAATGTTCACAAATTACAGCTTTTTCATGTGCTAGATTATTATTAGAAGGAAAGTGAGTTACATATACATGCAATAATATGGAGAAAACTGAGTCTTACCCAGTGAGGAAACCCAGGCATAGACATCTTCATATAGTAAAATAGGTTTGTTTTTTTTTTTTTGTAATAAAACTCAAAAGCAACTGTCACCAAAAAATATACATTCTGGACGTAAGTATATATGCTAGAAACTTTAAAGTAGTGATGAACACGCATTTGAAGGCAGTGTTTCCTTCTGGGAGAAAGCAGAGGTATCAGGTCTGGGATGAACACTCATGCTTATGTAGCTGGGTTTCATAATTTTTTTTTTTTTTTAGACGGAGTCTCGCTCTGTCGCCCAGGCTGGAGTGCAGTGGCGCGATGTCGGCTCACCGCAAGCTTCGCCTCCCAGGTTCACGCCATTCTCCTGCCTCAGCCTCCCGAGTAACTGGGACTACAGGCGCCCACCACCACTCCTGGCTAATTGTTTGTATTTTTAGTAGAGACGGGGTTTCACTGTGTTAGCCAGGATGGTCTCGATCTCCTGACCTCATGATCCACCCGCCTCGGCCTCCCAAAAAGTGCTGAGTTTACAGGTGTGAGCCACTGCCCCCGGCCGTTTCATGTTCTTTTAAGTTCCTGAGCTGTTAGCTATGTCCGTAGGGATTCATATTTTAACTAACTAATGCGGGCCATGATGAGCCATTAACAATTTTGAACCAAAGATTATGATGAATACAATTCGGTGCACCTAACAGCCACATTGAAAATAAATATAGAGATAACAACAATAACAATAAAACTAGAGAATGTCCACATAAACAGAACTCATCCCTGTGACTTTATTAGCATTTCCATATTCTTGCCTCTCTTTCTCTCTCTCTCTCTTTCTTTTACTATCTCTTTCTCTCTTCCACTTCTCATCCTACGCCCCAGCTACTATTTGGTTATGGCCCCTGTGAAACTTACTGTCAGCTTTTCTCCAATTACCTCATTCTGCAAATAATATAATACTGTCTTCCAAATATTTTTTTCAATCAAGCTGCTGCATTCATTGAGCGCAGAGGTCAACGGAAACACTGATCAGCAAATGACAGAGTGTTGCATTTCAAGTGTAATGGGCTTGAATTTAAGGAAAATGTTTATGTTCATTTATTGTTTTTCAATGTAAGATCTATTGTGCTGAAAACATGCCAAGCAATCAGCTAGCCAGGAAGATTTTTATTTCAACAATATCTTTACTCACATATAAAACAGGATAGAGTGAATTTACTGAGATATAAGCAGATGTCAGAACCTAGCTTCATCCTAAAGTTATTAGGATTTATTGTTGGATGTACCAGGAATATTATACTAATAACTTGCCATTAAGCCAGGAGGGCCACTCGTGCTATTTTCATTAATAAAAATTAAGGGTTTCAGGAAACATATTAAGTTCATCATTATATTTCATTTCCATTAGATGCTTGCTCTGAAATTTTCAGCTTATTTTTTGAAAAAGCATTTTTGTTTGATTTTAAAAGGATATTGGAAGAAGTGTGGTGGGATTTGTTTTGACTTCAAGGTAAACATAAATGTTCAATATTGGTTCATGTCTAAAGCATACACTATAATTTAAATCAAAGTGACAGAATAATAAATTCAAGCAGAAAGTATGACAGAATACTTATGACTGTGGTTTGCATGAATACTTATTGCTGTGGTTTGAATGTGTCCCCTCTAAACTGCAGGTGTTGTCAATGTGATAGTATTAAGAGGTAGAATGTTCAAGAGGTAATTGGGTCATGGGGGCACCTCCTTCCTGAATGGGATCAGTTGCCCTTATAAAAAAAGGCTTCCTGAAGCCTTTAGCTCACTCCCTTTTCACCTTCTGCCATCTTAGGACACAGCATTTCTCCCGTTGGAAGATGCAGCAACAAAGCATCACGTTAAAAGCAGAGAGCAGCCCTCACCAGGGAGCCAAATCTGCCAGTGCCTTCACCTAGGACTTCCCAGCCTCCAGAACTGGGAGAAAATAAATTTCTGTCCTTTAGAAATTACCCACTCTCAGGTGTCTTGTTATAGCAGCACAAAATGGACTAAGGCAAAAACTGGTACCAGAGGAGTAGAGGGTTGCTTTAACAAATACCTAAAAATGTGAAGTGTCTTTGGAACTGGGTAATGGGTACAGGCTGAAACACTTTTGAAATGCAGAAGAGAAAGGGCCTAGATTGCTATGAAAGAAGCATTAAGAGCAATTCTAGTGAGGATTCAGAAGAGGAGAGCTATAGGGAAAGCCTCTGACTTCTTAGTGATACCTAAGTGGTTGTGACCAGACTGCTGGCAGAAATAAGAGGCCTTAGACAAAAATGAGAAATATCCCATAGGAAACTGGAGGAAAGGCCATCCTTGTTACAAGGTGGCAAATAATTGGGCTGAGTTATGTCCATGTCCTAGGACTTTGTGGAGGGCAGACCTGATGAGCAAATGAACTAGGACATTTGGTGGAAGAAATCTCTAAGCAGCAAAGTGTTCTGGGTGTCACATGGCTTCTTTTATCTACTTATAGTACACTGTGAGTAGAAAGAAATCATGAAACGGAGAATTTATTATTCAAAGGGAAGCAAAATGCAAAGATTTCAAAAAATATCAGCCGTGTAAAAAAAAAAAATGTTTTGTTTTTTTTTTTTTGGTTGTTGTTGTTTAAGCTTTTTTCTGTAATCCGAGCATTTTGGGAGGCTGAAGCAGGTAGATCATTTGAGGTCAGGAGTTCGAGACCAGCCTGGCCAACATGGTGAAACCTCGTCTCTACTAAAAATACAAAAATCAGTAGAGCGTGGTGGTGTGCACCTGTAACCCCAGCTACTAGGGAGGCTGAGGCAGAAGAATTGCTTGAACCCAGGAGGTGGAGTTTGTAGTGAGCCAAGATCGCACCACTGCACTCCAGCATAAACAACTAAGAGTGTGGCCCAAGCTGCATTTGATAAGAGTATTAGTATGAACTGAAGAAAGCCAGGTACTATTTGTCAACACGAGAGACTGACCAGGAAGTCATTTCAGAGACCTTTTAGTCTACCATGCCCATCACAGGCCTAGAGTGCTAGGGCCTTGCAGAAAGCCTGAGGAAGGCCATTTTTAGTGGAGTCTTGGGTCAGGGCTGCCCCAAAACTGCTTATCTGTAGAAACACCAGCATGCAACACTAGATTGGGAAATCCCCAAACACCTGACCAACCAGTGAGAGCTGCTGTGTGCATGGTTCCCAGCAAAGCCATGTCATGTGAAGTAATTCTACAAACCTCACTTGGAAATCTAGTCTGTTTCTCTGGGCAGGACACTATCTTTCTAACACAGAAAGGAAGGAAATGTGGAGCCCATTTCAAATTTCCAGATTTACCCTGCTTTTTCTGAGACACTTGATTGCTGACAACCTTGTTATTATTAGGAAAGCTTGATGTTAACAATCTCTTGATAGTGTGTATTTTATTTGACAATTTCTTTTTTTTTAGCTCAATTGACAAGTCTCTTTTAAATACTAGAATGTATCTTATCCCTCTCATTTAAACTTTTCTTGCATAATTTTTTGTTGAATAAACTTGGTCATATATCTTGTAGAGTTTCACAAGATCTGAGTTTTGCTGATGTTATTTTTAAAGTATAATTTGATATTTTCTTTCTTCTGTATTTCCTTGAAATCTGTAGTTAAGTGTAGAGGTTTGAATAGACTGTTTCACTTTTTGGAGAAGACTATTTCTTAAGTGGAGACATTTTCCATCAGTGGGTATCTAATTTCTTATTCTCTCTCATTGTGTCATGCACCTACTAGTTGCCTAGATTCATTTATTCATGAGCAGTTTCAAAATAATTTAATTCAATTTTTATTTTTTAGCTGGATCATATTGGTAAATATCAATTTATCTCATCGATTACTCAGCTACACTGTTGCATAGTTCATAAAAAAGTAGAACAACGGTTTATTTATGTTTCAAATTTTATAATGTAGGCTGACAACTAGAGACATATTGATCATATTTGAAAAATACTACATTATTTGAATAGACATTTCTTCAAAGAAGATAAACAAATGGTCAATAAGCACATGTAAAGATGCTCAATATCATTAGTTATTAGGAGAATGCAAACCAAAACTTCAATATAATCACTTCACTCCAACCTAGATGACTATGATCAAAAAGGCAAAGAATTACAAATGTTAGTGAGAATATGGAAAAAGTATAATTCAACTGCATTGATGGTGAGTATGAAAAGTGGTACAAGCACCAGGTGTGGTGGCTCACGCCTGTAATCCCAGCACCTTGGGAGGTCGAGGCAGGTGGATCACAAGGTCAGGAGTTCGAGACAAGCCTGGCCTATACCCATTACACCAGTATGGTGAAACCCTGTCTCTACTAAAAATACAAAAAAATTAGCCAGGCATGGTGGTGCACGCCTGTAATCCCAGCTACTTGGGAGGCTGAGGCAGGAGAATTGCTTGAACCCAGGAGGTGGAGGGTGCAGTGCGCCGAGATCGCACCACTGCATTACAGCCTGGGTGACACAGCGAGACTCGGTCTCAAAAAAATAAAAAAAAAGGTACACAGGCTGCTTCAGAAAACAGTTTGGCAGTTCTTCAAACACTTAAACACAAAGTTCCCATATAACCAGCAATTTTACTCCTAGGTCTATATCCGTGTATACACAAACACTTGTACATGAGTGTTTATTGCAGCATATAATAGGCAAAGTGGAAATAACATGAATGCTTATCAATTAGTGAGTGGATAAACAAATGTAGTATATACATGTAATGATATGTTATTCAGCCATAATTAGGAATGAAGTACTTATACATACTACACTTTGGTGAAACTTGCAAATGTTATGCTAAGTGAAAGAAGAGAGACATAGAAGGCCACATATTATATGATGAAATGTCTGCAATAGAGATAGAAGCTTGATTAATGACTCAGGCCATAGAAGGGCAGGAAATAGAAAATACCTGATAATAGGATGAGAAGAGTATTGTGCAATCAGATAACGGTGATGGCTGCACAACTGTACGAATATACTAAAAACCATCGCATTGTACATTTTAAAACATGAATTTTACTGCATATAATTTATATCTCAGGAAAGATAATTGTGAAAGTAGCCTGAAGTTTATCTGAAGATATTTGTATTGATTTAAAAAAAGAAATCATATTCTGAAGATACGATCATTCTTTTTTTGACTGACCTAATTTTTTTCTCATTCTACACTTTACTATTATATTTACCTGCAGATTTATTTTGCATATTTTGTGCTGTAAAACTCTAATTGGATTATTTTTCTCCAATTAGCCAAAGTTTTTCAGCTTTTATCCACATTGTTGAATAAAGTTTTCTTTTAAAAATTTTCACGTCATGTATAGCCCTGGGTGTTTTTAACTCCTGTTTATTATATTTCATGTATGTATCTAAATGATTTACCTAAGTGTCACATTTTTTTTATTGTTGTTGTTTTGGAGATAGTGTTTCTGTCACCCAGACTAGAGTACAGTGGTACAATCATAGCCCACTGCAGCCTCTAATTCCTGGGCTCAAGCAATCCTCCCACCTCAGCCCCCCAAGTAGCTGGGACCACAGGCATGCATCACCCCACCTGGCTAATTATTTTTTATTTTGTAAAGACAGGGTCTCACTATGTTGGCCAGGCAGGTCTCAAACTCTTGGGCTCAAGTGATCCTCCCGCTCTGGCCTCCCAGAGTGCTGGGATTACAAATGCGAGCTACCACACCAGCCTACAGTGTTTTAGTTTTGTTGTTTAAAATGTTTTAATATACAAATGGACATGAATTACTTACTTGCCTTTTCAAATTTTTCTTAAATATCATCTCAACCAATGTTAAACATCACTCTAAATAGAATAGCACCTACAATGTACTGGGAATTTTGATGGATGCTGTGCTGAAAAAGGTGAGCATAGTATAGAGTGAGAGCTGCAGCTATTGCAGGCAAGTGAGAATTTGTGTGTCTCACAGCCTATGTGTGCCCTCTTCTGAAGTCAGGGGACACAGTGTTTCTGTTTTTCCCCGCATTTTTCACGGCTCCTGGGAACACCTCCATCCTTATCTTCATTTTATCTCGTGACTTCCACCACCCGCATCATCCCAAAGCGAGGCTTCCTCGGCCTGTCTTGCTGCCATTCATTGTCCTACTGCTAAGGCTGGGTGGCTGTGATAGGCACAGTTGGCTACTGAATGGCAAATTTTCATCCTAGCAAAGTTGACTGCTTCAATTTAGAATCATTGACATTATGACTGTAGGGAATTTTTTTTTTCTTTTTGAGATGGAGTCTAGCTCTGTCGCCCAGGCTGGACTGCAGTGGCGCGATCTTGGCTCACTGTAAGCTCCGCCTCCTGGGTTCACGCCATTCCCCTCCTCAGCCTGCCCAGTAGCTGGGACTAGAAGCGCCCGCCACCAAGCCCCGCTAATTTTCTGTATTTTTAGTAGAGACGGGGTTTCACCGTGTTGGCCAGGATGGTCTCGATCTCCTGACCTCGTGATCCGCCCGCCTCCGCTTTCCCAAAGTGCTGGGATTACAGGCGTGAGCCACCGCGCCCGGCCAGGAAAATGTTATTGTTTTGGAATTAGCATTAAGATATTCTGTATACCTTTTTTAACTTATTTTTTTTATTCACAGACTTGACAAAACAAAACACCCTGCGAGAGAAATCCTGAGCCTGGAGGATCTGACAAAGGAGCGTCTTCATGTACCCCACACAGGGTCATGTTACTCACCAAGGCAGGGCACTAACATCACACCAGGTCTTTCATCAGTGGATAATGAAAGGCAGTTGAGACTTTTTGCAGTGATTTGTAAGTTTTGAAATTTACTTACAACCACTTAAGAACATTTAGATCCGGATTATCAATCAGTAAGTGCTTATTTGGAAGAGATTTGCATGTAAGCCATATAAAAATAAAGGGAATTAAAAGCAAGCTGAATCATTTCATGTTTTGTCTTAATGATAATCTTTTGCTTCCCTTGATTTTTTTTCTTACATACACATTCTTTGATCCTTTGGATTTATTTTTGTGCCTGGCATGAACCTGGTAAATATTATAAATTTTAAAATGCCGTATTTTATCAAATTGGAGATGTACACATTTTCACCTTTTAATATGTGTGAACTCAGGATGTGTCTTACAATTGTCATCAGTAAGCAAAAGGCAGGATGTATTTCTTCTTGGCCTAGAAAGACATAGGTCAGAGTTTGTTAGTGTCTTCATTTTAAACTGACTTGAATATTTTTGGTTCTACATTAGGATATTTGTCAATTAAAATATATTCAAAAACTCATACTATGAGTCAGCATTAAAACAATAAGTTATTGGTTCTATAGAAAAGCATGGAACTCAAGCAGCAGGAAGTAAATTTAATATCAGTGAAGGAAATATTTGTCATTGGAGGAATGATTACAATTTCACATTTTCTTCCAAAGTAGCAAGAAAGTGCTTTATGAGTCCTAAGGAAGTAAGATATCCTTACGTTGATAAAACTCTACTGCATCTTGCTTGTGTTAGTATTGCAAATAGCACAGCAAACAATGGAACTGATGTCAAGATAAACTTTCAAATAGCTAGATAGATGCAAAAATGTGAAGCCATGAGGACCTGGTGTAAAAAATTTATGCGTCAAAAAGGACTATTGTTTTGGTGTCAGACATCAATTTATCAGTCTGCTGATAATGCTGCACCCCCAACTGTCTTGAAGGTAGATGCTATGATGTTGTGTGAAAATATATGGCACTGATATTTCTGAGTAGCAAGGTGATTTGGGAGACTTGAACTCAATATGAAGTTAACATCATAACTTAAACTTATTTCACTTATTTTCTTCTTTTGTATGCACAAGATGCATACAATAAAAATCTATGTCTAAATTCTAAAGCTTTTTTTTTTTGCTTTTTTTTTTGAGATGGAGTTTCGCTCTTGTTGCCCCGGCTGGAGTGCAGTGGCATGATCTCGGCTCACCTTAACCTCTGCCTCCCAGGTTTGAACGATTCTACTGCTTCAGCCTCCCAAGTAGCTGGGATTACAGGCATGTGCCACCACACCCGGCTAATTTTGTACTTTTTAGTAGAGACGGGGTTTCTCCATGTTGGTCAGGCTGGTCTAGAACTCCAAACCTCAGGTGATCTGCTCCCCACTCAGCCTCCCAAAGTGTTGGGGTTACAGGCGTGAGCCACCATGCCTGGCCACTAAGAAAGCTTTTTTATTAAATATAAATACTCTATGTGATACCATATATACACACATATATATATATATTTATATGCATTTATATATGCATGTATATATACATATATGCATTTATATATAAAATGTATATGCACTTATTTATAAATATATATCCATTTATATACATATATGCATTCATTATATATAAATGCATATATAGGGAAACATTATACATACAATTTAACATCATAGGTCACATAATATAATGTTTTCCTACATTATATTATGTATAAGATTATATTATGAAAAGATGAGGGTTGTGAAGAAAAGATACGGTAGGAACTCTTTAGAGGCAAGCATCAGTATTGTAAGCAATAGATGTTGGGAGCCTAACTCAGGGGTTGGTCACAAATTTTGAAAGAAGTGGACACATTTAAAGATAATAGAGGAGGAAAATCAACAAAATGTGACAATAAAGGCAGACAGGTAGAACGAAGTGTCAGGAATGATTCAGAGGTTACTGGCTTTGATCATTGAGAGAGGAAACACTGTAGAAGGCTCCGATGTGAGAAAAGACGAATGAGTCAATTTGGGATTTGTTTGTTTTAGACTTTATGGTAATGGCAAATAAACACTTGTTGGAGAGGACTGTAGTTCAAATATAAGGTCTTGAATAGAAATCGTGGAAAACACTGGACTTGTGTATATTTAAAGCTGCCCAGACCCTATAATTCTAGTAATTGTGTTCCTAGGTATCTGTATTGAAAGAGTTTATGTGCATGTGGATTGGAATGTTGTACAGAAACATTTATAATGGCACGGCTCATAAAAATCAAATATTGGAAACTATTTAAATGGTCATCCACAAAATTGTGGTGCATTCATGAACTGCATAGTATACAGTAATTAAATGAACTACAGCTATTGTGCTCTAAATCTAGAGCTGAGCTATATACATCTGCATTAATCTGTTCTCACATTGTTATAAAGAACTACCTGAGACTGGGTAATTCATAAAGAAAATAGATTTAATTGGCTCATGGTCTGCAGGCTGAACCGGAAGCATGGCTAGGAAGCCTTTGGGAAACTTACAGTGGTGGGCAAAAGTGAAAGGGAAGCAGGCATATCTGCCCATGGCAGAGCAGGAGAGAGAGAGAGAGAGAGCAAAGGAAGAGGTGCTACACACTTAACCAGATCTCAAGAGAACTCACTATCTCCAAAACAGCAAGGGGGATATCCACCCGCATGACCCAATCACCTTCCACCAGGCCCCTCCTGTGACACTGAGGATCACAATTTCACATGAGATTTGGGTGGGGACACAGAACCAAGCCATACCAACATCTCTATAAAATATACTTCATTTATAGATCAGCCATCTGGGCATTCACTCTTTAAGAATTCTTTAAACTCAACATTCATTTTTTAAATAATTTTATATATATTTTACATTTAATTATATGATATGTATTATATATATATAAACATAAATGTATATGAACACAAATACAAATGCATGTGCATATTTATATAAAATAACAAGGTATAAAATGATACTCTAAGAACTATATGAAGTACATTTTTAAAAGCTTCTTATCAGCACAAAACATACCTTAAACAAGAGAAATGAGATAAAATGATGTTGGATAAGAAGATTTTCAACATTGTGAAATAATTCTCCGTTAGTTAACTTATAAATTTAACAATATCCTGATTAAAATATCAAGCGAAATTATTTTTAACTGTTTGATTTTTAAGTTTATATGGAAGAAAATAAACAAATAATAACACCAAGGGAAACTCTAGGAAAAAAAGAACAGTAAGTAGTCACTACAACTAGCCTAAATGGAAACATATTGTATAAACTAAAAAACGTAAAATGTTGTGATTCTGGTATAGTAAAGTAATGGAATAGTAGAAGAAAGAACATACTAGCAGTCCAGAGATAAACCTAAATAAACATAGGAATTAGTATTCATTGGCATATCAAATGAATGTTTTGGAAGCTAAGAAAATTTGACAATTGGTTTAAAATAGTGCACACGGCGTTGTTTTGCCTCCTGGCAAAATAATAAATTTGCATCCATATTTCCTGCTATAATCAAAGATGATTGTTAATGGATTAAAACTTTTAAATGTTAAAAATAAAATCATCAAAGTACTACCTATGTGAATTATTATAAGCATTTAAAATAAGAAAGGCTTTTCTCCTGTGATTTAACCAAGAAGTCAGGGAATAAAGATTAAAGTTTATTCATCTCATATTAATGTCAAAAGACCAATTTCCCTGAAATATGTATAGCTATTGTAAATGTACAATAAAAGATTGACCACCCAATAGAATAAGTAGTAAATGTTGCTGATTCAAAAACAACAGAAACCCTCTTAAGTATTTGAAGAGAGCACCAGGCATGCTCATAAGAAAAACGCACATTAAAACCACACAGATACACAAGTTTACCTATCACACTGGCAAAAATATAAAAATGTAATAACATAGTGTCTTGAAGCCAGAAATTGCCTATACTATAACCCCACAGAGGCAGTTTGGCAATTATCTGTGAAAAATATGGTGCATGCATGTAACTTTTATCTAGCAATTAAAATTCTAGAAATTTAACAATTATGTGGAAATATGTGCGAGTATTTTTACCGAAACTTTTGCTTTTACCACAGCAAGAGTAGAAACAGTCTCTATGGCAGAGCAGATTCAACAAACTATGATTTAAAAAATTCAAATATTAATAGATAATATTGTGAAGATGGAAAGGGCTTATAAGTTTTAAGTGAAGGAGTGGTACATACATTGATTTGTTTGTGTTTATTTGTGTTTGTATTTTGGGTCTGATAATTATGTTGAGTGGAAAAAGATATTCTATCTGTTTTTAAATATTGTTTGATATTTGCCCCATCTGAACATATTATTCATTCAACAATAAAGGTGTTAAAGTTGACTGTCTATAAGCTGGGAAGAGAGCCCTCACTAGGAACAGAATTGGCCAGCATCTTCATCTTGGACTTGTAGCCTCCAGAAATGTGAGAATATGTATTTCTGTTATTTAAGTCACACAGTCTATGATATTTTGTTATGACAGTCAAAGCTAAGACAAATCGCTGTCTTGATAAAATTTTGAAAATGCTAAGTTAAAAAGATGATAAAGAACGTGCGTGTTTTTGTGTGTTGATGATGATGATGATGTATCTTTTCAGAGATGTCCAGTATGAGCTGAACAGTTTGAAATTTCTTTGACAATTATGATAACATCACAACTCACCAGAATATATATTATTATCTTCTTCAGTGAGTGTTCTGGGAAATATACTTTGAGAAATAGTGTTCCTCTGGCTCTGGAAAGTTGTCAATTTACTTAACTGTAACAAAGTCCTCAATTTACTTAACTGTAGCTAATAGGCTATCTTGCACAGGAAGGCCTTCCAAAATAATAATACAATACTGTAAAAAGCACGTAATTGTGAATTTTAAAGCTCCACATTGTGCATATATTCATAGTCTTATCTAAATATAATGACTACATTTTTATTGAAAATTCTATAACATAGAGTTTATATTTCTAATACAGTTTTTCCTGGGTTGAAATAATTACATTATCCCTACTAAAGCACAGGATCTGTTTCCTGAAATCCTTGACCTGAGGCAATAGAGGTGCCTGGGGGTTTAGTATGTGCTTTCTCAACCATTTATTCTATCTCTTTGATCAGACAAAAGAATAAACTTCATAGTGGAAACAATGATGTTGTTGTCTAAATTTTAAGGCCAAAAAAGTCAACAGTTTCTCACGAGAAAATACATATAGAAAGGCACCCTGTTAATTACTTTAAAGGTTATGCCATAATAATTTATAAGTAAGTTGATAACTTCCAAAGAGCAAATTGGACATTGCAAGTACTGATTCTATTTCTTTCTTCAGAAGTTATAAAATGCACATACTACAAGTAGACCACGTAAAGTATGCTACTTTCACAGTACCTAAAAGAAAAATGCCCAGGTTTCTCTCTCCATCGATAAAGTGATGTCAAAACTGAAGATCTGCTACTCATTTTCTTAAAATGGGAGAATATTGTCACATTTTAAATATAAATGTTGGCATATTATAAAAGTCTAGGAGCTGTTTCCAATCTGTTATATTAAAAAAAGTTTCATGGCTTATTTGGGTCTCTAAGCATAATAGGAGGTCACAGACTTCTCATCTGCTGTTTCCTCATTAACTTCATATTTACTGAGGCTAATAAGAAATTAATAATTATTCAAATAAACTACCACCCAGTGTCAATTACTGCTAATGTTTTAATACATTGTATCAAATACACATTACATATGTATAAGGACACACATATGTATACTTCTAAAATATGGATATTCTTTTATATCATATTTTAATACACTATCAAATATACATTTCATATGTATAAGGACACACATACATATGTATACTTCTAAAATATGGGTATTCTTTTTATATCATATTAGAACACTATAGATAAAGATAATACCTATGACCATAAACTCCCATTTCAAATACTTCTTCCTTCTCTAACTATGATATATTTGTTGTTTTCCCTTCTGACACATTGCCCATTGCTTATCTGGTTATTCTCATCACATTATCTTCTGTGCATTGAAATTACTGGAAGACCAGTAGTTGGTCTTCCTCATGTGTTTGATAATAGTTGACATTTTCTTTAAAGAATTTTCTTCAAAGAATTTTCTTCAGGCAAGTTATGGGATTGAACAGCAGCATTAAAGGGTCATCTTAAGCATCTCCTCCACTATCTTATAAAAATTTGACTCTAACAGTTCTTTTACAGGTTCTTCAGTTCCTAGCCCCCTCCTCACAGGCCCCATTGTTTTGGTGGAGACCCTGCACATGCACCATGATTAAGTTCTAGACCTTAATCACTCAAATGCTGCTAAAGATACCAGATATGGAAGCATATATTTGGTCAATGGAAATTTTTCTTTCACTTTTTAAAAAGTGTATGCAATTTTCTTAATGTTGCTGTTATTCAATTATTTTATACATTTAATTATAATTGAATTCACCATCTTGTATCAGAGATCTCTCATTTAAATGTCAGTAATGATATTTAAAATGCTTCATAATGGATAATTTAATATATCCTCTATTATCTTTTTCTATATTATTATCACCCTTAGAACTCCAATTATTCTTATTCTTAAATCAGTTTAACCACAGGCACAAACTTTGAGTTATTCTTGCTCTTAGAGGGTTAGTAGACAATGCACTTGTTATTTTAAAATTGCCATCATTGACTTTAATCACATTAAAATTAGTAGTGTTGTTGAGTATTTCTTTAAATGTTCATGCATTTCAGCTTTCAAGGGAGTCTAACGTGAAGAGTACAGGAGCATATGTGTGAGTTTAGCTGCTGGAATGAATGTAACCAAATTAGAAAATCAACTTCATTTTCAAATATCTATTAGGCAATCAGAGTAAGGGGAAGTTTTATTTTGAAACTTCATCAAAATCTAGTAGCACAAAGTTACAGGCACACATGTTGAAAAAGAGTTCACACATGAGTAGGAGGGGAAAAAAGCACAACTGCAAGTGACTTTAGAGGGGCCATAAAACTGGAAAAACGGTGGACTGAATATGACACTGTGTCTGTCAGAGGTCACAGATAGTTAAGAGATAGAGGAAGGGGCCAGGGACCAATTAGAAGATCAGAAGTCATTAAACCTGTGCTCTGAGCATTTCATCTCTACTGGAAAATATATTTAGTTATTATGTCTGATCTTCAGGTGACAGTGTGTCAATTATTTCCATGCATCCATTGTATAAAGTTGGTTGTGACTGACTATATAAAATGAAAGTTTAGATTTTTAAACCATGAATTCATAAATTTTCTTTCCTTCAATAAGTCATAAAATTGTAAAAGTTTAAACATGTGGTTCCACTTGAGATTAAGTAAATGAAAATCCCATATTTAGAATAAACTTGGTACAATATAGCATCCTCATGCAAGAATAAATATGCTACAGATTAATGTCCATTATGAGCCCTGTCTAAAAGTTGTCACTGCATTATGTTTTATATTGTGTGGTGATGTTACACATTTTAAAATAGGAATGCTTATTCAATAGAAATTAAGGATCCCTTTTAGTCGCTAATAACTGACTAACTTATTTTACTCATTGAAGCCATCTGGATTTTCAGATGTCTGTTGTTAATATGGAATTCCTTGTGCTAAAGAAAACAAAGTTCATAGAGCAAATAGCCAAAGAGAAAATTAAATGTCCTCTATGTATAAAGGTGCTAGACAATTTATGCCTTAGGAAACCCTGTGATTACAACTGATAAAATAACCAGACTTTAATAGACTAATTGTGAAAGATTAGCCCATTTATCTGAGCTTGTTAAACACTGCAGTAGACTGGAACCAATTAAATAAATAATCAAGTTCTATACTATTAACTTCCAAAGTCCCCAGTTCCCATCACTGTAGTGCTATGACAGGTCGTTTTTTTTTGTAAACCATAATTCTTTTCACCCACAAAGGGAAGTGTAATTTGGCACATTTGGATTGAGTCAATATATATCAGGCTAAATATGGTCAACTGAATTTACCATGTTAGCCCTATATATAGATTAAAATATCAAATTAAAGTTTTGTCCTTTAAGTACAAGTGCACTCAGATAAACAGATACATCAATGTTTTTAATTCACTGTGTTCGTAGACGTGAAATCTCTTTCTAGATCTTAAAGATGATCTTCTGTTTAATAATGGAATTTAAACAATGTACCCAGTCTCACCCCCACAAAATCCAATATTCATTCAAAAGTTTTATGATAGTACAGAAATAAAAACATTAGAGTATCAGAGACTGATATCTATCTACCACTATCTTAGCATATAAGTATTTGACACAAATGTGATACATATGTCTTCATATTCACTGTTCCCTAAACAGGTATATAAACTTCACTTGCTTTATATTAAAATTAAATAGGAATTGAGAGGCTAAGTTCCTTATTTAACTTTGTTTGTTCTGTCTAGGTTAAATCGGAAAACACTATAAGCAAATGTAATATGTTAAAATGAGTAGCCTAAATAAAACAATCTCCAAGAGAAAAATATTTGTTGTTTCTTTCAGTGGCTTTATTGGAAATTAAATACTAATTCAATACCCTTTACAGGTGACTACATATGATAATACAAATGTTCCCAGTAATGAATTGGAAGGGAGATCATTTGTGCCTAGATTTACTTTTCAAAAGTTGGTACTTCCCTGTTCTCTCTCTCATCTCTCTGTCCACCTATCTATCATGTATCTAACTATCTTCTATCTATCTATCTATCTATCTATCTATCTATCTATCTATCTATCCATCTATCTATCCATCCATCCATCCATCCATTCATTCATCCATCCATCTATTATCTATCTATCTCAAAAACATGGGTTGCTTAGCTGCATTTCCACAAGCTATTACATTTGATAATAAACATGTTATTTTAAATTATTTTTCCTAGGAATGGTTTGCAGATCAGAAAGTAAAAATAATAATAATTGTAATAATTTTGGGACAATGTAGCTGAAAGCCTGGGAACTTTCTGATACTTCCTGCATGTCTATTTATCAACATAATTGAGATTCCAAGTCAAATTGTAATAATATTGATTTATGTCTGTCTATCTATCAGAGGCCAACATGGACTCATTGAAAATCGCATAAAGGACCTTGTACCATTTTATATAGAAAAGCTTGTTTTCAGAAAAAGAAAAGAGAGTGCTATTTTTTTCTTTTGGCCAAGACTAATTAATTCCTAGAGTACTCAAGGAACCCATCGGGTCCCTGAAGCCTCAAGTCCTGTTCCTAAAAAGCTTCATAGACAGGTAAATTTCCTCATCCTCCTGGAAGCAGGTAAAATGATGCTGCCATAGAGACCTACTAAAATCTGTATCTGGCTTGCAACATTTTTGTTATCTCAAGTGCTGGGCACCTAGCATAAGTGGAATAACATTTGTAGAGGAAAAAGTGAGGGAATTTTAATATGTTGGCCAATGATCTAATATTTTATTATTAAATAATAATCTCATGCATTGGCAACTTTGAGGGAAAAAATTGAAAACAAGTTTGTTTGTCAAATGGAGGGTCATTGTCCTCTTTTGCAAGATTCCATGAGAAGAAGAAAATGGGATTACAAGAAAGAAAGGTAAATATTTGGGGAAAAGAATTTATTTAGAAAGCACCACTTGTTAAAAAACAAGATCAGTTTATAAGGTGAGAACTATTGGGCAGCTTAGATAGACTTCTTAAAGCCATGCCCACACTACTTTTGCTAATGTACTGATGTTTGCTTTGACAAGAAAAACAGTGACACTAAATCAGAGCCTCTGTACCAGCCCATTTATCACAAAGCATAGACTCGCAGTATTAGATACTTCCTGTTTTTGTAATCGACTCTGCTCACCTTCTAGAGAGTGCATTCCAGACATGGGAGGAAGAAAGTGAAGTGGCTTATTCACCGTCATTGGTGGTAGAGGCTCCATGAAAAACAGATGAGCTTTCAGTCCACTGTATAAACTGTGTTAAAGATTTGTTTTTATTACTATTAGAAGTATTGTTTTTAGGCAATTTCTGTTGCATTATCGAACCAGGCATTGTGAGATAAACCACTGGGAAAATGTCTTATAAATTTACCAATTTACACTATAAAATCTGCCTCATGTTAATTTAATAGCTTTTTCATTTCCCTCTGAGACCATGAGTCTGTATTTAGAATTCAGTGCTAAATTTGTTAGTGGATACTTTAGTCTGTGTTCTATATTTAGTTTCTAATCAACTTTCTTGTAAATAGGTCAGTTCTCATCATTTTTTGCTCCCTCTATTTAATTGGAGAATGCTTAGCAAAACTCCCAACAAATCTTGTTTTAATTTGCAGTTGTCTTGTTTTTTGATTCAGAGTTTCAAGGCTAGTGTTAGCCTTTCCTGCATGGCTCTGACTTTGTAACAAGGGCTTTCAGTTCTTCATAACAGAAAGACGCTTGGTTTAATATGACGCATCCTCAGTGATCCAAAGACTATCTTTCCTTTCATTTCAAGTATCCTGTGACTGTCACTGGCTTTTGGTTCTGTAAAATAAATTCACTTTCAATCTGAATACTTAATGACAATGAGGTTCTCATACTATGGGATTCCTAACAATTTTTTTGACCTTTTAAAAAATTCTAACAAGTTTTTTTTTTCTTACTGAGAAGTAAACAACATAATACATATTTCTACTGGAAGGCAAAATTGTTCTATAATTATGTGCTTATAAATATAAAATTGTCATATAAATGAGTGTTTACACATTAACATATACGTAATTATCTGCATTATCAATTCCGTGTTAAATGGATGTAAGACACATGTAATCTGATTTGCATTATATAGAAGATGGTATTATAATAACTTTTCACATTTACTTGTTAACTTTAGAATAAAATGTTTTTCTACTTAGTGTAGTATCTTTGAGTTTAGACTATTACTATTTATAAGAAACTTATTTCTTATGATTAGTACCAAAGTAGTACTAAATATAATTTAAGTGAATCCTATTTTTTCTTCCCTTATATTTATTTTCCCCACCAATGTTCATCATTCAATTATTTGGGGTCTACATCAAAAACTATAATCTGTTAAGTTTTAAACCTACTTTCAGGGAGACTTTGAGGAAATATTTAATCACCGAAATCCTCTGAATTCAATTTCCCATCTATTAAATGTGCAAACTAATTCACACTAAAATTTTAATAAGATTAAATATAATAACTTGTATAAAATTGAACGTGTGTTGCAAAGGTAGAAGTTATTGTTCTGCTTTGGATGTTTTCTTACTGGTGAGTGGATTACGGAGTTATTGGAACACAAGTATCTCCCTCTGAATTCCTGGATTTCTGCTTCTAGTAGATAATAATTTCAAGTGCAGTACTAATGTTTCTATTAATATTTCCTTGTGTTACTATTCTTTCCAAAAATATCTTGCCACTTTTGAAGCCAGAACTATTCTTTAAGAACATTCAAGACCACCTGATGAAATTGCTTGGAAGATGTTGCTCAAATTCACAAGTTTACTGAAACCCAAATATGTATTTACTTATTAAAGGGAAAGAAGATAAACTAATTTTTTATGGAAAACTATAAAAATCATTTTCTTATACCTGTTCACTTCCTCTAGTGGCTTAAGTAAGATAATAGAATACTGAAGTATCAGCAGGGCAGAAAATATCTGAGATAGAAGCTGGAGAGATGAACATAGCAATTATATGATAGTATATTAATTTACCAAGTTAATGTACAGTATGTATGTATGTATCTATCTGTCTATCTCTCTACCTACCTATCATCTATCTATCCATCCATCCAAATAAGAAGTCCTAAATGTTATAAAAGCAGAGTTCATTCTTCAGTTTATTATTAAGCCTAACACTGGTTGTAATGAATTATTTAAATTTACAAACATTTCTTTTGAGATAAATACAAGACATGGCAGAAGAAATTAAAAGTGTCATAGTAACATTTAAGAACAATTTTGATAAAAATAACGATATTAGCTACTAATTATTTTCTCCTCAGGCATTGTTCTAATATATTTTATCTGTGTCTCACAAGTCTAAGAAGTCATTATTATTTACATTTTATAAGTGAGGAAACTGAGGCATAAAAACTTCAATACATTCCTCAAGGTCACAAAGTTGTTGATTTATCACTTAATCCACAGAAGAATTTAGACCACTCAGTCATCATTATTTCTTTCTAAATTATTTTATTATTCTTTAAGATTTTCTATAACAGACTACAGAAGTAACTGGACCAAGTTCCTTTAACTTCACTTAGATCGTATAAAATAGAAGCCCAAATAAATAAGCCAGTATCAGACTGTAACGACAAAGTCCTGTTAAAAGAAATGTAACATCTTAAGAGGGAACAAGGGCTTGAGTGAAATGTATTTTATGTTTTAGCATATCAAGAGAAAACTATAGTTTTAAAATACCGGATAGTTTAGTTCATTATATCCATCTTTTTTCAAGAAAATTGGTCAACAGATCTGAAGTGGGAGAAATTCCTCGACAAGAAAATAATTATTCTTGTTAAAGTTTCCTTTCAATTGCTATGTCTGACATCTTTAGAAGATAACATTTATAATGAAGTAATTAGAGTATTATAAAATTTTGGAGCAGATAATTTTCTAAGGCAGAAAGATAACAAGAAGATTATTATAATCAGAATTGTCATCATTATTAAAATCATCAGTGGAATAGTTCTGGGTAATTTTTAAAAAATGAAAGAATGGTCAGTGGGAATCTACATACAAAAATGTCTACTATTTTTCTCAGATGCATATATCATAAAATGTATGAAAAGCATGTCAGCACTATCAGGTTAAATCGGATCAGAAACAGAAAACTACCACAAGGTCCACAGTCAAAATTTTAGGTATACACACACTGACACATTTTCCTCAAATGCTTAAAAACAGAATCCAGGTTCTTCAGATGGTTCCTGATGGGAATAACATTTTCTCAGCTTTCACCTCAGTGAGAGCTGCTAATTGCTTCCAAGTTTCCCTTTCCTGAGACAGCATTTTTATTCATTTCTTATTTATTCTTCAGGCATATTCTACAAATTTACCCACTTTTCAACCAACCAAAAGTTATTCTCTGTTGCTTTGTTTTCCTACAAAAATATGAGGCTACTATAAACTCAATTCTCATCTTGCTTTCCACACTCCCAATATGCAATGAAGATCATTCTATCTCAGTACACACAAAGCAGGCCACTTTTTTTTCTAAAGACGGAATATAGTTGTGTAGATACATCATGGTTTAAATCACTAGTCAGAAGTGGAAAATAATTTAGATGTTTCTAATCTTCTACTGTTTAAAATAAACCACAGCTATGAATGACTTTGTATAGAATTATTTAGCAAATGTGAAAATATATTTGTAGGATAAATATATATAAAGAAAAAAATTCCTAGGTCTAAGATTATGTGCATTTTAAACATACATATGTAAGCGATGTAGATAAACTATATATGTAAATGTTTATGTAAATTTCCTCTGTAGCTATGCCAGCATACCAGCCCATCAGTAATGTATGAGAATGCCTCGCATATAACAATAAAAGGTAGCTCTATTTTGTTTTTCATTTAGCAAATCTTTGCCAAATTTTTATATTTATCGTACTATGAGCGAAATACAACATATTTGCATATAATTAAAGACTATCTTCTGAAAACTGTCTAGTCATATCTTTTGCTAATTTTCCTTTTGCACTTTAATTCCAATGGATCTGTAGAAACTATATACATAGAACATTCCCTTTTTAATGTAATATGAATTGCAAATTCACTCTCACTTTCAAAAGCTGAAATTAGTCCACATTTTTCAGTTGTCTTGGTTAGTCTTACACATGGAAACTCTGCCCTCTCTTCATCAGGAGAGAGTATACTTCTTTGCCCTTTAACTCTGTCCTTGTCAACATGACTTGCTTTGGCCAAAGATGAGTTAGTAGATGTGACAGTAGTGAAGAATTAAAATTTGTTTAAAAGATTATTCTAAAAAACTTGCCTTTTGTGATCCACAATTAGAAGAGGTTTCTTCTAATCACTATCGCCACTGCCCTCCTACCCTGGTCACCATAATAAATTTATGGAGAGACCTCAGCCCGACCACAGCCAGAATCCAAGCCCAGCTGGTCTGCAGGCTGCAACAGAGCCACCCAGCAGAACCCCATCTGGATTAGGTCATCCAGATTTAACCAGAAGACACATGTGCACGAGGAACAATTCTTCTCCAGTAGGCATGCAGTAGGCCTCAGAGACTGGACATTAAATGGTCAATTGTCCCCAACTGTCATGCTTTTAAACAATTATTGCATTTAAAAATTATTTAGTTTGAATTTATGAATCATCTTTGTACCATACCTTCTGGAATTTGTATGTTGTTGAAAAAGACCTACCCACTGACAAAGTAAATTAAAATTAAATATGCTACATTGATTTTATTGCACTTTAGTTATGTTTTTCTTTCATTATTCAATAATTCTGGAATTTCTTTTAATAGAGTTGTAAAATAGAAATTAAAATGTATTTTTTAATTCAAATGTTGCCATGCTATTTAATAAGAGATCTTTTCTCTATGACTTGAAATGTCTCTCTTACATATACTAATTACATAATGTATTACAGAATTATTGGTTAGTTCTCAAACTTTTTTTTCCTTTTACCTCTTTCTCCTTCTCTTTCCTGTCTCTTCACAAACACACACACACACACACACACACAGACAAACACACACACTTATGTGTCACTAACACTCTTTAATGATAATATTTGGTAAATTTTTTCTTATCTTTCATTATTAGAAGTATTATTTGTTTTTCAGAAGGACTTCATAATCCCACTGATGTTTTAAACAGATTTTAATTGACATTTTTATTGGAATTACATAAAATATATAGATTGATTTAGGGAAAAGAGATGTTTTAAAATATGAGATTTCATTTTCTAGAACATAATATATTTGATTTATTGCAAGACTGTGTCCTTCTGGAGTGTTTTAAAAATTCTCGACCAGTGTTTATTCTTTAATTATATTGATTATATATTCTATTTCACTGTTTATCTACATACAAGATATATAACTTTGTAGCTGGCCAATTAAATGAGGTATATTTTAATCTAAATTAATTTGTATCTTATTTATCATCTTTCCAGGTAAAAATATAATACCTTAAAATAATAAATTTTTCAAAATACTTCCCTTCTGACTTATTAAAAATATTTTGGGGGGATAATCTTTGATTCACCTATACCTATAAGGAATAATATGAAAGGAAGCTATGTACTCTTTACCCAGTTTCTCCAAATGATAGCATCTTGCAAAACTGTAATACAATATCACAACCAGCATATTAATACAAAGTACAAAATATTTACATCACAATGTCTTTTCTGTTGTTCTTCTGTAGCCACACCCAGTGTCTCCTGCCTCACCTGTGGTCCCACTGAGACCACTAATCTCTACTTCAGTTCTATAATTTATTTCAAGAATATGATATAAATAGAATCACAGAATGTAAAGCCTTTTGGAATTCGCTTCTTCTTTGAACATAAATCTCTGGAGACTCAGCTTTGTTGTCATGTGTATCCATAGTCTGTTGTTTGTATTGCTGAGTAGTGGTCTATGGTGTGAATACAACATGGTTTATTTAATAATTCACTTATTGAAGGACAGCTGAATTGTTTTCAGTTTTTGTTATATGAATAAGACTTACAAACATTTGTGTACAGCTTGTTATGTGAACATATCTTCAATATTCTTGGATAAGTTCTCAGGAGTGCAATTGCCTGGTTGTCTAGTGTTTTAAGAAACTGACATACTGTTTTTCAGAGTGGCTTTATGATTTTACATTCTCACTAGCAATGTATGAATGATTCAGTTCCTCTCCTTCCTTATCAGGGTTTGGTATTGTTTGTTTGTTTGTTTTACTGTTAGCCATTCTGATAGGTATGTGGTGATATCTCCCTGTGGTTTCTACTTTCATTACCCTAAAGGCTAATGATATTGAGCTTCTTTTCATGTGCTCAATTGCCATCTGTATTTTTTCTTCAGGGAAATGTCTCTTTATGACTTTTGCCATATTCTAATCGTACTGTTTGATGTTTTTATTGTTAAATCTTGAGAGCTCTTTATAAATTCTAGATACTAGACATTTGTTAAATAAGTGATTTGCAAATATTTTCTCCCACTCTGTAGCTTCTTTCTTTCAACCTGCTGTCTGGCATAAGAACTCTTTGCCTAGTCCTGTATCCCAAAAATGTTCTATTTTTCAAGTAAAAGTTTTAAGAGTTTAACATTTAATTCCATGATCCATTTTGAGTTAATTTTTATATTGACTTAAGTCAATTTTTTTTTTTTTTGGCCTATGGATGTCCAGTAGTTGAAACACCATGTATTGAAAGGGCTTTCTCCATTAGATGGCTTTTACGCCTTTGTTAAAAATCAGTTGGGAAATAATAGTGTGGGTGTATTTCTGTGTTTGCTATTCTGATTCTTGGTCCATATGTCTGCCCCTCAGCCAAGATCACACTGTCCTGATTACTACAGCCATAAGTAATGTTGGGTAGAGTAATTCCTCCCAATTTGTTCTTTAACAAGATTATTTTAGCTATTCCAGACCCTTCGCCTTGTCATATGCACTTTAGAATAAGAAGCTTGGTGAACAATTCTTAGTTTTTCTACATCTGAAAATATCCTAATTTCCTTTTCATTCTGGAAGATATTTTCACTGGTTATAGGATTCTGGGTGAATGGTTCTTTCCTTTCAACATCTGAAAACTAGGTCTCTCTTCATTCTGGCCTCCACAGTTTCAGCTGAGAGATCCATGGTTATTCTTATTGTGTTTTTCTTATGGGCGAGTTGTCACCTTTCTCTGGCATTCTTCATTATTCTTTTCTCTGTCTTCTGTTTTCAGCAGATTAATAGTGATGTGAGGCCCGGCGCAGTGGCTCACACCTGTAATCCCAGCATTTTGGACCTCCGAGGCAGGTGGATCACCTGAGGTCAGGAGTTCGAGACCAGCCTGGCTAACATGGTGAAACCTCGTCTCTTCTAAAAATACAAAAATTAGCCAGGCATGGTGGTGGACACCTGTAATCCCAGCTACTTGGGAGGCTGAGGCAGGGGAATTGCTTGAACCCAGGAGGCAGAGGTTGCAGTGAGCCAAGATCACACCACTGCACTCCAGCCTGGGCGACGGAACAACACTTCGTCTCCCAAAAAAAAAAAAAAAAAAAAGAAAAGAAAAGAAAGAAAGAAAAGAAAAAAAGAAAAAGATGTGCATTGGCTTTGATTTCTTTCGGTGTATTCTATTTGGGTTTGGTCAGTTTCTGTAATATGTAAATTTAATCTCTTGACAAATATGGAAGCTTTCACTGATTATGTCTGAAACTTTTTGGTCCCACTTTCTTCTCTTCTAGAACTCTGAAAACCATGTGTATTAAATATTTTGTTATTGTACCACTAGTCCCTGCGTCTCTGTTCATTTTTTTTTCCAGTCTATTCTCTCTCTATTCTTCGAAATGGGTAATTTCTACTGCCCCATCTTCTAGGTCACCAATTCTCTTCTCTGTCACCTCCATTACGCTGTTGAGCCAAATCACTGAACTTTTTTTTTTTTTTTCAGGTCTAAAATGTCCATTTGATTCTCTTCATTTTTTTTTTTTTTTTGCTAAAAATTTGTTTCTTTTATGAGGCCTTTTATTCTTTTGTTTCAAGTATGTCTGTACATCCTGAAGAATGCTTAATTGTAGTAATAAGAAGATGGTAATGATTAAGATGAAGAAAAAAGATATTCTTTCTACGATTCCTAATTTAAAGAGAATATTTTCACTAAGATCTTATATGCTTTATAATATTATGATAATGTTGTTATAGGAATTTTTATATTTTCCTTAAATAGATAAGAATTTTACCCATTATAAAAGTAATTATCCATTTTTTAAGACTTTATATAAAGAATCGGTGATAACATTTTAAACTGCATGTCGACTATATAATGAGAAGATCTTTTTAAAGTTTTATTTATTAGTATGGCCAATAAAATATTCTAAGTCCAAAGCATCTTTGCATTACTATTATAAACCCTACTTGCTTATGAGGCATCAAAACCATGTTGAATCTGGATTCTGTTTCCTACTTGAAATTCTTTCCATTGCTGTTCAAAAGAATGATTGGTCTATGATTTTCTTTGTCCTATCTTTTTGAGCTTTTTAAAATGTCAGGATAATCTTAGCTTCAGTTTTAGGAATTAAAGGTCTTTTTTTTCTGTTTCAATTCTCCAGTAGAGGAAAAGTAATGTTTTACATTTTATTAATGCAAATATCTTACTTTTCATGTTAAATGTATTCCTAGATATTTTATTTGATATACTAAGACTATTTATGTCTTAAATAGTTGGTGGAATATGCTTTGAAATTTGCTATGCCTGGTACTTATTTGGATGTAGTTCTTTATAATTTTCTCTATTTATTGTAGAAGTAAGGCTGGTTAGTTTATATTTTCCTAGAAAATTATTGAATTCATTTAGGATTGCAAACTTAGTTTTATAGAACTAAGCAATGGCATTTTAAACAATTATTTTAATAGATTCTATATCATATTTTCCTCATTATCAGTCCTATGTCATTTGTGATTTCTTCTTTTCCAGTTTTGGTATCTTACATAGATGGCCCTGAGTGATGGCTATTTGCTCATATAGTCATAGACACATATTTCTAGGTGTACTTCACCCAAAGGCAATGCTCTTGGCTATGACCACCTCATGTTTTCAAGGTGGCTTGAGATGAGTTATCTTTCACTTTTGAGTCCATGAGCACTCAGGAATCCTTGTTGTGTTAAAGAGGAAACAGTAGATTGTTTCTGCTCATACTGCTCTTTCTGTTTTTTTTTTTTTGGGGGGGGGGTAGGTTTTTTTAAGCCTGACACCCTTATTATCTCCCGACTGTGACTTTCACAGAGAATGCAGATTCCCTGGGACTCACCTGACCAGGATTCTATCTTAGAGAGGTTCTCTTGAGACTCCTTCTCTTGGAAAAAAAGGTAGATTTGAGGACAGCATGTCTTTAATTCTATAAAATCCTTATGAATCTCTAGCACTACTTTTATCCTTCAGTCTCCAGATATTTATTCATGTTTAAATTGTGTTTGTGGGTATATGCATGTCAATGGCCTGATATTTTTGCACTGAGTCCTGCCAAAAGCTATTTCTTACCTCTGATTTTAAAGAGGGCCTTCTCACCCATCTCCCTCAGCTTTTGCATCTCATCTAAATTGCACGCCACAGCAAAGCACTATTTCACCTTCGTGTACCTCTTGACAGCCCCAGTGTAGACAAAAGCTCATGTCTACTGACTTTTACCTTCTGTGAATTACTTTTCACCTTCTGGGTCAATAATGAAAGGGAGCCACGCTGAACAACAGGGATTCTATTTTGGGTCATTATGCAAAATTCTCTATATCTATGTTTAGTTTGATCTATGAGCATATTGTTACTCATACACATGCCCAAAGCTTGGCATACCTACCCTTCTAGCTGTGCTGTAGATATTAGATATTAAAAGTACTTTCCATGTTTGTTCTATTGCTGAGTTTTTAAATATATTTTGCAACAAGTCACTCTACTAGCAAATTTGGTGAAAGTGGATAGTTAAAACATGTTTGTTTCATTTTGAAAACAATAGGGTGATTTTTAAACATAATTGTACAATCATTAAGAGGTGTCTTTTGTGGTTTCCTTAAATCGATGCAGAAATAAAAGAAATGCAGAAGAGATGTCAGACACTTCACAAAGAAAACGTCAGCGAGCCAGGAATACTGGATACTGATAATTAAGAAGAAATGATTTAAAGTGACATTGAGTCTTTAAAAATGTACAAATAAAAAGATGACAGCTATGAGGGCAAAAATATGGGCCTTAGCACATGAGAGAAATATTAGAGTTGAGAGGGAGTGGTTATAAGGAAAAGCAGCAACTAAAACCCAGCCTGGAAGCTAGCAGGCACTCATTAAATGCTTTTTGAATGACTATTAAAAAAATTCCATACTAGACGCATTGAGTTTGATGTGGAAATTTTCAGCAGTAGTGTAAACTTAAACCTCTATGGTGCTTTAAGTTTACAAAGCACTTTCATATGTTGCCCTATTAATCCCCACAGTAAACCCATAGAGGAAAATATTATTATGGCTTCCTTACAGCAGAGGAAATGAGGCTTAGGAAGATTAAGTTATATATTTAGTATGAGCCAGAGATAATGTTATAGACCAAGTGTTCTGAAACCTGGACTCTGTCTCATACTGCAGAATGCTCCAAGTGGAAGCAGCTTCAGCTGCCGTAGCAGGGTATCAGACACCCTGGAGGAAATCACAGTGTTTGCAAAGGTTCGGATAATTACAGAGCAAATGAAAAATGACAACACATCCTCACTAGGTGGGAGATACATGAAGGCTGGTGTGCTGTATCTTTTTTATTGCAGTTTCACACACACTTAGGGAAGCTCAATATATGTTTACTAAATGAATGATTTGGCTAAAGCTTAGAGTATGCTGGACAAATAGAGGTTTATTTGTATTAAAATAGAACTCAAGAGAGATGTATGCCAGGAGCCTGGTGAAAGAATAAACAACATCATTGGGCAACAAATTTAATGTTAAGAGTTAAGAGAATTGGGAAATAAAGGAAGGATTCAAAGGTTCCTCTTGAAACAAAAATCATACATATCAAGGCCAACAAACAAGTATTTTAAAGGGAGACATATTTAGGCTGGGAGGGGTGGCTCACACTTCTAATCCCAGCACTTTGGGAGGCCGAGACAGGAGGATCACTTGATCCCAGGAGGAGTCTGAGACTAGCCTGGGCAACAGAGTGGGACCTTGTCTCTATTTTTAAAAAAAACATATTTATACATATATATACATAGATACATCTTCATATCTTACATATAGAATATACTTCTAAGGAACTTTACAATTTTACTTTTTTTATTTATTGCTTTGGCTTTTATAAATGAGGTAACCTATTATAGATTGATTCGACATTCCTTAAACATATTCTTCTATACAACGTACTTTTTCTTTAATCTGTTTGCTCTCTCTCATTTTTCTATGATTTTAAAATTTTTCTTCCTTTACTTATTTCTCTGAAGGCATTGTCTGCATGCCTTCATTAGTCTTCATTTTTAAAATAATTGTATTCATTTATTTCAAATCAAATTGTTTTTGGTGTACTATCACCTCATTTCTTTTTATTTTAACTTAGATATATGCAGGTTTTATATATTTCATCCTTTTCTTAATTTATTTTAGCTTGTTTTGAAACATTCCACTGACATTTCTATTTCTTTTGTGGCATATCTTATTGGAGGTTTCTTTCTTCTTTCTATAAAGACATAGTATAGAATTTCATTGAGAGTTTTCTTGTTGTTTTCACATGAAATTAGTTTCACAAAATTTTAAGAAGATGTGGTGGTTCAGGAAAGTTTTTGAAGTTCACAGCTCTCACAGTCTCTCCTATAATTTTCAGCAATTCTTTAAGATAGGGTCACTTACCATTTGAAATTGTCTTGCATTTTCCTTTGCTCATTTTAAACATGACTGTCTCTTTCCTTTGACCCTATTACTTTGGTTCTGATAAATTTAGAGTCTTTTTCAAGTGGTCTCTCCTCAGTGTTGGGCTTTCTCGTGGAAGGCATTTTGGAGGTTTTATAGACTTCAGATTCCCCCAGCTGGCTCATCTTAAACCATGGATTCACGGTAATTATACACAATTTAGAGTATGACGGGAAACGATGTATAACTGGCCTGCCCACCTCCAATGGAGGCCGGGTTGTAATCTGGGAGTGATCCAGGTCTCATGTTTGTCACATGTCAAATTGTCTCTTTCTCTTTCCTCCTGAAGGAACGTTGATACCACTCTGGTAGTGTGCATTAGTGGTTTGTCCCCAAGCTCATCTATCATGATTTCTTTTAGTGGTTATAATCTGTTTGGGGTTTTAGTGGGGTTTTGTTATTCTCATTTTTTAAAATGAACAAAATATATATATATTTATCACATATAACATGATGTTTTGGAATATGTATACATTGTGGAATGGCTAAATTGAGCTAATTAACATATGCTAATATATGCATTACATATTTTGTGTGTGTGGTGAGAAAACTTAAAATCTACTCAGTGATTTTTTTAAGATACAATACATTCTTATTAACTATAGCCACCATGGTATATAATAGAACTCTTGTATTTATTTCTCCAAAGTAACTGAAATTTTGTAACCTTTGACCAACATCTCTTCAACCCCCCTCCTCTTCTAGGTCCTGGTAACCACCACTTTACTCTGGATTTCTATGAGTTCAACTTTGTTAGATTCCACATATAAGTATAATCATGCAGGATTTGTCTTTCTGTGTCTCTTGCATTTCACTTAGCATCACTTCCCCCAGGTTCATCTGTGTTGTCACAAATGACAGGATTTTCTTTTTTTCAGGCTGAATATTATTGCATAACACGTTTTCTTTTTCTATTTGTCCATTGATGGACACTGAGTTTGATCCCATGTCTTGGTTGCTGCGAGAAGAGATCCCATCAGTACTCGACTACCGCCACTATTGTCTAGAAGCTTCTCCCTCACTCTCTCAACGAGGTGCAAAAGCTGCCATGGAGGCTTCAACTGATACAACCAGCTTATTCTGGGACTGTGTATCTCTAATATATCAAAAGTATAAATCTCTTAATTTAATAGAATATAAGAAAATACCTATTTTGGTAGGTACACTTTTAATATTTAACATTTTCATATTCTTCTATACAGAATCATACACATTCATACACACAAATTAAAGATATTTGGAAATCTATTTTTTTATGTTTCCTAAGTAATAGAGAATATTCCTTATCACCAAATGGTTTCTAATCTTCTTTGTTCTACTTTACAATATTTAGCAACTTAACTCGTCTGTCTTCATTATCAGAGTATACCACAGAGTAGTGGCCTGCATTTGAATATACTGTATACTGATGCTCTTTTTTCCCTTTAGCCTAAAAATTTCAAACAATCACTCCAATCTCAGTCAAAATAGAAAAAAAAAATGTTTTAGGAAGGTAAAACCAAACACTTGTAATAATTAGATAGAAATATTTTTGCAATTTTAGGGAACTAAAATAATTGTTTCCTGATCACTGAAGTTTGTATATTAATTTTAAGAAAATTAGTATGTTTTCAGTACTTGAAAAAATTATCTATTTCTTAACCATATGGTAATAAACAATAAATGATTGGCTTTGAATAGCAGTCAATACCATGGTAATTGTATTAGTCTGTTCTCATGCTGCTAATAAAGAGATACCTGAGGCTGGGTAATTTATAAAGGAAAAAGGTTTAATGGACTCAGAGTTCCACATGGCTGGGGAGGCCTCACAGTCATTGCAGAAGGCAAAGGAGAAGCAAAGGCATTTCTTACCTGGTGGCAGGCAAGAGAATGTGTACAGGGGAACTCCCCTTTATAAAACCATCAGGTCTCATGAGACTTATTCATTACCACAAGAACAGTATGGGGAAAATCACCCCCATGACTCAATTATCTCCACCTAACCGGGCCCTTGACACATGGGAATTATTGCAATTCAAGGTGAGATTTGGGTGGGGACACAGCCAAACCATATCAGTAATGTTAGAGAAAAAAAAAAAAAATCAATGATACTTGTCAAATCATGGAAAGGACTACTTTATTCAGAGCCATTTCAAAAGATATAGGGACCCCTGCAGTGGGATCCTGCAGTGGGGGAGAGTGATTTGGCTGAACTTGGAATCCTGCATGGGCAAGTGGGAATTTATAGCCAAAAATAAGTGTGGAGGTCAGTGGATAGTAAATTAAAGAGACATAACATCAGAGTCAAGGGGAATTTGGTTAGGCCAAGCGGACATCATTCTTGCTGAAAACAGGCCAGGGTGATCCAACATTACCTGGGGTATGGTGGAGGATGAGGTATCTGAACAGATATCAATGACGGAGAGTTCTTGCTAAAGTGACTTAGCAGGGTTTTTTTGCTGAAATTAGATTTTACCAGGAAGTTCACAGATGGGTCTATCAGAAGATGCAGAAGGCTGACTAAAGTTTGGCCAAGCAAAAAATATTTGTCAGTAAATACCCAGTCAAATAAATCATTGTATGCTGGAAGTAATCTTTTAATTTCAGGATTAAAAAATAATGCCTGCTGGGTGCGGTGGCTCACGCCTATAATCCCAGCACTTTGGGAGGCTGAGTTGGGTGGATCACCTGAGGTCTGGAGTTCGAGACCAGCCTCACCAACATGGTGAAACCCTGTCTCTACTAAAAATACAGAAATTAGCCAGGCATGGTGGCAGGCACCTGTAATCCCAGCTACTTGGGAGGCTAAGGTGGGAGAAGCACTTAAACCTGGGAGGTGGAGGTTGCAGTGAGCCGAGATCATGCCATTGCACTCCAGCCTGGGCAACAGAGCGAGACTCTGTCTCAAAAAAAAAAAAATTGTCATATCTTCTACCCAATTATATCAGCCATCCACTGAGACCAAACCACTGGTGGGATTTGTTGCCCTCCTAGGCCCTCCCTCCAGACCCATTCAAGGGACTCCAGAACATGTGACTACACAGCCTCACAGTTTTGGAATCAAGGGATCATGGCACCATCACCATATTTTCTAACTATCATCCATTTTTTACTGAAATTGATAGTTAATTTAGTCATATAGCATATATGACTACAATGTAAAAACCAGCTTTATTCATCTAGCTATTATTTATTTGGTTGGACCAATTATAAGAGTTAATTTAAAAGCCTTTGCCAGTGTTTAAGATTGACTAAAGTAATGTGTACACTGCTTGAGTTTCTGCAAGCTGTCACAGGCTGTAAACTCATTTATGCTTTCTCTTCACTGATACATTCTTACTAAAGGATACACTAAATCATCTCATGTAGCATTCAACGTAAGAGTTCTAGTAATAAATTTAATACACACTATCGCTCAATATTTCCCTAGAGTTGTTTAAAACATTTATCCTGGAGCTGAATAACATGACTTACATTTTTAAAGACAGTCATCGACTCCTACATTACGCAAAAAAAAGAAAAAGTCTCACACAGGTGTTACCAAATCAATTTTCACTTAAATAATTATATATTTTCACACGCGAACAGTTTGGTTACTTAAAGCTTGAGGGATTTGAAGTATCACAGTAAAGGACAGTTTATTCTATGTTGATGCATTCTGATTTGTATCTCTGAATCCAAATTTTAAAACTATTTAAAAAGTTAAATTTTCCCAAGCTGTTTAATTCCAATTAACCTGGAAACAGGTGTGGGGTGAACAAAATGAAAACCATTCCCACCACAACAGCAATAGGAACAACAAAACAGTGATATAAATCTGAAAACACTTGAACTGTAGTCCGTTCTCTAATTATCAAAGATTGAACAAGATGAATGAGATACTTAACCCACTGTGTCCTTATTTCCCCGCTGAAATTTGGAAAATTCTAAACCTGAGCTTCTCTAAGGTTGTTTTTAATGCCTCTATTACTTTGTTTTAGAATTCATCTTCCAGTCTTCTATAAATGATTTCTTATTTCTCCTGATTATAGAAGAATTAACTCTTCAAAACCAAAGCCATCTATTAATTTATTTTCACAAGATATTTAGAAATCTTTTGTTTCTCAAATATATTTATTTTTATTTAGATGCAAACTGGGACAATACGGGTCAGTTAACATCTTTATATTTGAACACTTCCATGAAAATGAATTACCCATCTGATAAGAAATTAATAACCACAATAGACAGGCTCAAAGAACTCTGTTGGAAAAAATCGAATAATCTGATTTAAAAAATGGGCAAAAGGCCAGGCCTGGTGGCTCAAGCCTGTAATCCTGGCACTTTGGGAGGCCGAGGCGGGTGGATCACGAGGTCAGGAGATAGAGACCATCCTGGCTAACATGGTGAAACCCTGTCTCTACTAAAAATACAAAAAAATTAGCCGGACCTCGTGGCGGGTGCCCGTAGTCCCAGCTACTCGGGAAGCTGAGGCAGGAGAACGGCGTGAACCTGGGAGGCGGAGCTTGCAGTGAGCCGAGATGTCACATCTGCACTCCAGCTTGGGCGACAGAGCCAGACTCCATCAAAAAAAAAAAGAAAGGTAAAAGATGTATAGACATTTCTCAAAAGAAGACACACAGATGGCAAACATACATACGAAAAGGTGCTCAACATCACTGGTCATCAGAGAAATGCAAATCAAAGCTACAATGAGATATCACCTCACCCTAGTCAAAATGCCTTTTCTCAAAAGATAAGCAATAATAAATGCTGGTGAGGATCTAGAGAAAAGGGAACTCTCCTACATTGTTGGTGGGAATGTAAATTAGTACAACCACTAAGGAGAAGAGTGTGGAGGTTCCTCAAAAATCTAAAAAGAGAGCTAATTATATGATCCTTGCAGAATATATACCAAAAAGAAAAGAAATCAATATATTGAAGAGATAGCTGCACTCCCATGTTTATGGCAGCCCTGTTCAAAATAGCCAAGATTTAGAAGCAACCTAAATATCCATCAACAAATGAATGAAAAAAGAAAATGTGGTACTTATACACAATGAGTTCTATTCAGCCATTAAAAAAAGAACAAGACTCAGGCTTTTGCAATAACACAGATGAAACTAAAGGTCGTTTTGTTACATGATATAAGCCAGGCACAGAAAGACAAACATCGCATGTTCTCACTTATTTATGGGACCTATAAATCAAAACAATCGAACCCACAGAGATAGTGAGCAGGACGGTTACCAGAGGCTGGGAAGGGTAGTGGGACGGTGAGGGGGAGGTGGGGATAGATAAAGGTTACAAAAAATAGAAAGAATAAGGCCTAGAATTTGAAAGCACAACAGGCTGACTATAGTCAATAATAATGTAACTGTACATTTAAAATAACTAAAAGAATATAACTGGATTGTTTGAGACACAAAGGATAAATGCTTGATAGGATGGAGACCCCATTATCCATGATGTGATTATTACACACTGCATGCCTATATCAAAACATCTCATGTACCTCATAAATATATACACTATGTACCCTCAAAAATTAAAAATTTAAAAAGTGATAATCTTAAACATTTATCATCATGTAAAACATAGAATAGCTACTAAGCTGTTTTCTGCTTACAAAACTTTTGGATAAGGTATAAAAACAGGAATTAAAGGAATTCAAATGTATTGGAAGTCTAATATTTGCCAGCCACTATACCAGTATTTTTATTTAATCTTACTTACTTAAAAAAGTCTTTACTAAGAAATGGGGGTCTCGTTTTTTTGCCCAGGCTGGTCTTGAACTCCTACCCTCAGCAATCCTCTGGTTTCAGCCTCCCACAGTGCAGGGATTACAGGTGGGAGCTACTGTACCTGATCCTTAATTTTACTTATTTTTATTTAACTTACTTAATTTATTTAAACCTTTAAAATGTACTGGAGTAGGCTTTGGGGGCTCATTCTATATGTGAAGAAACTGTGAGATCAAAATGTTTACTTAATAATCAATGGAGGCGATGTTCCTGCACCAGCATCCCTAATTCACATGGTGCTTGTTTTGCTCTTTCTGTGGTATGAGGCAAGCTCCTCTGAGATAGGAAGGTGTTTCATATTTTTTCTTATGATACATTCAGTCAAGTGTGCCCACAAAAGGAGGCAGAGACGAGACTCAGGAGCATAAAGTTTAACACACTGACAAGTCCTAGAGACAGAGGCACAGCACGCCAAGAAGACTACCTGGTAAAGGCACCAGGGCATTAATAAAGCAGAAGAAAAGAGCCAGGGGAAAGGTCTGGCCACTGCTTTTATTGGGGTTTTTGTGGGAAACGCAAGGTGGGCCAAGGTGAACATCTTATGAATGGCTAGATTGCATAATTCTGTTGTGCTTTACCAAGTTCGTCCAACCCATTTCCCGTGAGGCACATGCAGCCCAGGAAGGCTCTGATGGCAGCCCAACACAAATTTATAAACTTTCTTAAAACATGGAGGGTTTTATGCAATTTTTTTTAGCTCATCAGCTATGGTGTTAGTGTATTTTATACGTGGCCCAAGACAATTCTTCCAATGTGGCCCAGGGAGGCCAAAAGATTGGACACACCTGCTAGGGGTGGTTCCTAGTTGCCTAGCACCTGTTCCTATAATGATTGAGGTAAAAGAATATTGCCTCCTGAGGTGTGCAGGTCAGATAGAGAAGGTATGGCTCTTCATGAATTATTTGCATATCAAAGACATGCTCTTGGCTGGACCTTGTTATGTCTAAGAATTGGCTAGCCCTGGAAAGAATTTCTTCCAGAAAGGCTTTTTCAGATGTGAAAACATCATAATATTCAGAAAACAATGTAAGAATGCAATGCATAAAGTCATTCACATGGATAGACAATTTCTACAAAATAATTATCTGCCTTTTCCCAAGATAAAATTTAAAAGGTAGAGTTGAAATCAGGTTATAATATTTACTTGCATAAGTAACAGATGTTTTTATGCCATTGTCTGATCTTAAAATAGGAAAGCAACCCAAATAAATAGAGATAATCTGTAAATCAACTGCAAAAGAAATCATACCTGTGTGGAAGGTTAATGGTCACATAAAAATGCACGGAATACTGTCATATAATATTACCAAAACCTTCGTTACTTTTTCTCAAAATTTAAACTGAAATTATTCTTGTGATCCTTGTAGTCTGTAATATTTACAAATAGCACATTACAGTTAACATAACTTAGAGCTATATGAGCAAACAAGAACTAATACTCGTCTGATGACAAACAGACACTATGGTCATCAAAATATAATTCACCTCTCTGTACATTTACTGATCCGTAAATGTTGACAAAACGAGATGCTTCTTTTATCAATGTAGTTAACTCCTATTGTCTATCTTTCCCCTCCCAAGAATTGAAAACTGTATAAATACCAAGAACCATTCTTTCAAGGAAAACACTCAATTTAAGAAATGTAAAAAAAAAAAGATTGCTGGTTGAAAATACTATTGAGTATTGGTTTCACGACTGAAATGGTACAGGCATTCTCAAATGTTTCTTATACAGAAAGGCAGAGAGACAAAAGTAGAACCTAAGAAAAAAATGGACGAGAAGAATGAGCCATTAAAAGATCATAGAGAATAGACAGCTAATAGGAAAGATTAAAGACTTCTTCAATTGTAGAATGGGATGTTAGCACTAAACGTTTATCAGTAACCTTTGGTTTAAAAATATTTAATGATTACTTTTGTTTTAGTTCCTTCTCAAGGAGATCCTGAGGCGAGGTTTGGAAGCCTGGTAAGTAATTAGGGGAAGAGTGAAGGTAACATTGGTAGAGAGAGAGGGACATGAGACAAGATAGAAAAGAATCCAAGAAAGGGTGGGTTATCAGGACAGCTATGATGGTGGATGACTGTAGTTTACCTGCCCAGGGGAAGTGTGGGAACCGTAGGAACAGGAAAAAAATACAGGGCTCCAAATAACATCCCTGTCTCGTAGTCATGCGATGAGGTATTTTCAGCTGGCCTCAGTTACAGGCAAAGTGGGCTAGAGATATTGCTTGGTCAGAGACAATCGAATGCTGGATAGAGGACAGGCTTCATTCACTGAAGCAGTTGGGCACAGAGATATGGTGGGGCACCAGCAGCATTTGCACACAAATTCGAATACACTGCATCACAAATGGTTTTTAAGTATCTGTCAACCCTCAAAATGCTTAAAGTATATGTAGTGATAACATCATTATGTTTTGAAGAGTCACTACCTTCAGTAGTGAGGAGTAAATATCTGTAGGTTGCAGCTACAGTCGTTGGACTAGAATGCAATTGTCCAACATATCTCTTGGAGTTTAACACTTCTGGCATTCAATACATTTGCAAATAACATGGTTAAGTAAAATTAAACAGATTTGCTTCTTATAAAAATTTCTCAAAACAAATTTATTTAATATTGTTTATAATAAATATTCCTTTAGAGAGGGGGTCATTTGAAACACTTTTTAATAGAATACTTATTAATTTATTCAGGAATTATTAAATCGCTACCTTCATGAAGGTTACATTTTATTGAAGTCTACCCATAGATAATAAATTTAATTAAATAAATTGTATCATATGATATAAGGAAATGAGTGCTTTTGAGGAAAATAAAGCAAGTCAGGGAAGGATAGTGCTGGAGGAGGAGGGAGGTTATTCTGGGGAGTAGCATTTTAAAATAGGCTGGTCAGATGTTGCTTGATTACAGACTTAGAGGATATGAGGGAGAGAATCTTCTTATCGTTTAGGGGAAACATGTTTTCTGGAAAGCAAAGCAGTAAATCGAAAGATCCTGAAGCAGCACCAGAACAGAGAAGGGGTGAGTGTGGCTGCAGCCCAGTGAGTGAAGGGGGTGCTTAGGCTGTGAGCTCACAGAGGCTAGGGGCCAGCATGGAGTAGAGAGAATTTGGGCTTTCACTCTGAGTTAAATGGGAAGCCATTGGAGTGCATGCGTGGACACACACACTCACACACAGACACACACACATACGAATACAAGGAAAGTTAGAGGTGGTGGACATGTTTAGGACCTTGACTGTGGTGACAGTATCATGGTTGTATGCATATGTTCAAAATCATAAGGTCTACATTAAATTTGTGTAATTTTTTAGACATCAATTATACCTCAACAAAACTAAAACGACAAAAACCAAGTGAATCAAAAGAAGAAAAAACAAAACAAGAAGAGAAGAATTGGGTTGTCATTAACTGACAAAAGGGAATCTGTGGATACAAAACTGTTAGAGCAGGGACATCATTTTAGTTTGGGACAGGCTGTGTTTGAGGCAACTATTAGACATCCGAGAAGAGATATCAAAGTACTAAGATGTGGAGGTCCAAAGATAAAATATATATATATATATATATATATATATATATATATATATATATATATATATATATATTTAAATCAAAGGTTAACCCAGAGAATGTGGATGGACAAAGAGTTATGGTGAATCAGCCCTGTGGCCTGGCCATGGGAAGGGATCAGCAGAAAGCTGAGAGACCAGAAAAAGAACGCCAAAGAACTGGCAATTTGGACCGAAGAAAATCAGGTCAAAATGATATATTGTAAGCCAAGTGAAGAAAGTGTATTCACAAGGAAGAAGTGCTTAGTAGTTCTAAATGCTGTTGGTGAACAAGGTGAAGGTTAAGAATTGACTTTTGTACCTTCAAAAGATAGCAATAAAGTCATTTTGGAAAGATCAAAAAATGTTAAAATATATACATATTTTTTTTAATTGTAAAATATATATTTTCTTCATGAACATAGTTATAAATCTCCTAAATATAATAGTAATAAATACAATTTAACTCTGTATTAGAATATGTAATTAACAATTAGGTCTTATCCATGAAATTAAAAAAATCCATAATTATAAATGCACTAATAGAGTTCATTACATTATAAAGTCAAAGAGAAAAGTATAAAATCATTGTGAAAGAATCTGAAAAAGGTGTTTATGAACTTTCTTAGGAAGCTGAGTGAAAGCACAGGCTAAGTTCTTACCATAACATACAGTATTTGTGACAAAAGAACAGCCAACAGCATTCTGACACTTGGAAGATATTTTCTTTATTCTAGGAGGAAGTCAAGATTCTATTTTCATTATTACCTATCAATGTCTGAAAAGTTCTAATCAATTGAATAATAGCAGAAATAGATATTTGAGGCATCCCTGTTGGAAATAGAGAAATAAATGTATTATTATTAGCAGATTCTGTAGCTATAGTTTTCTAAGTAGAAACTCAAAAGATAAATACAAATGTTATTAGAAAATTTGTGTGAATCGGCTGAGGCGGGTGGATCACCTGACGTTAGGAGTTTTAGACTAGCCTGGCCAACATAGTGAAACCCCGTCTCTACTAAAAATACAAAAAAATTAGCTGAGCAACGTGGTGGGCACCTGTAATCCCAGCTACTAGGGAGGTTGAGGCAGGAGAATCGCTTGAACCTGGGAGGCAGAGGTTGCAGTGAGCCAAGATCATGCCATTGCACTCCAGCCTGGACAACAAGAGTGAAACATGGTCTCAAAAAAAAAAAAAAAAAAAAGAAAAGAAAATTTGTGTGAATTAAAAAAGGTGGTTACATAGAAATTTACTTACCTACCATAATCAACATGTTATAAAACAGAAATAACCATAAAATTGATTTGAAAAATGTTTTGTATATTACAAACAAAATAAAGATGTTAATGATTTTATAAAATAATGACCATTGCTTATACGATGAAAATAAAACTGTCAACAAAAACCACAATTGAAGTATGGAAACAATAAATAGGCAAACATATCATACCCTTGAATGTAAAGACTAACTGTTAGTGTCAGAGGCATGTGAACCAGAGCAACTCCATCTTAAATAGGAGCTGGGTAAAATGAGGCTGAGACCTGCTGGGATTCATTCCCCGATGGTTAAGGCATTCTAAGTCACAGGATCAGATAGGAGGTTGGCACAAAACACAGGTCATAAAGTCCTTGCTGATAAAACAGTTTGCAGTAAAGAAGCCAGCCAAAACCCACCAAAACCAAGATGGTGACAAGAGTGACTTCTGGTCATCTCATTAGCGCCATGACAGTTTAGAAATGCCATGGCAACATCAGGAAGTTACCCTATATGGTCTACAAAGGGGAGGCATGAATAATCCACCCCTTGATTAGCATATCATCAAGAAATAATCATAAAAATGGGCAACCAGCCTCCCTCAGGGCTGCTCTGTTTATGGAGTAGCCATTCTTTTGTTCCTTTACTTTCCTAATAAACTTGCTTTCACTTTACTCTATGGACTCCCCCTGAATTCTTTCTTGCACGAGATCCAAAAACCCTCTCTTGGGGTCTGGATTGGGACCCTTTTCCTATAACATTAACAATAATAACTAAGTGATCATTAAGTTTTATGAAATCCCAACAAAAATCTCTCTAGGTTTGGGAGGGAGAGGGGGTTTTTTTTGTGTGTGTGTCTGTGTGTATGCGTGCGTGCGCATGCACTTAAAATCACAAATATTTCAAAATGCTTTTGGAATAGCAACTAAGGAAGGATAATAGACACTTTTTATATAAAAATAATGACAAGGAAATTCACCTCTCACATACACACAGACCATTTCCTTTCAATATTTTTAACACCGATGATCATCTTTACTAACCAAGCAGAATCTGAATGTCACTCTAGACTTTCTCCCTCTATGCTCCTCCCTGGATTTAGCCTATTCCCAAATCCTGCCCTTTCAACTTCCTCATCATTGCTTAAATCTGTCTGCTTTTTTAAAAAATCTCCATTCTCAATAATTAGGTAAAGTTACACCCCAATTTTGCATGAATTATGACAACTGCCTTCATGCCACTCCTGCTGTCTCCAGATCCTCCACACCCTCCCAGGAAGCCGCTCTCAGCTTTACCTCACCTTCTCTCAGTGCTATGCTGAGAGTCAACTTTGGAAATACAAATTGAGGAATAAATGTCTGCTTGAAAACAAGCTTTCCTGGCTTTTCATTCCCCTCATCCAAAGTGCTTTGGTTGCCTGCCCATCTGGACCTTGTTGTCTAACACCTCTCAGGTCTTCCCACTTCCCACCCACTTTCCCGGCATGACAAATGAAAACCTGTGCTCCGTGTCCTCCATTGTTAGAGTCTCTTCAATTACCCTCCAGTTTACATGTTACTTCCGTGTAAAGTTCTCTCTGAGCCACAACAATGCACATACAATCCAATCCTGGGTTGGTTAGATGCCCGTTATGATCAGTTCCTGTAGCTTCCATATTTCATAAATATATTTCTTCCTTATGCCTTCCATTTCATCGCCAGCCTTCTGAAGGCCAAAATTATACTGGTGACCACCTGTCCCATTTGTGCAGTGTCTCATCTAACAAATACTTACTGAAAAATATTGAACAGTATTAATATAGTTTATAATTTATAAATTCACAATAGTGTGATTAAAATGCAGAAATAGAGAAATGTATAGCTCAGTGAAATTGTCATTATAAAGGAATTATTTCAAATCAAAGGGAAATTACAAATTATTAAATAAATGTCACTTGACCAATTGGATAACTGTTGTAAACTAATGATGTTAAAAGCCACTACCGGAAATCCAAAGTAAATTAATGGCTGAAAGTCAACTAGATAAAAGCGTAGGTCAATGTTTGCTCTCATAGATGGGCTGTACCTTTTTAAAGCCAAAAAGCAGAATAAGAATTTAAAAACCTAGGCCTGGTGTGGTGGCTCATGCCTGTAATCCCAGCAATTTGGGAGGCCGAGGCAGGCAGATCACGAAGTCAAGATTTGAGATCAACCTGACCAACATGGTGAAACTCCATCTCTACTAAAAATACAAAAATCAGCCAGGCGTGGTGGCACGTGCCTGTAGTCCCAACTACTTGGGAAGCTGAGGCAGGATAATCGCTTGAAACCGGGAGGCGGAGGTTGCAGTGAGCTGAGATCACTCCACTATAGCTGCACTGCACTCCAGCCTGGACGACAGAGCGAGACTGTCTTAAAAAAAAAAAAAAAAGAAAAAGAAAAAGAAAAGAAAAACATGTAAAAAGCTAAAAAAAAAGTATTTGTATATTTAACAAAATATAAAATATTCAGTATAGTGAGACATAAAAATTAAAAAGGGTATGACAAATTTTGATAGATTTGACATTCATAGGTAATAAAATGTTATACACGTTTAGAAAGACATTTGAAAAAAATAAATTAAAAAATCTAACATTATCTCTGCTCCTCCTCTGCAGGCAAAATCTATGACTAATGTTGAGAGATCATTCTTCATGGTTCCCTTGGGACTCTGTATCTCTTTGCAAGCAGTCGGCCTTACTGCATTTGTTCTAGACAATCTTTTAAAGCTGTTGGGCAAATAACTTTGGAAGATAGAGAGAGTGTCTCTCCTAAAGCAAACATAAAGTTTGTTTGCTGTTCAACGTGATAAAGACAATGTTTCCCTTTGGATGAAGGCTGGGCAGGTTTACTGCCCTTTATAAAATATTTGGGTTCTATAACCATGATTTCTTTCCTGTAGCACAGTCCATTGCCATGTGCAAATGTTGACTGGTTCTTGATGTCTCTATGTAATTTCTGCTATTGCTGTGAGTAATGAAGTCCTTTGTCTTTGGCTAAGGAATCTCATGTTCACTGTCAGCATCCGGGAACCGTGACAAGCTAGCATATTAATTTATAGGTAAAATCTAAGGATTCTTCACAGTTCTTGAATATTGGGTATTTCAAAAAATAAGGCAGGCGCCTTAATCCCAGCACTTTGGGAGACTGAGGTGGTCAGTTTGCCTGAGGTCAGGGGTTCAAGACCAGTCTGGCCAACATGGTGAAACCCTGTCTCTACTAAAAATATAAAAAAATTAGCCTGGTGTGGTAGCATGCACCTGTAATCCCAGCTACTCAGGAGGCTGAGGCAGGAGAATTGCTTGAACCAGGTAGGTGGAGGTTGCAGTGAGCCGAGATGCACTGCACTTCAACCTGGGTGACAGAGGGAGACTCCATCTCAAAAAAAAAAAAAATTAAAAATATCTTACCAATATCCATGCAAAAAACCTTCAATAATAAGTACTAAGCAACAGGTAATTTCATGTATAACTCTTAAAAGTATTAACATTTTTAGATATATTTTTGTGAGATTTTTGGCAATCTCATATACTGCTATCAATAAAATTTAACTCTGCAGGGCAATTCAATTAGTTGAAATGGCTTTAAAACTGCACAGTATAAAAAATTAAAACTCTTCTATGATTCATGAATTTATTTTCTAAGAATTTCTGACTGCTAGGTTTCATCAAGGATATATTCATAAGTCTGTTATTTGTAATTTTGTTTATGATATGAAAAACTGACAACTCTTAATACATAATACCTAAAAGTAACATTTTAGATGAACCAAATAAAAGATATTGAGATCAAATATTTTGTACAATTTATAATGTGTTTTCAGATATTTACTTTGTGAACATGAGGAAATTATAATGTAGTTACATGAAATAAACATGACACAAAACACAATTTTTCAAATTATCTCAGGTTTGAAAAATAACATATTTAGATTCATTAAGGAATGCCGAGACCAGCTTGGTTGTGGAGACCCTAACCCAGTGGCGCTAGAGGAATTAAAGACACACACACAGAAATATAGAGTGTGGAGTGGGAAATCAGGGGGTTGACAGCCTTCAGAGCTGAGAGCCACGAACAGAGTTTCACCTACATATTTACTGACAGCAAGCCAGTGATAAGCATTGTTTCTATAGATTATAGATTAACTAAAACAGGAAACAAAGGGATGGGGTCTGGCTACTTATCTGCAGCAGGAACATGTCCTTAAGGCACTGATCGCTCATGCTATTGTTTGTGGCTTAGGAACACCTTGCGTGGGCGTCAATGGCCATCAGGAACATGTCACAGTGCTGCAGATATTTTGTTTATGGCCATATTTAGGGGCCTGTTCCCAACAAAGGAATACAGAAAATATATGTTTTAATTATATACAAGTGGATATCTTGGATGAACCAGTTTGTGAAAGAGGTCCAGGTTGGATATACAAGTTTTAGAAATTTCAGTTTCTAAATGAGTTGAAACATTTACCAAAGGAGAGTAGATGGAGACATGAAGAATCCAGGGACTGAATCCTGTTTTCACAAAGATTAAATTAGGAAACTGAAGTAGAGTGGCCCACTTAGCAAGAGAAAAAAAATGGACAAAATTAGCAAGTTGGAAAAAAGTGTGATGAAAAGGAAAAACAACTTTGCTGAGCAAATGCTGTTGTTGAGAGGTAAAATGAAGTAGAAAATTGACCTTGGACATGAGATCAATATTACAGTGAAGTCATTTTAAACAATGGAATGATCTCACTTGTTTGAGAAGAAAACAACCACCTCACTTATGAGCATAATTACAAAATTCCTCAATAAAATAGTAACACAAATATCTAGTTCCGTATTAAAATAAAATATACCATCAACAAATAAGATTTGGCACCAAAATGAAAAAATGTTTGCATGCTAAGAATTGCAGTAACATAAAGCATTAGATTAGAAGTGAGAAATGCTATATCATCATTTTTAAGAAATCTAATAAGATGTTCATAAAATTTCTCACTAAGTTATATGGAAAACAGGTTATTTCCTCACCTAATAAATGGTATATCGGGATGCAGGTACTGGGAGTAATGATAGTTTTCAATTTGTACTTTTGTTCTTGAATTCTCAAATAATTTAGGAGACGGTTTTTTAAAGAATATGTGCTACATTAGAGAACACCTTTTTTTTTTTTTTTTTTTTTTTTTTTTTTTTTGAGACAGAGTCTTGCTCTGTCACACAGGCTGGAGTGCAGTGGCGTGATCTCGGCTCACTGCAAGCTCTGCCTCCCAGGTTCATGCCATTCTCCTGCCTCAGCCTCCCGAGTAGCTGGGATTACAGGTGCCCACCACCACACCCGGCTAATGTTTTGTATTTTTAGTAGAGATGGGGTTTCACCATGTTAGCCAGGATGGTCTCTATCTCCTGACCTCATGATCCGCCCCCTAATTTTTATTTTTATTTTTTTCAAACAAGTTATCAGACCTCATATCTGATGACTGCTGACCTTCCTAATCTGGATGGTCATAACAGGAGCAGGTGTCCCATGATGTTATGGTCCCAGCTACTCTATAGTGGATTGGTACAGAGATGGACATCCATATAGGCTGACCTTATCTAAATGTGTACCCTGGATTTTGGAACAGTATCTTTCTGTGTGGATGTAGCTGAAGACATGTACATACTGCCCCTCTTACAACCCGAATTTGTCATATAAACAAAGAAGATGAAAAATCAGATTACCAGTGTGAGTAAAGGATGTGGTAGGGGAACAGATACACAGGAAGAAAGCCAAGCACAGGTAAGAGATTTAGTGAGAGCACTGTCAAGATTGCCAATAATATCTCAAGCCTTTAGTCAAAATTTGATACACCTACTAGACTTCAGATTTTGTGAGACACACCTACACGTTTGTAACAGATTCATTTTTATATTGAAACTCACATAGGTTGAATTGGTTACTTAAAGCTCAAAGGATCATAGCTAAGATGTTAATCCTCATCTTTATTTTCTAGAGTCATAAAAAAATCTTGGAAAATCTACAGGCTTCATCTTCTATTGGAGAAAAAATATTTTCTTATGCTCAAGATGTTTCATTCAGGCATTCTTTCCAGTAACTTGAATTCTAATTGAATAATCAATATCCAGTAGGGACATTTTGGAATTATGGAGTACAGTGAGGAGTGAATGTCGAAACACAAAAATAAGCATGTGTGGACATACAGTAGTCCCTTGGTATCCTTGGGAAATTGGTCCTAGGAGTCCTGCAGATACTCAAAATCTTCAGATGCTCCAGTCCCTTATATAAAATGGTGTGGTATATTCCCATATAACCTACACACATCCTCCTGTATACTTTAAATAATCTCTAGATTACTTATAATACATAATATAATGCAAATGTATACAAATGGTTGTTACATGGTATTGCTTTTTATTATGTTATTTTTTATTGTTGTATTATTATTTTAAAAATATTTACAATGTACAGTTGTTGAATCCCTGGATGTTGAACCTGTGGATACAGTGTGTCCATTGTATTTATTTTCAAATCACAGATTCTTACAGTAATATATTTCTAATGCACTGAAAATTATAATGGTATAGAAGTACCTTTTATAATGTATTTCAGCCTCTTACGTTACTTTATAATAATATTTTCTGATGTAACTTTTTGAGTTCTTATTGTTCTAACAAAAACATAAAACAAACTCAGCATTCTTTAGGGACTTTTGCACACAATAAAAAGAACTTTTAAAAACTCTTGGGCTGGGTGTGGTGACCCTGTAACCCTAGCATTTTAAGAGGCTGAGGCAGGAGATTGCCTAAGGCCAAGAGGTCCTGACCAGTCTAGGCAACATAGCAGACCCTGTCTCTACAAAAAATAAAAAAAATTAGCTGGGATGGTGGCACATGCCTATAGTCCCAGCTACTTGGGATGCTGTGGCTGGAGGGCTGCTTGAGCCCAGGAGTTAGAGTCTGCACTGAGGTGAGATAGTGCCACCGCCCTCCTGCCTAGGAGACAGAGCAAGACCCTGGCTTAAAAAAAAAAAAAATTAAAGACTCAAGTTATGAAATTCATGACCAAGTAGTCAGTGCCTCTGACTCACAGTAACCACACAGGGCTGATTACTGTACACGATTTTATGGATAACTTCAAATAGTCTTGCCAAAGTGCTACAAATCAGAACAAGTTTTTAAGTCATAAAAGTAAAGTCCTAGAATTATTGTAATATGATATAATTTGGAATTAGACCTTCTAAAATAATTGCATGGTAAGGAAAGTATTTTTCTTAACTAGGATGCCTTTCATGTATTTTAAAATATTGTTTCCCCAGTAATGAACCATAAAGATCTATTTTAATGTTTATACAGTTAATTCATGTAGTACAGTCTCAATCTATTGTATTATTAAAACGTTCACTTTTTTCATAAAAATAAATGTAGTGTACATTGAAGTAGTTTTGGAAAACAGCAATAAAACTCCTGTATTACAATAACTACACTGCTACCTTCTAGTATTTTCTTACATTGTTGGCCTTCTAGTCTTTTCTTACATTGTTGTATTTGTACATGGTTGACATTAGTTTACATATATTTATGTCAACAGGTATTTTTGATGTGGATTTGTGTGTCATTAGTAGATCTTACATAATCAGTTATATAAAATGGTAAAATAAATCATTATTATGAAAACAGGTAGTGTTAAAAGAAAACAAAGTTTTACACTGATTTTACATTTAAGTTCATTTTTATTATGCAATACTATATGCTCATATGGGAGACTCAAGAAACTATTGTTCACAGGCCAAATTGACTGTCTGTCTTTGTAGATAAAGTTTTAGTGGAATACAGCCATGTTCATTTGTTTACATATTATCTATGGGTGATTTTGCTTTAAAACAGCAGAATATAGTTCTTGCAACAGAGACAGTATGGCCCGTGAAGATGAAAATATATTTATTATTTACACGTTTATAGAAAAAAATTTGCCAATCTTTGTCTTATGGGTTATTAAAGAAATATAAAATTTGCTCACTGCATTTAAAAATTTATAATCTAATTGATCAGAAAAATATACACATCAGATAAAGAGTCACCTATTTGCTGCAGCTTGTCTAATAAGTTCTCTAAGCCATAATCTTTCCATTTGGGAAATAATTCAATCTGGATTCATCGTTGAATATCTCTGGTGATTTAGGCAAACTGATTGTTCTGGATAGACCAGGGTCAATGAAGAACCTAACATTTCAAAATTTGAATTGAAAACAAATGAACAAGCAATGTTACTCCATCTATTTAGACTTTTAAAAGTTCACATATTTAATATCATATTGATTTATACTTTGTTCTTCGATTTATAGGCAAAGAATAAACCTATCTGAAATTCCATTTTTAAGTAAAAAAAAAGGGTATGCATCTGGTTGAGAACATAAACACAGCTTTAGAATATAAACATTTTCACATCCATGTATGTTTTGTGATTTGATAAACGGGGTTTATAAAGAAAAATTAAGCCACAGGAAAAAAATAGTTGATGATGATGGATTCTCTAAAGTAGGGATTTTAAAGACTGACGTGTTTAATTAAGTGACTGGATGACCCTCTTGAGGTATGTAAAGAATTAATATTCCAGATAAAGAACTACACTTTGGAAAAAATAAATATGATAGTGGAAAAATATAACAGGGCTAGAATGTTGGACAAGCTATTTGTGTCTCTCTATTCCACCTCAATGACAATATTTCTGAGTATATACAGAATGAGGATAAAGAATTATTTTTAGGGCAAGACATTTTTCATAGCATGGACTCATCCCTATTTTATGCAAGAGTCTCTGGGTCATTTCAACATAATAATGGGTATTTCATAAATAGAAACAGAAATACTGAAAAGTAATTTGTCTTTCTATGTTGAAGGACAGATTTCAGACACTTTCAACTAGCACTGGCAAAACTAACATGGGTAATCTTTTCATTTATCCCAATAGCAAGTTCCAGACTTTGTCCTTCTGGATTTCCAATGTTTTGAGCTCATTTCAGATCTAAATACGTTACATATTGAATTACAGTATGTCGGAATTATAAGCAACAGAGATTATACACTCTAACTCCTCATATTTTAGCTGAGAGAATGAGATTCAGCGAGGATGATGCCACAACTTGGTTACGTAGTTAGTTATTTCCAAGCTGAAGTAAGCCTTTGTTTTTCCTAAAACGTACCATATATGTCCTAAAGTATATAAACTGTTTGATTATTACTGCAGTACAAAAAGTTACATAATAACAGTAAAATATCAGAAACACTCATTATGTTACATCTGGTGTGTCTTATTTTTTTCTGGACAAATTAAGTTAAGAGAGTCATCTGTTTCATTATAGGAGGAATATTGCCCAACATTAATGCCAGTTATGTATGTAAGTCCTCTTTCCAATGATGGGAGAATAACCCCAAAGTGTTTGACTTAATTAATCTTTTTCTAAGGCCCTTCACTACAGAACAAAAAATCTAAATAATGAGTCAGGACAGAGTATTAAGTATCTTTCTGCACTTAGAGGAATGATTAATTATAATGGCTAAACCCCTGAACACTAAGTTGAATACTAATCTGATGACAGAGTTTGAAAATCAGCCAGTACTGCGCATACATCTGGGTGTTTTCTATTCTTTTGAAAGAATGGTAAAAGGGAAGAAAGAAAAACATATTAACAGTTTATGCTCATTCCATTTAACACAGTCTCCTTCAAATTTATTTGTAAATTAATTGAAAAAGTAAGTTTCTCCCACCTCCTTACAATAAGCATATGCTGCATAGGTATCTCTTATTGATTTGATACTTATGTGTGTTTTGAGATGTGTGACACTGCAGATTTTGTTCTAACATAAGTGAAGAAAGGAAATCGTAAGGATGAAATGACCTGAGACTATACTTTACACTTGTATCTTTCCATTGTGGTTGTCTGTTGTCTGTTTTCTGCAGGCATCTTGGAGAAAAAAGTAGAGTCCCATACAGTTGCAAAAGCACCTTTGAGGTGGTTTTGATTTACAGAACAAATACCCAGTAAATTGCTCTGTATCACAGGGGTTCACAGAGCTGGAGCAAATAAACTCAAAGGGCAAATGGATAAAAGGTCAAAAGATAAGTATTATTAAAAACTTTTGCCAATAGACAATGGAAGTGTGGAAACAGCTTTTGCCGATTTGGGAAAACAACAAGCTTCTTAAAATGTATTCTTATTCCTCCAACGGATTAACCATACACCAATGATAATGGAGGTGGGGGTGCAGTTTCTAGATGCTTATTTCTAAATCCCTCTCTAGTTTTGGCATTTGAAAATAGGGAAGAATACCAGGTCTAGCATCAACCTCCCTGAACACTAATACATTTCTTTTTTTCTACAATATGGAAAAATGTGGGCATGACACCATTCTTCAAATCTCTCACCTTGCTTCAATCAGTTAGAATAAAGCACTGTACTCTTCCCTGTTAATGCATTGTTATGGTTCATTTTTCTCTCCTTATATGTCAACTTTAAGTAGACACCCATCTGATCTTACAAAGTTTATATCGATTATTATGAAAAAATGGAATTTTAAAAATTTGTGTGAGTTCCAGTAAAGTGTTTTTTGAATGTAATACGTCTGCCCACATGATCATATTTTGTCCAGAATTGGTGGGTTCTTGGTCTCACTGACTTCAAGAATGAAGCCAATATTACAACTCTATGTAGTTAAAAGCACGTAAATAGGAGAACACTGGGTTTCCTGCTTCTATGATGTGTCTCATAGTGCACAAGGTTACAGTCTCAAGAAGTGCTGAACCATAGAGAAACATTTAATGGAATTTTCTCAATGAAGTAATAATAGTGTACCTTACTTGTCATAAACAAAATAATTGATTGTTTTCTAGGTGACCATGATGGCTGCTTTGGAGTCCAGTCACTCTGATCATTATACTTGCCACTGAAAACTCTTTACCAGAAGCCTCTGTCCCGGAGTCTTTATTTCCTCTGCGCTGCATTGCTGTCTGAATTCAGTAATTCAATAATGAGGTCAACTTATTTTCTGTGCTCATTTTTCTTACTTTCTGTCATATTGCTATTTTACTTCTTTTACTAAGTAATTTACTTAGGAATTTACTTGTTTAAAGCCTTGGTCTAGTTGCAGAAATGCCATAGGTATTCTTTGAGAGGACAGAAAGGTATTAATGTGTTCACATGAAGAAATTGCAATTTTATAATGTTTTTGTAGGGTATTTTATGAAATATATTTCAAATTTATCAATATATCTTTCTTCTTATTTCTCTTTGCATAGTCAAAGAAAGCCTAGAAATTCTAAATCATAATTAGGACATACTAGAGGAAAAAAAATATTTTCATGCTCAGGAAGAAGAAGTCAGAAAACTTCCCTCTTTCTAGTTCAGGAAGAAGAGAAGATTTTAACACTGGTGGGAGGAAGACAAATCATAAGCCAGCATACTAAGAGTTGGACCATGACCACAACCTGAGAAATTAGGGTGTTTCTCTTCTGCAGAGGTAGCTGGCCCCAGACTGCAAACATTCAAGAGAAATTCTACAATCTTATGGTCCACATGAACAAGGTGGGAGAAATACCACAGCACTGGGAGGGGCAAGTTAAAATACAGCCTTGCCTGAAGTGGCATTCTTTTATCCACAGCTGCTGTGTGGCATTTAGAATTTTCAGAAGTTTCTGTTTCCAAGTAGAGATCCCAATAGGTTGGGAAGAAGGTTTGGGTCTGCTCACAGTCTCAGTTCTCTAGTAGAAAACCAAGGCTAGAAGAAACAACAAACAATGAAAACAAACAAACACAGTTGCATGCATAATGCTATATTAGAGATTAGGGTTGAATGGCCAAGGCAATGGATTTGCACAGAAAATAACACAGGGTCAATGTAAAGAACCAACGGGACCAGCAGAACCTGTACAGATATCAATGCAGCAGGAATTAGACTCAACCAGACATTTAATGTCTGAGATAAGCACAATCTTAAGAATAGGACAAAGTTTCCTAACATGTTAACAACCCCTTTTCCACTTCTTATAGCAACAGAAGGACACCATCTTAGAAGGTAGATAACAGAGAATTCCTAACAGCCTGACCATTGAGATCAACTTCTGTCCAAGATGGAGTGATGGCAAATATGTCTATAATGCTGCTGCAACAAACAAACAATCAAACAGAAAAAAAAAGAAACCATTATTTTCAAGGCATTGGAAATCAGAAAAAGGATAGTGATTGCTGAATGTGATAGCCAGAATTTTAAAGATGACCCTTCAAGATCACTGTCTCCTAGTTATTCATTCAAAAAACAATACACATATGGTATTGTAGAAACATTCCAGATAAAGTTATTGATCAGCCAAGTTTATGATAGGAATATCATCCTGGTTTTTTCAGAGAGACCCAGTGTAATTCCAGCAGAAGGCATAAGGGTCAGTATAAGCTATGTGGTAGCAGAGGAGGAAGGAGAAGTGAGGCAGCAGCAGATTAGAAACCAGATAAAATTTGAGCCGCTATGATTGACTTTGAATGGGGCTCAGAGCCAGGAGAAGCCTCTAAATGTTGAGAATGACTCTTCTGTAGCCACATGGAAATAAACCAGGCCAAGAACCTGAAAGAGCCTGAGAACAGATTGTCTCCTAGATTCTCCAGAAAGGATCCATGCTCTGCCCACGCCATAATTTCAGCCTAATGAGACTGTAAGCAGAAAATAAAATGAGTCCTGCTATCCCTGGGCTGACCTATAGAACTGTGAGGTGATAAGTGGGTGTTGTTCTATGCCTCTAGGTTTGTGTTAGTTTGTTATGGCAGCAATAGAACTCTAACACATTGTGGGACGGGAAACAGACAAGGTTGGGTCCTACAGTTATCCCAGCTTACTCTCTTGAAAGAGTGACCAGGCCATGATCAAGGAGGAAGAACCCAGGCAGAGCACACTGCACCTTCTCATCTGAGGAGAAAGAGCTGAGAGTCACAGAGACCAAAGTGGAGACTTCACAGGACAGAGGAGAGAGGTACACAGAGAAAGTTCTATTCATCTCCAAAAGGCTTCCTTTTGAGCATTCAGCAGAGTACTGAGCAGCCCTCACTTGAAGAGAAGCCTCCCAAGACAGTGAAAAGGATCACTCAAAATAATGAGAGGAAACACTACCAGGCACTCACATAGTTCTGGCGATAGTATCTGTTTCCACCAGGGAGACCAGAAAAACACAGAGTTCACAAGCCTACATACAGCACAGAGAAGAGTTCTGTCTCAGTAGTGGGAAATCATTAGCCCTAGACTAGACATGGCTCTGGTCCTAGTAACAAATATTACAGGCAAACCTGAAAATATCAAATTATTTCTGTAACTAAACTGCAATCCAGAAAGATGATCAATAATATTTAGAAAAATGTTTTAAAATCCAGTCCCTAACACGGTAAAATTCACAAAATCTCACTCCAACCAAACATTAACATGTACGTAAAACAGCAAGGAAACATGACTTAAAATGAGAATATCCAATCAATCAAAACTGACACCGATTGGGAAAAAATATTTGCAGTCCATATACGAGTAACTCAAAACACCCAATGACAAGAAAATAAATAATGATTAAAAAGTAAGCAGAAGTCTTAAATAGACATTTCTCAAAGACGACATATAGACGGCCAAAAGATAACCAAAAAATGTTCAACATCTCTAGTCATAAGAGAAATGCAAACTAAAACCACAATGAGATACCACTTCACACCTGTTAGACAGTTATTATTAAAAAGATAAAAGTGTTGGTGAGAATGTGAAGAAAAGGGAACTGTTATATACTGTTGGTGGTATTGTAAATCTGTAGAGCCATTTCGGGAAAACAGTACAGAGGTTTCTTTAAAAACTACAAATAGAACTAACAGAAGATCCAGCAATCCCACTTCTGGTTATATATCCAAAGGAATTGAAATCAGTATGTTAAAAGAAAACCTGCACTACCATGGTTATTGCAGCATTACTCACCATAGCCAAGATATGGAAACAACCTAAGTGTCCATCAATGGATTAATGCAGTGGTCCCCAACTTTTTGGCACCAGAGACTGGTTTCATGGAAGTTAATATTTCCATGAATGGGGCTGGGTGGGGGAACGGTTTCAGGATGAAACTGTTCTACCTCAGATCATCAGGCATTAGATTCTCATAAAGCGTGTGCAACCTAGAATCCTTTCATGTACAGTTCACAATAGGGTTTGCACTCCTATGAGAATCTAATGCTGCCACTGATCTGACAGGAGGCAAAGCTCAGGCAGTCAGGATCGCTGGGCTGCCACTCACCTCCTGCTATGCAGCCCAGTTCCTAACAGGCCACAGACCAGAAGTGGTCCAGGGCTTGGGGACCCCTGGTTTAATGGATTAAAACAATGTGATATATATATACACAATGAAAAATTATTCAGCCTTTAAAAAAACAAACAGGAAATTCTGTAATTTGCAACAACATATGTGAACCGAGAAGACATTATGTTATTCAAACAAGCCAGGCACAGAGAGACAAATATTGTATGATCTTACTGATACGTGGAACCTACAAAATTCAAACTCATGGAAGTAGAAAGTAGAATGGTGGTTCCCAGGGTCTGGGGCTCGTGGTGAACTGGGAAAGGGAGATGTTGGTCAACATGTTTGAAGTTTCAGTTAGACAGGAGCAATAAGTTCAGGTA